>NC_000004.12:152557744-152860774 GCF_000001405.40 Homo sapiens
GCATTTTTTTTCTTTTATTTCTTTAGTCTTTTAATCTGGAACATTCCTCCACCTTTTGAAAAAATAAGCATCTTCTAGACTGTAGCATAGACAGTACATATTGCATAATTCCATATATATAACACTTTGGAAAATGCAAATTAATCTATAGTGACAGAAAGCAGATCAATGGTTATCTGGGGAAGAGGTAGAGTGGGGAAAGGAAGGAAAAGTGGATTGCTCTGAGGAAATTTTTGGGGTGATACGTACGTTATTTGATTGTGATGATGGTCCACAGTTCTGTACATACATCAAAACTACTAAGTTGTACATTTTTAATACGTGCAATTTACTGTATATCAATTATAATTCAATACTCTAAAAAGCTGGAGGGGACAGAATGTACTTGCTTCTAAATTTCTGATATCCTACTTCCACTTACAGCACTTTACAAGGGATTTGAAGAGGCATCTATCTTAAACAATAGCAACAATACACTTTAAGTTTTAAACTACATTTTATGAAAGTGCCTGAAAACAATTTCAGAAAACATTTTAAAATGCACTTTCATTTAAAATCAAAAGAAAAAAAATTCAGTGGCTGCTCATTAATTGCCCAGTGAATTAAAGAGGGAGCTCACAGAAGGGTCTAAACTTTCTTTTCTGCCTTTTCTCCCATCACTACCTTATGTACATCCCATCACTACCTTATGTACATCCCATCCCAGATTGACTGAAGCCTGTGCTGCTGATGCCTTTGTCCATGTTCTTTCTGCTTGAGAGGCCCTCTTTCCACATGGGCCTCCTTCTCCCTTCAGCTATCTCTGACAGGCAGAAATCCTACTCATCCTGTAAAGCTTCTTCTGGAAGCTTTGCTGATTACTCTCACCCTAACCAGATGTGTGTTCATTCCCACAGGCACCTCCACCCACGGTTCATCCTGCCCCTGGTGTTCTTTCCAGGGCTGGGACCAGGGGGAGGCAAAGTGAGGCAGTTACTTGAGTTGCAAATTTTAAGGGGATGCCAAATAACTCAGTAACCCAGTATTTTCAAATCAGTATCTAATCAAGTTTCACTCATTACATTTAGTTATGTCTCTTTAGACCCTTTTCATCTAGAACATTCCCCCACCGTTATAAAATGTATCTTGCAGAATGTACCATATTCAGTACATATTGAATAACTCCATTTTCTAATTGTGTATAATATAGTATTTTAAATAAATGTTTTAGCAAATCAAAATAATGCAAGAAATTGATGTTGAACAAAATATCAGAATTTAAAATAAAGACAGGATCAGTATTACTGATTCTTCCTGAGCCTTGGGCTCCAACATGGCTCCAGCCAGCACTGGCTCCTTTACAAACTGCAGGGATACAAGGACTCACTCATCTTGTATGCCCTGCCACACCTGTCCTAGGGCCTGGCAAGTCACAGGCACCCATTCGTCTGACAACAATTTTCTGCTCCTTCCATGTATTACTTCCCTCATTAAAAGAAGCAAATAAAACAGCAGCAGTGATTAAGTCATCTAAGGACAGATTCATGAAGGAAAAAATATGTAACAGGCTTGTATTCAAAGAAAATAAGAATTATCTCTAAGGCAAAGAATTTCAGCTACATCCTACAAGTGAAGATAGACCACAAGGGGAAAAAAGCTATTATTCTAAATATTTTTCATTTTAAAATGCTCTTTTTTATTACCAATAGTAATCATCCTGAATAACTGAAATCATCACATCCCCTTCTTATCTTTGGTATAGAAATTTTTTTTTGGTCATAAACAGATGCACAATTCTTGATATAAAATTTAATATATTACATATAGCCCCATTTCCAGATTTTCTTATCTTTCAGTTATAGATTTCTTTCTTGCAGCAGGGATGAAAAGAATTGTCTGTTTGTGGGCGTTCACATTCTTTGTGATTTAATAACCATTTTGACAGTCCTCTTTTGTAGGCCTAAGACTTTAAAATAAAATCTAGGAAAAGATTCAATGACAAATAGGGTATCTCAGTATCACCATTGTGTTCCTGTATTAATCAGAGATTTAATTATTTAATTCATCTCTTCGAGCATCATGATATCATCCTATGTAGTCTATTTTCTAATCTGGCTAAAACCGGTTTGGTTCTCATGACTCTGTAATACACGGGTAGTACAGAAAACCTCAGTGCTTAAAGGGGAAACAAAACTAAAATAACTTACTGGTCTGCTGTATATTTTCATGTTCTTAGAACTATTGTTTCTAATATTATATGTACAATTAGACTGCTTTGTTTGGTAATATATTCAATTTTTAACATTATCTAGTCTTATCAGGAGATAAACACAGCAGAATTCAAATGGCTTAAGTACTCTCTGTGTAAAAGGATAAATTCTTGCTCCTTAAATTACGGTAAACTATGCCCCACATTCACTGAAAACTTAAAACTGCCATTAACTATCATGGAGATCCATCAATTTAGTTCCATCTTAAGAGTGAACAATAATGAACAAGGATAAGAAGCATGAAACATGAAATGTTTTTAAATGAAACAAAACTGATTAGAACCTAGGACTAGATTCCTCCATTTGTTAATCCAATGAAACCTACCATATATAAGAGTATCTTGCCTATCTTGGGGGGAAAAACCAGCCAAAGACTTGGAGGATGCCTTATGTATTTTTTCATCAAGATTATTGGTGATTCATAAATTGTCTTTTGAAAGTTTAATTATAATTTTAGATTTTATTGCTGACAATAGGCAGAAATGAATTGATGTATGTTAGTTATTTGCTAGGAAGGAAGATCTAATTATTCTTTAGGTTAAAGAACAAAAACAAAACAACAACACAGCTAGAGACCACCTTTTTGGGGGCAGTTGCCTTTCTCTTCCTTCATCAAGTTTTGTAGTCAAGAATTAGAATAGGGCCAGGTGCCGTGACTCAGTGTCGAATCCCAACGCTTTGGGAGTCTGAGGCAGGAGGGTCACTTGAGGCCAGGAGTTCAAGACCAGCCTGGGCAACATAGCAAGGCCCTGTCTCCACAAAAGAATAAATAAATAAATAAATAAAATTAGCTGGGCATGGTGGCATGCAGCTGTGCTCCCAGCTACTTGGGAGGCTGAGGTGGGAGGATGGTTTGAGCCCAGGAGTTCAAGGCTGCAGGGAGTCATGATTATACCACTATAGTCCAGCCTGGGTGACAGAGCAAGGCACTGTCTCTTAAAAAAAAAAAAAAATTAGAAGAGGATCTGCATTGTAAACTAAATCAGGAGGGCTCATTCCTGTTACATGAAGGAGCTGGTACTGGTTAGTCTGGAAAATGGTAAATCAGTTATGGGATTATGGGTAACATTGATCTCCTCATAGATGATGATGTAAGCAAGTGATTTCCTCAGGGAATGAAGAGAAGAGCTTCAGCATACCGGGAACAGTGCTTGTTGCCTTGGAAAATTCATTGTTGCTGGACACTGAATATTGAACAATTTCAAAGCTTAGATCAAGAACAGTAATCTTGTTTGTCTTGTCTACTCAGCACCCATCACCATGTATGGCACATAGTAGGTGTTTAATAGAGATGACGAAGTGTTTAAAGTCTATAATCATGAAGATATGTGGAGGAAACAACAGCATATAACTGAGTGAAAGAAGCCAGTTTGCAATAGATACATATGATTCTAACTACATACATTCTGGAAAAGGCAAAACTACAGAGATCAATGATTGCCAGGGGCTCACAGGGAGGGAAAGAAGGATAAATCGATGGAGAGCAGGGCAGGGGATTTTTAGGGCAATGAAACAATTCTGTATAATCTGTAATATTAGATACATGTCATTATATATATGTCAAAATCCATAAAATGTACAATACCAAAATTGAACCCTAATGAGGTTCAAATTTGAGTCCTAAACTATGGACTTTAGTTAATAATAATGTATCAATATTGGCTCATCAGTTATAAATAACATATGTACCGCACGAATGCAAGATATTAATAATGAGGGCAGCTGTGGTAGGGGAAGAAGGTATATGGGAACTCCCCGTACTTTCCTGTTCATTTTTCTGTAAACCTAAAACTGTTCTAAAAAGTAAAGTCTATTAATTTTTTTTAAAAAGTCTATGAAGCTTTATTGTGTCCCTGACTTTTTTTATTTTTTTTCTGAGATGTAGTCTCGCTCTGTCGTCCAGGCTGGAGTGCAGTGGTGTGATTTCGGCTCACTGCAAGCTCCGCCTCCTGGGTTCACGCCATTCTCCTGCCTCAGCCTCCCGAGTAGCTGGGACTACAGCCAACTGCCCCCAAAAAGGTGGTCTCTAGTTATGTTGTGTTTTGTTTTTGTTTTTTAACCTAAAGAATAATGAGATCTTCCTTCCTAGCAAATAACCACGCCTGGCTAATTTTTTTTTTGTATTTTTAATAGAGACGGGGTTTCACCATGTTAGCCAGGATGGTCTCGAGCTCCTGACCTCAAGATCTGCCCACCTTGGCCTCCCAAAGTGCTGGGATTACAGGCGTGAGCCACCGCGCCTGGCCTTGTGCCCCTGACTTTCATTCTAGGATGATATAAAAGGAGCTATCAGAAACTGGGTGAACAAATGAATGTAATATCCAAGGTAATATTCATTAGCATCTATTTTGTTTTTTGTTGTGTTTTGTTTTGAGATGGAATCTCGCTCTGTCACCCAGGCTGGAGTGCAGTCTTGTGATCTTGGCTCACTGCAACCTCCGCCTCTTGGGTTCAAGCGATTCTCCTGCCTCAGCCTCCCGAGTAGCTGGGATTACAGGCGCGTGCCACGCCAGCTAATTTTTTGTGTTTTTAGTAGAAACGGGATTTCACCATATTATCCAGGATGGTCTCGATCTCCTGACCTCGTGATCTGCCCGCCTCGGCTTCCCAAAGTGCTGGGATTACAGGCGTGAGCCACCACGCCTGGCCCTCGTTAGCATCTATTTTCTTTTGAGTAAGTAACTATTGAGTGCCAACTACAGGACTGCTAGTCAATGTGTGGTATAGAAAGAAAATAAACTGCTCCTTATCTGAGAACTTCTAATTGTTCTCAGATTTATTTATTTGTTTTCTCAAACAAATAAAAGAGCTGTTTTATTCTCTTGACCACAAGATTCTTCAAGATGGAAAATATTTACTGCCAAAGAAGAAATAAACACTTTAGGGAGTATGACTAGTATGAATTTAAGTAAAAGTGATTGGGTCAAAAACAAAGGCTCAAGATTAAATGTAAGAAGACAGGGAAAGCATCTCAATAAAACTGAAGGTGCATATAAATGAATATCAGAATTAGGATCTCTTAAAACAGTCAGAAAGTTTATGTATGTATGATTTTGTAAGTCATCTGTGACACACTATAATCACCTGGAATTGGACAAAGGATGGAACAAAATCAACCCCTTTGCCTGCTTGCCTTGGGCCCACCTCCAACATACACATGCACACATACATGCATGCATACACGTGTGCACACACAAACACACACAAACTGTATTGTTTTTAAGGATCTCTAAGTTATAGACAGTTCAACGCAGCCACCAGAGGAAACTGGCATGGGAAAAGGAGATGTCCCATCTGGTGTTTAAAATGAAACAAAGCAAAACACAGGTGTATACAATTAAGACATCTTTCTCATCATGTAAAAGGCACAGGTAGTTCTGCTTCTTCCTAGTTCCACACCCACTCCTTTGGCTGACCTTTTGTAACTTCCTTTATTCTTCAAATCTGGCTGGGTGTATAACGTAAGCTGGTTTTATCTCTACACCAATTGCAATACATCAAGTGGTAAAGAAGGTGACAAAATGAAAACAATACAATTTCCCTAAATCCCACCCCACACAAGGACAGGCCAAACTTGAACTGAGGTGTTTTGTTTTTGTTTTTGTTTTTGACAGCGTCTCGCTCTGTCACGCAGGCTGGAGTCCAGTGGCGTGATCTCGGCTCACTGCGATCTCCACCTCCCGGGTTCAAGCAATCCTCCCACCTCAGCCTCTGAGTAGCTGAGACTACAGATGTGCACCACCATGCCTGGCTAATTTTTTGTATTTTTAGTAGAGATAGGGTTTAGCCATGTTGGCCAGGCTAGTCTCGAACTCCTGGCCTCAAGTGATCCACCTGCCTCAGCCTCCCAAAGTGTTGGGATTACAGGTGCGAGCCACCATGCCCAGCCAATTAAAAAAATTTTTTTTTTTTTAGAAAAGAGGTCTTGCTGTGTTGGCCAGGCTGGTCCCAAACACCTGGTCTCAGGTGATCCTCCTACCTTGACCTCCCAAAGTGCTGGTACTATAGGTGTGAACCAACACACCCAGCCCTCAAGATAGATTAAAACAAAACAAAACAACAACAACAATAACAAAAAACCCACAAAAACCAACAACCCACACACAATCCCCAAGATTCCAAGCATTGGGAAAACCTTCTTAAAGAGTTGAATTATAATAGATTCGGGGCATTTTTTGAATATCCCTAATGAGGAAGTAATATAGAGTTAATGCTTTATAGTTGAAGGCTCAGTTCTGCTACTTACCAGCCAGGAAAGTCACACAGAGTGTCTGAATCTCATTGTCGTCATCTCTAATATAAGGGTTTTAATAACACTTATGCTTTACAACAGACAGTTATAACAAAGATAAAATGAGATAAATAAAGCAAAAGTATCTATCATCATCATCATCATCACTGTGATCATTATTCCTTCTCTCCCTGGAAAAATACATTCCCCAAGAGATACCCAGGAAAGTGCCTACATATTTTTAGGGTATAATTCAACCCTTGGTGAAACCTTGAAAAACTGGAAATATGTAGGTTTGCTTTCAATTTCAGCAGATTGTTATCACCAAAGCTGCAGCATTTCGACATGCTGGTTATGCACTGCACAGCTCCAGGGGACACCATTCATGTAATTCAGGACCCATAGCTGAAAACTAAGGTTTAGTAGGTGAAGATTTCAGATCCCGCTTTCTGTAATAAACGCATAAGTGGTTAAGCAAACCAGATAGCTAGCTATCCAAACAATTGGCACATGGCCCTCATATTTTCAAATAAACTTGAGACGTATAGAAAATTCAGTGAACAAAAAGGATCTCTATTCTGGAGATTAAACTAAGCCCTTATTATTATTTATTTATTTATTTATTTATTTGAGACAAAATCTCACTCTGTCACCCAGGCTAGAGTGCAGTGGTGCCATCTCAGCTCACTGCAACCCCTGCCTCCCGGGTTCAAGCAATTCTTGTGCCTCAGCCTCCCGAGTAGCTAGGATTACAGGCGCCCACCACCATGCCCAGCTAATTTTTGTATTTTTAGTGGAGACAAGGTTTCACCATGTTGGTCAGGCTGGTTTCAAACTCCTGACCTCAGGTGATCCACCCGCCTCGGTCTCCCAAAGTGCTGGGATTACAGGCATGAGCCACCGCACCCAGCCAACTGAGCCTTTTTTTAAAGTGATAAAAGATATATACAAATACTAAAACTAAAAAGACAACAAAAAGTGGAGGAATTTTAGCTAAAAAAAAATCCCACTTATTTGGAAAGGTATCCAATCTTATTTTACTACAAAGAAAGTGCTAAAAATATATTAAGTCCTACCTCCAATTCTGATATCAGCCACAACAGAAAGTGTCTCCTAAAATGCAATTTTTAAATAATGTTCTAAGAAAATAACACAAAGTTTCTTCCTCATGCAAATGAATTTTGCCCTCAAAAAGAGGAGACTGTGATACCAGAGCCTCATCTACTTGAGGGCGGGCAACTTTGAGCCTAGACAAATTTGGACATTTTCCAGAAGTTTTCGCTCCTAAAGTACATGCAGTTCCAATCAACAACTCAAAGAGATTTTTTTTTTAACTTGAAAGTTAACCCAATCTTTATCTGGAAGAGTAAACACATTAAAATAACACGAACATTCAAGAGCGAAATAAAGTAGGGAGCTAGCTCTACCAGGCACTAAAACATATTATAAAGCAAGCTTGTCTAACCCATGGCCTGCGGGCCGCATGTGGCTCAGGATGGCTTTGAATGCAGCCCAGCACAAATTTGTAAACTTTCTTAAAACATTATGAGGTTTTTCTTGCCATTTTTTTCTTTTAGCTCATCAGCTATTGTTAGTATATTTTATGTGTGGCCCAAGACAATTCTTCTTCCAATGTGGCCCAGGGAAGTCAAAAGATTGGACACCCCTGTATATAAAGCAATACTAATTAAAACTTGGTGGCACTGGTATATGAATTGAGTTGACAAAGCTCTCAATGAAACATAATAACCTATACATGAATTCTAGTATGTATAAAATACAGTTAAAAGTTGTATCACAAATCAATTGGAAAGAAAAGATCATCCCATAAATTGTAATGAGCTGAATAGCCAACAATTGGAAAAAAAATCAACTCATATCTTCACTTCACACCATAAATAGAAACTAAATTTTAGAATATTTAAAGAGACGAAAAAGAAAAAAAAAGCTTTAGATGAACTGAAAGAAAATATAATTAAATATTTTTCAAGCCTCTGGAAAAGTATGAATTTCCAAGTTTGGAAACAATAGAAGATATAAAAACTTGACAACGTAAGAGCAACATAATTTTCAAAGGTAAAGTGAAAAGGCAACGCCTGTGATCCCAGCCCTTTGGGAAGCCCAGGCAGGAGGATCGCTTAAGGCCAGGAGTTTGAGACCAGCCTGGGCAACAAAGCGAAACCCTGCCTCTAAAAAAATTTTAAAAATAAATAAATAAATAACAACAACAACAAAAATAAATAAAATTAAAAGGCAAACAGTAAACTAGAAAATACAGTCACTTATGGGAAGGGACTAAGAAATCTAAATGAATCAGATAAATAGATAAAAAATGATTAAGACTCTAACAGATGAGTGAGCAAAGGGCGTGTGCCCTAGTTTAAAAAAAAATTACCTGAAGCTGTGATTTTAAAAAGCAACAAATAAAACAAAGATGCATCATTTTTACCTATTAAATTGACAGAATTAAAAAGTGATGATAATAATATAGCAGGTATGGAGAAATTGATATATTATGCGTTTCTAGTGGCATTTCACAGGTAAACAACATTTTAGAAAGCAATAAATTTGACAAAATATGTCAGTAAAGAAAAATAAATGGTATACCTTCAATCCAGGGGTTCTTTTTCTGGAAATGAAGAAAATAAAAGGTATGTAAAAAGCCACATGCTCTAAGACGGTCATTGAATATTATTTATGACTATGAAACAATCAAATTATGAGCTGGGTGTGGTGGTTCGTGCGTAATCCTAGCCACTTGGGAGGCTGAGGAAGGAGAATCACTTGAACCCAGGAGGCAGAGGTTGCAGTGAACCGAGATTGTGTCACTGCACTCCAGTCTGGGCAATAGAGTGAGACTCCTTCTAAAAAGAAAAAAAAATTACGTAACAATTGAGAATTAATTCAGTAAAGCATAGAACTAGACAAATGGTCATTTGGAACAACAACGACAAAAGAATGAATGATTGAAACCGACATATCATAGAATATTATTCCATGAAAAAGAATTTAGTATGTACGTTGAATGACCAAACAGTGTAGCTATTGTTTGGTAAGTCGGGGAGTTCCTCCACTGCACAGCATGCTTACCAATCTCCTTCTGATAACAGCATCCCTTGTGTTGGAGAATTTATTTCCAATTTTGTGTAATCCTGGTGGGGATGTAGGTCACTGTGGCCTACCCTCATCTCTCCCAACAGGTGAGCTTATGGCCCAGGTTGACTAGTGACAATACAGTGCTGCCCTGTACATGGTAATTGGCCAAAGGAGGGATACATTGTCTGTGACTGACCAATTTGAGTCTTTTCCCAGAATTCTCCAAACTAAGGTAGACAGAAGCTCTCTTTTCCTTTTGGATGACCTCGGGCTATTGGTGGCTGTACCCCCTGCTTGTTAGGTTCAGAAGTGCTGGAGGAGAGGATGGAGGCAACATAGAAAAAGAGGCAGAATTAATGAAGAAAAAAGACAGATCTGAGGACATTCTCTGGACTTCTGGATATAGCCCTACCTAAAGCCTGTATATTTCCCACTTACATGAGCATTTCTGACACATGGTTTGACATGTTTAAGCAGATATGAGTTAGAATTCAGTCTTTAATATTTGTGTACACAATCATGCAGAAACAATTTCTGTACACTATTTTTGGAGACCAGAGTACACGTAAAAATTTAGATCAGACATGTCATTGCCATGTTTAAAAATCTTACAATAGCTTCACATTGCTCTTAGACCAAGAGATAATCTCCTTAATGTGTCCAGTGATGTCCCCCTCTCTCTCTCTCTCACTGTCTCTCTCTCACATGCACACACACACACACACCCCCACATACACAGCCCTCTCCCTCCCTCTTTTCCTTCCACGCTCCTCTGGCTCATTTGCTCTGTCTATATTGGCCAGCTTTCTGTTCCTCAAACAAAGTTTATTCCTATCCTGGGTCTCTGCACTTGCTGTCCCAAGTGTGAAAAATGCTGGCCCAAACCTTCATAAGTCTGATTCTTTCTTTTTTTTTTTTGTGGAAATGGAGTCTTGCTCTGTCGCCTAGGCTAGAGTACAGTAATTCTCCTGCCTCAGCCTCCTGAGTAGCTGGGACTACAGGTGTGTGCCACCACACCTGGCTTACTTTTTTTTTTAGATGAAGTATCACTCTTTCACCCAGGCTGGAGTGCAGTGACGTGACCTTGGCTCACTGCAACCTCCACCTCCCAGGTTCAAGCGATTCTTGTGCCTCAGCCTCCTGAGTAGCTGGGACTACAGGCGCCCGCCACTACACCCAGCTAATTTTTATATTTTTATAGAGATGGGGTTTTGCCATTTGGGGCCAGGCTGGTCTTGAACTCCTGACCTCAGGTGATCCTCCTGCCTCAGCCTCCCGAAGTGCTGGGATTACAGGTGTGAGCCACTGCACGCAACAGATTCTTTCTTGTCCAGCAGGTCTCATCTCAAATGACCTTTCTGTGAGGCCTTCCCTGACTACTCACTCCACATTACCCTCCTTTATTTATTTCCCCTTACTTATTTCTATCATAAATTATCTTACTTATTTGCTTGTTTATTATCTGCCTTCTGTTTTAGAATGAAGGAAACATTTAGGATAAAAACTCCTATGTACACGAAGAATATAGCAAGGGAACAATAAGCATTTGAGAAAAGATTAAAAGAAAATACATATATTTATAACATTGGGGTGATGCAGATGGATTGTGTCTTAATTCCCTTCATCTTTTTTTTATTATCCAAATTTCCTGTGATGTGTTTATACTGCTTGGTGATTAATTAAAACACAGATAGAAAAAAATCATATGCTTTTCAGAATCCACTAAACTTCCTGGCATTTTAGTAAAGAATTTCAGTCTTAATTTTCAGAAACTGTAGCAACAGGTTTTGCCAACAACCCCCTCACAAAAATCTCTTGGTTAAAAAAGAAGGGGGGAAAAACAGAATAAAGCAAAAAAGAACTGAAAAGGAACATTGGTATGGTGGTTCATTAGAGTGCTCCTAATCACTAAGGATAACATTTGCATTGGATCATTTGTTAAAGCTCCCGAAGCACAAAATGTAACTGTGGTGGGCTTCTATACATAAACATCAGCGCACATCAAGACCTATCAAAGATCAGCTACAACAATAAAAGTTCTTAGAATTATCTGGCCCAGGCCGGGCGCGGTGGCTCACGCCTGTAATCCCAGCACTTTGGGAGGCCGAGGCGGGCGGATCTTGAGGTCAGGAGATCGAAACCATCCTGGCTAACACGGTGAAACCCCGTCTCTACTAAAAACACAGAAAAAAAAATTAGCCAGGCGTGGTGGCGGGGGCCTGTAGTCCCAGCTACTCGGGAGGCTGAGGCAGGAGAATGGCGTGAACCCGGGAGGCGGAGTTTACAGTGAGCCGAGATCAGGCCGCTGCACTCCAGCCTGAGCGATAGAGCGAGACTCTGTCTTAAAAAAAAAAAAAAAAAAAAAAAAAAAAAAGAATTATCTGGCCCAATGCCACAGCCAAGTGCATGATGAACAGAGTCTGCAGCCCAGTAGTTAATTGAGCATAAAAGGCCTAGGGTCTATATGTTTTGCAATTTTTATAATTTCAGTGGTATTCACTTTTTAAATTTAACACTCCATGCTATGGTTTGAAGGTTTGTGTGTCTCAAAAATTTATGTTGAATCTGAATCCCCAATGTAGCAGTATTAAGCGGTGAGTTCTTTGAAAAGTGATTAGGCCATGAGGGCTCTACCATCATGGATGGAATTCATGCCCATATAAAAGGTCTTGTGGGAGTAAATTCATCTCTACTCATTCTTCTGCCATGTGAAGACACAGCATTCATCTGCTCCTGAGGACACAGCAACAAGGCGCCATCTTGGAGGTGGAAAGCAAGTGCTTACCAGACACTGAATCTGTCAGCGCCTTGTTCTGGGACTTAGCCTCCAGAACTGTGAGAAATAAATTTCTACTATTTATACATTACCCAGTCTGTGCTACTTTGTTATAGCATCAAGAATGAACTAAGACACTCCATAAAAGTTTTCCCAGCCTAAGGTGCTCACATCTGTTTCTTCAACTCCATAGTTATCTTCTACTTCCTGGAAATCACATTTCTCTCTTTCCAGGCCCTCTTCTAACCCTGTCATACACATGGACCTTGAGCCTCTCAGAGATCCCAAAATCACCCTCTCTGGTTTATTTGAGTTTCACATGTTTTTCAACTACCTAGTCTCACCTTGATGGATAACATCATTTACTTTTTCTATAAACAGTTACTGAGTGCCTATGTATCATAGGTTCTAGCCATTAACAAGGGATGCCTCTTTTCTTAGAGCCTGTAGTTTACTAGAAGAATGAAGCAAAACCAAGTGAACAAACAAAATAAATACAAATTTTGGCAAGTTGTAGGAAGGAAACAAATAGGATTGCCTGTGAGGATGATTAGGGAAGGTCCTCTGAAAAGGTAAGCTGAGATCTGAAGCATGAGGAGGGACAGCCTGGGGCAGGAAAAACCACAGCTTATTTGAAGGCTCATATAGCTGGAGTATCATAAGCAAGGAGCTAAGTGGCATGAAAAAAGATGAGTGTAGTTGGAAGATGCCAGATCAAGCATGGCCTTATAGGTCCTGGTAAGGAGGTTGGCTTTTATTTAAAGTGCAATTTGAAGCAATGGAAAAGCTTTAAACTGAAAAACAATATATATAATTTACTTTTAGTTTTGTTTTACTCTTTTCCTTTACTTATCAGTTCTCAAAATAAATGAATGGGTTCCTAAGGATCATTTCCATATAAACTTTATAATGAGTTTGTCAATATCCATAAAATAACTGGGTGGGATTTTGATTGGAATTTTACAGAATCTATAGATCAAGTTGGGAAAAGCTGACATCTTGACAATATTGCATATTCCTATCTATGAATATTGAATATCTCTATCTCACCATTTAGTTGTATCCTTGATATCTGTTATCAGAGTTTTTTAGTTTTGCTTATCGTGCAACCTTGCTATAATCACTAACAAAGTCCAACTTTGCAGTAATCACTAATGAGTTTCTTTTTTAATGATTCTTTGGGGTTTTCTACACAGACAGTCATTTAATATCCTTCAAAGTTTTTTTTTAGTACATCATTATTAACTCATGAATTTGAACATTTTGATCTGGTTCAATCTCTTATAATTATTGTTTTTATCAATACTTAAATTACCCTTTCTTGGGCCAGTGAGATTCTCTTTAAGTGGCCTCCTGAGTCCTTTTGACATGACCTCAGTAGCCTTGAATTGCTTCACTGCTAACTGGTATGACAAGATATTCCAGGCTAGTCTTTCACATTTCTTGCCCCAGACCTGTAGTCAGCTTATTCTCCAAGTTGCCCTAATTTCTTTTATTGGAAAATTGTATTTAGAAGTCACAATTCCGGATGTTATTTTAAAATAATCCTTGCTTTTATGTGAAGAATGGGATAAAAGAGAGCTGAGTGGAATTGGAGAAACTGGTTAGGAGGCAATGTGTGTTACCCCCAGTGAGAGACAATGGCAATCTGGACTGAGTTATTGTCAAAGGAATTAGAGTGAAATGGGCTGATTTGAAATATGTATTCATGTCATGGCCAATGAACTTGCTATTGGGTTAGATGTGGGGAAATGAAAGAATAGAAAAACTTGAGGACAACTTTCAAGTTTTTGGGGGAAGACAGATGGAGCATATCATTATCAGAATAATGACTCTTCTGGGATAGATGTGAAGTGGAATATTAAATCCCTATTTCAAAATCCTGGTGGCTTAATTTTATTGTAAATATATTGTACAAATACTGTTTCCAAAAATCCCACATACTTTGTAACTGTTTATATTACTTTGTCTACTCTTGCAGTCTTTGTTAACTAAATCTGCAATTTAGCAGTTGCAAGCAATATGTTCACGCAGTCTAATGGTCTGCATTTTTCCATGTAGACAATTTAAAATATTGCTTTAAAGAGTACTCAATATACAGTAAAAATATTCAACATACAATAATTTAATTATTTGGGGGTATTTGAGTTGCTTCCAATTTTTAATTATTATATCTTAGTTAAGACTCAGTTATAAGCAACAACATGTGATTTAAGTTATTTTAACTTGAAAAAGGTGATTTATTGTAAAGGTAGAAGGGTATGCCATGGGGTCAAAGAATAGGAAAGCAGTTGGGCATCTGGAAGGAGACAGAAAGGTGTCGGCCTTTTCTTTGTTTCTTACTTGTTTCTCTTGGTAAATCTGTTTTGTTCTTCTTTCCTTTACCCTAATTACCTCGTTGTAGGGCAGTAGGGTTACCTCATAGCCTGAGATTATTTTACCACTCTGACCACATGCAAAGACTAACCTGCAATTCTCTGTTCTAGTTCCACATTCCAGCTCGTGTTAGACTGATTTCTGGTTGAATTGTAGATCAGGAGATGGGATTACCCAAGACAAACATGGCTGCTACGGATTCACCCTCTCGAATGGGAGTGGGAGGAGTTCTAGGGAAGACAGGATGGCTAATGGGCTGGGCTGACCCCTAAAAGATGTCTCTATATTTTGAATTATGTTACTATAAACGAATTTGCAAAAGCTACTTTTTTTCTTTGTCCTTGGAGTACATTCATCGAGGTGGAATTACAGGGTCTCAGAATTGGAACAGTTTCATGACTTACTCCCTTTGCCAGCCGGGCTGTGTTGATGACATGAGAGGAAATAAGGAAGTTAGGAAATACTGGTCTGGCAACTCAGAAAACTCTTCCTTATCTCCATGATTCACCTTTTAAATCACTGCCTCTTCCAGTCTCAGTAAGTACTAGAATGAATATGCGTTCTTCAATTTTTTTTTTTTTTTTGGTTCCCTCAGTAATGTTTGTTGAACAGAGGAAATGAGAGGGCAATCCAATCCAATGCTCATGTAGTAGCATCACACTTTAAGGGAATTATAAGTCACAGATTAATTTCTTCTCACAAATAAATAACCCACACCCTCTCATTTTCTTATTGGTCCCATTTTTCAATCCTTGTAAGCACTTTTCTGGTCTTTGCCATCCTCTTTCTAATTTCTCCCCTCAGACTGAGGATCTGAAAACGTCCCCTTCAGAGTACAATACTAAGAAATACTCATCAGCATGAGCTATTAATTTCTCTGAGTAAATGATAACTTTCAAGAATATTGATCACCTAAGTACTTTACGTTTTTTTCACAAAAGTACATGGCTCTTTTTCAGTCAGGTCCAGAATTTTAATCTACCCTGGGATTCCCTAGCTCATGAATTTGGGAATTGGACAGGAGACAGTACAAGATCACAGGAAGTGGGAGGAAGAGTAGAGAGAAGCAAGTCCAAGGATTTCCCAGGTCAACGCTGTCCAGGATGACATGGGTTGGAGACCCTGAAAGAGGCCACGTGAAGGCAGATAGGAAGTGAGATGACAGCCAGTTGAAAAGATGGGAGGCATCCAACTAACCTAGAGGAAATGACAAAGTATGGCCTCTGAGCAGGATAACTAGCTACTGAAACTAAGGGTCCTGACTGGGCAAGGAGGCAAAAGTAGGCATGGAGTCCAGGTGTCCAAATGGGGGGTCAAAAGGGTAAATAAACCTGGTCCAGCCAATGGACCAGACAGATAGCCAAAAAGATTTGATCCCATATATTGTGGGAAGTAATTGACAGTGTTTTCAATACATTACAGTGCCAAAAAATTGACCTTTTTCTTCACTCTATTGTAATGTCTCCATGTTGCTTTATTAAAATTGTGTAATTGACAATTCACCAAGAGCCTGACTCTTGGTTCAAAGTCTCATCCCTCTGTCTTGTTTTTAAATGCAAATGAAGAGGGCTGACATAGTCTGGCAGGCATGTTTTTGTCCACAGCAAGACAGAACTCGTCATGTACCATTGTCTGGGACTGCAATGTCCTCTGGAGGGTCACACGGCCCTTAAAATTTGAGTATTTCCACAGTTATAATGGGCAATGAAGAAGTCCTTCCTTATATCATTCATTGTTTTACACACCCCAACCTAATTTTAAGGGTACAGAAGGAATGGCAGCTGGTTTCTGAGTTTGCAGGAAAAAGTACTAAGAGCAAATAAGTAGTCGGGAAATTGTCTTGACATTTATGGAATGAACGAGGCATTACTGTGTAATAGAGAGGTTTATGACTGTTCTGGGAACACTATTCCAGTGTGTTAGAGATGGTTGGCCATTTATTTTAAAGAATTAAAAGAAGAGCAAAAGCCACCCTAGCAGTTTCAGGGGAATAGCTGTGGGCGAACATTAGAGAAGAGGGGGAGGAGAAATGTATGAGGGCTATTAAGCAGCTGTCTGTTAAGGAACATTTAATTTAAAATAAGATAAACATTCATTGTGCTGTAAACAAACAAACAAACAAACATTTTTTGCAGCATTTTCATTCCGACCTCCTTACATTGGTGTTTTCAGAATTTATTAGAGTGTAGTATTGAAAAACGATGTGAAACTCAGATAGATTATGGTTTTATCCCATTTGTTAGTATTGAGGGAAGTATTTGGCATGTGTTTTCAATGCATTATAATTCTAAAAAATTGCTTTTTTCTTCACTGTATTGCAAGTCCCTCCATGTTGCTCTATTTAAAATTGTACAGTTCATAACAGATTAGGAATTACTCTAATAAATATGGTCAAATTTCTCATTTGATGCAGAATTGTCTGTGCTTCTGTCTTTGTTAGTGACTAGCCCCCTCTGGGTACTTAGCTCTTAATAAATACTAAGTTATGTATTTGCTTTCATGTCCTTGGCTAGAAACTGCATGACTGGCCATACTCTGAAATTTTGTAACATTATGGCTAATGCACTTTTTGTAATAATGAAGCAAAATAGATTTATTGTCAAATGCTTTCTTCAATTCAAAGTAGAGAGAAAGGAATTCCAGGATCTTGAAAGCACTAGGGAAATGTGACTCTGTAATGGAATTGTGTCTAATGAAATCTCCAGGACCAACTGAGGAATGTTCTTCTTACCATAAACTCCAGAATTGGAAGAATTCTTTTAAAAGAGGAATATCTCAAATGAGATGTTATTAGCAATTTTAACAATTATTTCAATTATCCCGGGTTATGCATGGTAACTTGAATCTATTAAAAGGAATGAATTGGGCTCTGAATTAACTAGATGAGACTATAATTTTTCAAAGCAGTGAACTCCAACTTGTATTTAGTAGGATTTTTTTTTTTACTATGTTTCTGACCTACTTTCAGACATGGACTTGCAAACTCCAGGTCCCTAGGAGAGTAGGAAGAAAAATTACTCACTTATATTCTGCAATTTATTACACTAATTTATGGTCCTTCAAGTCTGGGCAGGGGATGGGCTGTTGTTTTATAGAAGAACCTTTTTGTCCTTTGTTGGGGACATTTCCAGCAATTTAACAATTGACTCTAATAGAATCTTATGAATAAAACTAATGAAAACATGAAGAAATGAACTCTAGAGACCAAACATACAGTAGCTTATTGTTCACTCTCTGGAGAATAGAAATACCTTCTCTAACAAGGTACAATGGTGCAAACAGGAACTAACACTCAGGTTTCAATGCACAAGGCACTCAGGGTCAGGAGACGGCCAATACTGCTGACCTTAGTCAGGTCAGCATGAACAAACTCAAGAAACTGGATAAGCAAACAAGTAAATGTGCTTTAGCTTTTAGATGTGTTCATATGATTATAAAAATTATTTTAAGAGAGAACAAATTATCAAATCTAGTTCTTTGTCCTTTGACCCATCTCAATGCTTTTTTGTTTTTTTATTTATTTTTTTGTTTTTTTTTTAGGGGCCTATGTATATAATAAGCAGTGCTTTCTTCTCTTTCTCTAAGGCCAGTCCTTATTTTGATTACTCCCTTGGATCTTAGGGAGTATATGGCTAATATGAAAAGGAAGGATTAGTACAACTGAAATACCTAGATGGTTTTTAATTATCAAATTCTTCAATACATCAAGCCTTTTACTGGAGTTGCAAACATAGACTCCACCAGGGCTAATTACTTCACTTGCCTGGGTCTCAGTGTCCTCACTTACACGATGAGGGGTATATATGATCAGTGCTATCCCAGTCTGTCACCCATGCCACTGGTAGTATAGAAGGTGACTGTAGGTGATAATGGACAATTGCTTTAAGTTATGTATTTATTTTACTACTATTAAACCTGTGACATTTCCAGTTTGTTTTGTTTGGTTTTTTGAGCCAGAATCTTGCTCTGTCTCCCAGACTGGAGTGCAGTGGCCCAATCTCAGCTCACTGCAACCTCCACCTTCCGAGTGATTCTCCAGCCTCAGCCTCCCAAGTAGCTAGGATTACAGGAGCCCACCGGCTAATTTTTGTGTATACATATATATATATATATATATATATATTTTTTTTTTTTTTTTTTTTTTTTTTTTTTGAGACGGAGTTTTGCTCTTGTTGCCCAGGCTGGAATGAAATGGCGTGATCTCTACTCACCACAACCTCCTCCTCCCAGGTTCAAGCAATTCTCCTGCCTCAGCCTCCTGAGTAGCTGGGATTACAGGCATACGTCACCATGCCCAGCTAATTTTGTATTTTTAGTAGACACGGGGTTTCACCATGTTGGCCAGGCTGGTATCGAACTCCCAACCTCAGGTGACCCACCTGTCTCGGCCTCCCAAAGTGCTGGGATTACAGGCATGCACCACTGTGCCCGGCCCGACATTTCTGAATATTATTGTTTAGTAGTAAAGTGGATATTTAGTTTTTAAGGGAAAATTTTAAATAAGTGATATAAGGGTGACAAAAAGTGACACATTATTTTCTAATGAGTGATATTTGGGAGACATTAGACAAGCTAATCCCTAAAGCATATTTTAGCTTTAAGTCTAAAGTGTCTATAATTTTTAACGCCTTTCTTCCAAACTTTACTCAATTAATCTCACTAGAGAAGCCATAATTAAATAAAACAGATGAATGTTAAACAGTAGAAGTAGAAAGAAAGAAAAGCCAAGTGCTTGGAAAATTCTTAGACTTGAAAATCACTCAAGAATTAAAACTGGGCCAGGCATGGCAGCTCACACCTGTAATCCCAGCACTTTGGGAGGCCGAGTTGGGCAGGTCACCTGAGGTCAGGAGTTTGAGCCCAACCTGGGCAACATAGTGAAATACGGTCTCTACTAAAAATACAAAAATTAGCCAGGCATGGTGGCGTGTGCCTGTAGTCCCAGCTACTCAGGAGGCTGAGGTGGGAGAATCGCTTGAGCCCGGGAGGCGGAGGTTCCAGTGAGCCAAGATCGCACCACTGCACTCTGGACTGGGCGACAGAGCAATATTCCATCTCAAAAAAAAAAAAAAAAGAAAAAAGAATTAAAACTGAATACCTTTTTCCTTACATAGGATTTTCACGCAATTGTCTAAGCAACTTCATGGAACACTTTCATAAAAGCCTTTAAAAAATCCCCATCTTGAATTATAAATTCTGTAAATATGTCCCAAATGTTTATATTATGATCATCACTGGTGTTCTAAAAGAGTTGTAAAGTCCATTGTGGTTGCCCTTTAGCTGCTTATTGGAATGGTGGCACTTATAGGAAAGGTAATAATACACATACTAATTTTGTTTCTTGAGTGCCCAGCAATAGCCTTGCACTTCATAAACTTTACCTTATGTAATCCTCACAACAACCCTACAGATGTATTAGTTCCCCTATTTGCAGGTTAAGAAACTGCAGTTCTTTGAGTTTCCTAACTTGCTATTACTGAAGGGCTCACAGCTAGACTGTGGTGAGCATTTAAAAAAACGCTACGGAGGTCTGTCTCTTTTCTAAGCACATGCTTTTTCTACAACATAAAAGTTTTAAATAAGAGTTTTAAAGAAACATCCCTCTCTCTCTCTACATAGGAAATAAAGAGCCCTTTGGACTTGACCAAGAAAAGCTTTTGGAGGAACTCAAATTCTTGAAGAGTCAGTCAGAGACTTAGGCTGGAGAAGTAACTACAGGGCGGGTCATTTCAAAGAAATAAGTGGCTGCCCTAGATATCTGTCATCTCATCTTAACAGCTGATGCCAGCTCCCAGGGTCTCTGGATTGAGGCTCTTCCTCGCCTCTGCAGATCACCACTCCTGCCAGGGCAAAAGCTGGCTTCTTTCCTTCCTGCAGTGGCTTTTTCCTCCCCGACAACTTATCTGTTCGTATACCTAGCTAGGAGCCTGCCCTCTCACTGCCCTCTCCACCAACTGTTAACTTTCAACAGATAGTGACCACGCTATTTGTCAAGGTAAAACATCACACCCAATCTTCCCTCCCCTTTTATCATCAAGGAGTCCCCTTTAGGATGCTCTTAAGAACTCAGAGGAAAACCAGCTATTCCTTCCTTTTCTTTGATAACTCTCTGTGTCATCCCAAAACAATGTGGGAGATCTGAAGTTAGAAATTATTTCTGAAAATAAAATGACTGACCCTCCGATCCTTGCAAGAAAAGAAGTTTTTACATACACTAAGTGTTTGTTGTTGTTGTTGTCTGTCTGTTTGTTTGTTTGTTTAAATAGCTAGACCAAAAGAAGTATCTTATCAAGTGAGGAAATAAAAGTGAAAACATCTCTGGTATTTGGAAAGCAGTCGTAATCATCAGGATGCTAAGGTGAGAAAGAAGCTACCTGTAAGCATACCTTCTTTAAAACACAATGGTTTCAGTTACAGACAGCTGACAGGTGCTGAGAGCAGTTGCTCAAGGGCAAAGAGCCCAGCAAAGAAAATATGGATGCAAACCCTTGGCTTAATCTCACTATCAATTATCTCTTATCAGCTCCTTTCTCACTCATAGGTGAAGCCCTGAAGGAGGCTGCATCCAGCCTCTTCAAGGCCCCCCCCCAACCCAATATATGGATTGACATTTTTATAGCTCAAAAACAGCCGAATATCAGGAACACCAATCTGTACCTTTCCTCCCCATGATAGGAGGTGGGATGTGCACTTTTGTATTTTACTAGGTCTCCGCCTCCGTCGCTTTGCCTCATTCACACTGCACACTGCATGTCTGCATGTGGATTGTCCGTTTGCAGTGCCAACCCCCACATCCAGACATCATCTTAGCTCAGATTGACCCCTGAGCTTCAGCCTGTGCAGATACTCCGCTCTTTGGCCCCTGTCCTTGTGCAATCTGCTTGGGAGAGAGTTTTAACTTTAGAAGGATCCTATCCAGATAAAAGTAGGGACAGGATGTTCTTTAGGGAATTCCCAGCACTGAACAGGGCCCAGAGGGTCACTTAGTATACATATACACGCCAAAGCGCAGATGCCCTCACCCCTATTACATACTGCACACTGACATTTTCTTTTCTTTTCTTTTTGGAGACAGAGTCTGTCTCTGTCGCCCAGGCTGGAGTGTGGTGGTGCAATCTGTCACTGCAACCTCTGCCTCCCAGGCTCAAACGATTTTCCTTCCTCAGCCTCGTAAGTAGCTGAGATTACAGGCATGTGCCACCACACCAGGCTAATTTTTATATTTTTAGTAGAGACGAATTTTCACCATGTTGGCCAGGCTGGTCTCAGACTCCTGATCTCAGGTGATCTGCCTGCCTGAGCCTCCCAAAGTGCCGGGATTACAGGTGTGAGCCACCGTGCCTGGCCACACTGACATTTTCTAGTTTATTTTTTTTCTATTTTATTTTACTTTTTAAATGCATGTGGGTACTCACTAAATTTATGTCATGATCTGTGGATGGGCCATGACCTACAGCTTGAAAATTACTGCTCCATGGGGAAAATGTAGAAGAACGGGATAAATTATTTGTACAAATGAAAACTTATTAAAGTGAGCTGCTTTATTAAAGTGAGCTCGCTTTCCTGCATGCCATGACCTGGTCCTCTGGTCTTATCTCACTCCTTTTGTCAGGACCATGACTTGACAAAGCGTTCTGTGACAGAGGGGGCTGGATGGTGGCTTTCCGACCTTATCCTTGCCGTCCTTAGGCCTCTGCTCCCCGGCTTTACCCCAGGCTTTCTTGCCCTGTGGAAATGTATGTGTGCTGTGATATGAAATTGTAGCTTCAGAGACTCAACAGTTTGCCATTTTAATGAGTCCATGTTTTAATCCAATTTTGAACATTCAAGATGTATTTGGCACAGTTTATCTTAACCAATAACACCACACACAACAAGGGGACCCAAGTACTAACACCATATCAATTATGAAAAAGATTGAGATTGAGAAATGGCAAAATTACACTTCCCTAGTATAATATTTTTCAATGTCTATTCTATTATCTGAGATTAAAACCAAGTCAGAATTTGTCTTCATAGCTTTTATTATAGATTGTGTTATTTACTTGTGGTATTTGATTAGTCACAGTGTCCTCTGCTAGAGGAGTTCAATGAGAACAGAGATTATTTCATTCACTCCCCATCAACTAGCACACTGCTTGGTACACAGTAGTTTTCAATAATTATTTGTGGAATGAATAAAGAATTCCCTTTAAGAAGACATCTGTAAGCTATTTTTTTTCCCCACAAAGGCTTTAAACTTTCATGCCTCATAAGCTAGAATAATGAATGTGGATTTGACATTGTATCTAAAAATGCACGTAAGGGCCTGCAAGTTTGGGTTATCTTTAGAATCCCAATTGGACCCAAGCTTCAATTGTCACTTTCTAATTATGATAGCTGCCATCTATTGCAAACCTCACAATAACTCCAGGAAGTGGGTCCTATTATTATCCTCCATTTCGCAGAAGAGGAAATTGAGGCCCAGAAAGGTTTAATCTCTATCTCTTAAGGCAATGCCATTTTGACTTTATACTGCCCTTTTTGAAATATCTTGTTATCCCTAAAAAAAAAAAAAAAAAAAAAAAATTTCTCCCTATTCTTCTGAGAATCTTTTGTGCAAAGGGAGCATTAAGAAATGGCATGGAGAGGAATGACTTCAAAATCAAGTTATTCTGGCCGGGCGCAGTGGCTCACGCCTCTAATCCCAGCACTTTGGGAGGCCAAGGCGGGTGGATCACTTGAGGTCAGGAGTTTGAGACCAGCCTGGCCAACATGGTGAAACCCTGTCTCTACTAAAAATGCAAAAATTAGCCAGGTGTGGTGACGCATGCCTGTAGTCCCAGCACTCGTGAGGCTGAGGCAGGAGAATCACTGGTACCTGGGAGGTTGAGGCTGCAGTGAGCTGAGATCATACCACTGCACTCCAGCCTGGGTGACAGAGTGAGGCTCCATCTAAAAAAAAAAAAAAAAAAGATCGGATATTGAGACAGACCTTTAAGGACCAGGCTAAAGCTGCCTTTGCCAATACCTAGATATCAGTGAAGGTCGGCTGTTGGTTCTCCCACTTTCCTTCCACTCCTTCTCTTCCCTTGTCCAACCCCACCTCTGACCTTAGGAACTACACTGACATTCTATCTGCTTGTTCACAATGGAAAGGTGCCAATAACTAATGAAGAATTAGCTGATAGCATTAAAGCAATGGTCCCCTTAATTTCCTCTCCCAGCTAGCACAACTAGGGCTTGGACAGCTTTTGAGGATGCCATGGTGGTCCAGCCACCAGGAGGAGCAAACCCATGGAATCATGTTTAGGTGTAAAAGTCAAAGAGGGAAATTATGCAGATAGTGATTGATCCTTTGGTGGCCAACTCTGATCTTCTATGAAGAAGCAGTTAGGAAACGGGGTGAGAAATAGATTTTAGGGCTACTGGAATTTATTATTTTGCAATGCTAAGGAATGGTGGGAAAAGGATTATACAACATAATGAGGGAGACCTGTTACTGGTCTTCCCACACTGACTCACTCTGACCCGGGGTCATTTCTTATCTATCTGGTCTGGTGATTTCACATAGGCAAAAAAAGATATATACATATGTTAAGCAGAAACTACAAAAACCCGAGTTCCTTTTTTTCCATGTCATGTAAAATAAATTTTTCTTTGCATTCTTTTTCAAAAAAGATAATACAGTGGCAATATAAACATCATGATTTTTTAAAAAAAACATGTAAATAGTGTAACTAACAAAATTTCTTCATTTTTGCTTGTTACCTCCCACATGCATGGTTCAAATATAGTTTTATTTGTAGTGTACATACATTTTGTGCAGAAATATTTAACAGTAAATAAATCCACCCACTTGAACAAAAATCTGTACTTCTGTTTATTAAAATTTACTATATACATTGCCAGATCCTTTAATTTACAAATTCTCCATAAGTTCATTTATTCTTATTCTTTCCAGGAATGAAGGCTCCTACAGGATATTAGACATTTTGCTTAACTTTCAGACTTGTGCTGTCAGGGAGATTTTACTTGTAAACTAAACTTTATACACAATTGAACCAAACAGAGCATTTACAACCACAGTGAATTCACAATAGCAAAGATATGGAATCAAGCTAAATGCCCATCAAGGGTGGAGTAGATAAAGAAAATTTGGTACATATACACCATGGAATACTACGCAGCCAGAAAAGAGAACAAGATCATATCCTTTGCAGCAACATGGATGGAGCTGGAGATCATTAACCTAAGTGAATCAATGCAGGAAGAGAAAACCAAATACTACATGTTCTCACCTGCCAGTGGAAGTTAAACACTGAGTGCACATGGACACAAAGAAAGGAACAATAGACACTGGAATCTACTTGAGGATGGAGGGTGAGAGGAGGGTGAGGATCGAACAACTACCTGTTGGGTGCTATGCTTATGACTTGGGAGATGAAAAAATCTGTACACCAAACCCCTGTGACACCAAAGTTACCTATATAACAAACCTGTATATGTACCCCGAATGTAAACAAAAGTTGGAAAGAACAAACAAACATAATAAATAAAACCACAGTGCCTTTCACTTTCTCCCTGGCTTTCATATGGCATCAGCTTTGACCACTCCATTACAGTTTCTCCTCTTGCGATGAGAGACGATCCCTCTCCACCTTCTCCAGACACTCTCCTGCCTGCTTTCCCGACCTCACGTTCCCCTGGCGCCCTTCCTGCTTCTTCAGCCATTCCTTCTCAGGCTCTTTTCCGGCTTCTCCTCCACAACATGGTCTTTAAATGTTGGGATTTTCCAGGCTCCAATCCAGGGCCCTCATTTATTCTCTCACAATATCCTCTCCCTAGGGCAGTTCATCTATTCTCCTCATTTTAATTACTTCCCCACCCTCCTCTCTAGGCTCATATACCCCACATATTCACACTACCCCTACTTATCAAACTGCCTACCTGCCATTTCCCTTGTTTTACTGAAGGTGGAAGATGCTGGTGGAAATAATCACAGAAGCATCATAGAGAAAGGCCATCTTTAAGAATTCAGAACTTTCCTCTGCCAGTGTTTATGGGAAGAGATAATGTCAATAACTGTTAAACAAGGCTGCTCTTGTTGAATTATCAGCAAAAATAAAGAAGTCATTTGATCTGACAAAATGAGTGACAAAAGGGGTATATCATCATGAAACGGGTTCTGATAAAATGTTCAAACATCTGGGATTCTCTCAGAGTTGGATATCCCTTCCTGGTTTATGAAAAATGCATTTTTAGAAAATACCTGGCTTGAATTCCTTCCATTTTGTTAATTTGGTAGGCAGTTCAAAATATCAAATAGTGTGAATTAGCCAGTCTATTCAAATGTTTCAGAAGGGAAGGAGTGTGCAGTAAGTGACATTATAGAACTAGAAAGCAAGATAATTTTATAATATTCCTTTAGATGTTTATTACTTTATTTAACTATACAAAACGTATGCAAATTCTTTATTATCTACCATAATGGCAAAGATGAACAGACATTTTTTTTTTTTTTGAGCCAAAATCTCACTCTGTCGCCCAGGCTTAAGTTCAGTGGCACAATCTCAGCTCACTGCAACTTCCACCTCTCAGGTTCCAGCAATTCTCCTGCCTCAGCCTCCTGAGTAGCTGGGATTACAGGTGTGTGCCACCATGCCCAGCTAATTTTTGTATTTGTAGTAGAGATGGGATTCCACCATGTTGGCCAGGCTGGTCTTGAACTCCTGGCCTCAGGTGATCCACCCACCTGGGCCTCCCAAAGTGCTGGGATTACAGGCGTGAGCCACTGTGCCTGGCCTAGAAGTATGTATTGATTTAAGTAATTACATGTGTATCTTTGGCTGCAGCATTATGTATAAGGGTTCTCTAGAGGGACAGAATTAATAGAATAGATGTATATATGAAGGGGAGTTTATTAAGGAGTATTGACTCACACGATCACAAGGTGAAGTCCCACAATAGACCATCTGCAAGCTGAGGAGTAAGGAAGCCAGTCTGAATCCCAAAACCTCACTGTAGGGATACCAACAGTGCAACCTTCAGTCTGTGGCCGAAGGCCCGAGAGCCCCGGCAAACCACTGGTCTAAGTCCAAGAGTCCAAAAGCTGAAGAACTTGGAGTCTGATGTTCAAGGGCAGGAAGCACCCAGTACAGAAGAAAGATGAAAGCCGGAAGACTCAGTAAGTCAACCTCTCCCACCTTCTTCTGCCTGCTTTATTCTAGCAGTGCTGGCAGCTAATTGGATGGTGCCCACCCACATTGAGGGTGGGTCTGCCTCTCCCAGTCTACTGACTCAAATGTTAATCTCCTTTGGCAACATCCTCACAGACATAACCAGGAACAATACTTTGCATCCTCAATCCGATCAAGGTGACACTTAGTATTAACCATCACACATTGTATCAGCATGTTTCAATTGATCAAAAAGGAAATAGCTCAAATATATAATCAGGTCTAAGGAGATCTGGGCTGAGTGACCAGGCAGGCCCTCCCAGAGGCCCTCAGTTTTTCTTTTAAATGGAATAATCCCCACATCAGAAGTGGCATTTTTGCCTGAGTGTGTGGGGTGGTGGGGAGACAGGGACTTGTTAAGATGCAAAGTTACCAACCCAAGGGAGCAAATATGCCCGTATTAGAAACAGAAACTGAGGAGAGCCGACACTGAGAAGGGTTGAATAGCAAAACCAGGGTGTTTATATCAGCCATGACTTCCGGGCAAGATAGGAGATTTTTTTTAAGATTGTACTAAAACTAGATGTTATAAACATCCTCTCTACTTCTATGAGAGCTTGTGGGGACAGCTCAACACAGAGCAAAGGATCAACTGAGAGAGAAAGAAAGAATTTCCTGGGTAACAGGCGGCCGCTGCAGGCACTTGCTGCGTGTGTATTGACAGAGGGAACACTTGCCTTCTGCTCCACACTCATACATATCTGGCTTACGACAGAAACACAGTTGACAAAGTTTCTGTTCTTAAAGGGAGTGCTTTGGGCAACTGCAGATGGGGAAAGAAAATTAACGAAGAGCCTTCATGCAAGGAAATGACCATTTTGGTGGTGACAGGCATGGATGAAGAACAGCATGGAGCCTAGAAGAGGATTCTGAATGAAAAATGTCTAGGGAAAGTAGACCCTGAGAGCCCAGCACAGACACAGTGACCCCTGTGAAATCTGGCTAAGAATCAAATTAAATCCTCAGTGAGGAGAGATTAAAGGTTAACACCGGAACTGCTCTATACATTTTTTATATTTTTAGTAGATATACATTTTGATTGGGTTAACTATTTGGTTAACTCTATATTGTTAGTTGTCAGAGTATGGATTCAATCAGTCTGAACTTATTTTTGAGCTGTATATAAAGCTCTGAGTTAAAAAAAATTTGGAGGCTTTGTTAAAGAAAGAAAGCTGTCCTTCATGAACCCCACTGCCAACTGCAATCCAGACTCCAGAGTGGACAGACCACCCTAGAGAGTGGTAAAACCAGGTAAGCAGCACCTCTTCAGGAACAGGGATGTGAGGAGGTTTATTCCTGCCTGCTCATACTTGTTTTACTTCATGCTTATAAGAATTGAGGTTAATGAACGTGACAGCTTCTGATTGTACAGTGAGAGGTTGAAGAAATAAGGAAAAGGACTAATAGAAGGTTCTTACTTTACCATCTGCCATAGTTTGGATGTTTGTCCGCTCTGGATCTCAAGTTGAAATGTGATCCCCAGTGCTGAAGGTGGGCCTAGAGGGAAGTTTTTGGAGCATGGGGGAGGATCCCTCATGAATGTCTTGGTGTCCTCCTCACAGTAATAAGTGAGTTCCTGCAAGATCTGATTGTTAAAGAGTCTAGGGTCCCTCCTACTTATTGCCTCCTTTTGCCATGTGATATTGTTAAAGAGTCTAGGGTCCCTCCTACTTTTTGCCTCCTTTTGCCATGTGATGTTGTTAAAGAGTCTGGGGTCCCTCCTACTTCTTACCTTCTTTTGCCATGTGACACACCTGCTCCCCCTTCACCTTCCACCATGAGTGGAAGCTTCCTGAGGCCCTCACCAGAAGCAATGCTGGTACCATGCTTGTACAGACTGCTGAACCAGAGCCAAATAAAACTCTTTTCTTTACAAATTACCCAGCCTCAGGTATACGTTTACAGCAATGCAAAATGGACTAACAGAACATTCGTACTGAGGAATGGGGTGTTGCTGTAAAGACATATGAAGATGTGGAAGCAGCTTTGAAACTGGGTAATGGGCAGAGGCTGGAAAACTTCTGAGGGCTCAGAAGAAGACAGGAAAGTTTGGAACTTCTTAGAGACTAGTTAAATGATTGTGACCAAAATACTGATAGAAACACGGACAATGAAAGCCAGGCTGAGCAGGTCTCAGATGGAAATGAGGAAGTTATTGGGAAACGGAGCAAAGGTCACCCTTGTTACACCCTAGCAAAGAACTTGGCTGCATTGTGCCTATGTTCTAGGGCTCTGTGGAAGGTTGAACTTGAGAGTGATGACCTAGGGTATCTGGTGCAGGAAATTTCTCAGCAGCAAAACATTGAACATGCTGAGTGGCTGCTTCTAACAACCTACCATCAGATATGGGAGCAAAGAAATGACTTAAAGTTGGAATTTATGTTTAAAAGGGAAGCAGAGCATAATGTTTGGAAAAATCACAACCTGGCCATATAGTGGAGAAGGAAAAAGCATTTCAGGACAGAAATACAAGTAGGGTAAGGAGCAACCACTTGCTAGAGAGATTTGCATGATTAAAAGGGAGTCAAGTGCTTATAGCCAAGAGGCCTAGAAGGCATTTCGGAAATCTCTGAGGTAGTCCCTCCCATCACAGACCTGGAGGCCTAGGAGGAAAGAATGGCTCCAGGGGCCAGGTCCATGGTCCCTTGCCCTGTGCAACCTTGGGACACTGCTCCCCCCATCCCCACTGGGGCTCAAACGATCCCAGGCACAGCTTGGGCTGTTACTTTGAAGAGTGCAAGTCACTGTAAGACTTGGCAACTTCCATGCAGTGTTAAGCCAGCAGGTGCACAGAATGTAACAGTGAAGGAGGCTCGGCAGTTTCTACCTAGATTTCAGAGCATATATGGGAAAGCCTGAGTGCCCAAGCAGAAGCCTGCCATAGGGGCAGAGCCTCCCAGAGAGACTCTACTTCCTGTTGCTCCTTTTTGCCATGTGATGCACCTGCTCCCCCTTTGCCTTCTGCCATGAGGCTCTTGCCACAAGCAATACTGGCTCCATGCTTTTACAGCCTGCAGAACTGTAAGCCAAATACTTTTTTCTTTATCAATTGCCCAGCCTCAGGTATTCCTTTATGGCAATGCAAAATGCACTAACACATCATCTTTTTGACTTTTGTCTTTCACCTTTTCAAAGTATAGATGGTCCTCAATTTACAGTGGTTTGATGTACGATATTCTGGCTTTATGATGGTGTGAAAGGGAACTGTGTTTAGTAGAAACCGTACTTTTTTTTTTTTTTTTAGTTTACACTGGTAAGAAAGATACAGACTTTTTGTTAGATTATTTTGCCCAACTGCAGACTAATGTAAGTGTTCTGAGTGCATTTAAGGTAGGTTAGACTAAGCTATGTTGTTCAGTAGGTTAGGTGTATTACATGCATAACAATGCATATCCTGTCAACAGACAAGATATTTTCAATTTAGGATGGGTTTATCAGGATATAACCCCATTGTACATAAATCAAGGAACACCTGTATGTGTCCCTAAAAGCCAGGCTGCGATCTACCAAGACCACTGGCAGCCCTTGCTGGGGATGGTGTGCAATGCGTTATCACCTTCACTCCAAGGCAGTGATGAGTGAGCTGAGATTTAGAAAAACAGATATGAGTTCATGATCTGTACTAGCAACTAGCTGGAATGACCCTATTCAAGTCTTCTGATTTTTTTCCATGTCATTTCATAGTCTAGTTCTGCTGACAGCATTCTCCCCTCATCAGTCCCAGGGCCCTCTCTAGCTTGGCTCTGCCTACTCCCACTCTATTTAACTCTGCCTGGAGAAGCTCTCCATGGGCGGGACCCATAAGCTCACCTGGGCTGGGGCCTCTTTCCAAGAAAGCCTCTGTCAGCTTGCAAAGGATCTAAGACATTTCTCTACTTCCATCCCTTCTCCCAATCCCCCTTACTTATCTATCATTCCAATGCCTTCCAGGCCAAGTCAAATCCTGATTTCCCCAAGAAACATCCCCAGAGTCTCTCAGAATCTTTCCTCTGTCCTCCAGGGTGATTTATGTCAATGTCTCTTTCTCCTGCTCCTGCTTGATTATGGATTCCTCAAAGGAGGGGTCAAATCTCCTTTGCCACAGCCCCTAGCATTTTGCTTTGTTGAATCTGTTGGACAAAATAATTGCTTTGAACAAAATAATTCTCACTAAGTTTTTATTAAATAAATATCATTGGGATATGTGTAGAAAATTTCTGTTAGGTTATTGAATACACACATGACATATTCTAAGTGTTTTTTAAATGCCTTTACTGAGATATAATTTACGTACCAAAGAATTCACTACGTAAAGTGTACAATTCAATGTTTTCAGTATATTCACAGGGTTGCGCAACCATTACCACAATCCAATTTTAGAATCTCTTTGTCTCTCCAAAAAGAAACCCCGTACCCATTAGTAGTCACTCTCCATTTCCACCTATCACCCAGCTCCTGACAACCACTCATCTACTTTCTGTCTCTATAGACTTGCCTATACTGGACATATAAATAGAATCATACAAGATGTGGTCATTTATGGTCTAAGTTTTAAGCTATTGAAACATTCAGAAATTTTTCTTTTTGAAAGGTTGGCTCCTTTAAATAAACCTCTGGCAAAATCCTTCCCAGAAGGGAGAAATCATTAATCAGGCAGGAGGAACACTGAATGACCTTTTAAAGGATATTTGTATTTATCAGAGAATAACTACAACATCGCACAAATAAATGATTCTTATTTAATAGGAAGACACTTTGGGCAAATGTGAAATACATCATGGGACCAGTTGTTCCCTCCTAAGGCTGACTCTTGCTTCTGGCATCTTCTGCTCCTCCCAATCCTCCAGCATAACCTGCTTGGAGAAATTGTCAAGCTCTTGGAAAAGGCCAAAGTTCACTATGTACCTTCTCGCTAATAGGATGAGGGTGAGTTTTTTAAAAAAATAACTCTTGAAAAGTTTCCTGAGAGGTAAACCCATCCTCTTTAAGAAACAACTATAAATCTTTATCACCAATTTCATGCATTCTAAGATGCACAGTTTTTCACACATAAATGTTCCTCAAATTGGGATGCATCTTGCAGTTGCTGCTGGCCTGGTGATAGTCAAGGAGCTGCCATTGCTCACAGGAGCACGAGCCTATTGTAGCTCTTCATAGGGCATTTTAATTGAGATGTGTGCCTGGTTGTTACCACCCATGTGAGCTCCTAGGCCGCTGGCAATGTCTTCAGAAAGTGTATACTACGATTTGACATTGACTTTCTACACAATGTCAAAGTGTAGGAATTTCAGGAATACCCTGGCCTTATATTTTCCTGTTAACATATGCACAAGAGTGATATGCAATCTAAAAATAATCTGTTTAAAGTCTGAAGGAGCATTTTCAAACTGATTATAAAGAAAAAAAGCTTATGTTAGAGTTTAATTAGCAGGTATCTGTTCCCTTTCTTAGTGATACAAAAAATAATGATATATTTTACGATCTTTCATTCTGTATCTTAAACTCAGTATATCCCTGGTGTGTTATCTCAGTCTATGCTCTTCATGCATCAGAGAAGCGTTGTGAAATGAAGCAGAATTCTGACTCAAGTAAGGGGAGCTGAAAAAGGGAGCTTTGCTTTAGAAACTTTTGAGGTTACTTCTCATGCCCTGGTGCTTGTACAGAAGACAACAACAAAAAAATCATGCCAGAGAAAAACAAGTTGGGTTACACAAGATTCAAGTGGGATTCAGTTTTCAGAGTGCTGGCAAACAGCCTGGAAACAGCTCTATAAGCTCCTGGAATCCTCCAGAGGACTGCAGAACTCCATAAACCATATTCTGACATCATCCCTGTCTGGGTATAGACAGGACCAGCAGCCACCCAGGAATGGCCTTAAAGAATCCCTAATGAATTAATCATCATAAACCAGCTCGGGAGCAGGAGAACATGCTCATGCCGTCAGTCTGCCTTTGCCCAGGAGTTCCACCTCCCATTCACCAATTAACTTTACAGTTGCATCTGCCTTTCCTGCCAAGCTCTCCCATAAAGGAATTTATCACCTTCTGTTCTGCTTTTCTTCCCAAATGTGAATCAGAAACCAACAGCACTGTTTAAAAAGGCACTTTCAGCAAATCCAATTATGCCCCCAAGCACCTTTACACAGAATGAGTGAGCTCTTCTGCCTTGCCTTTTGTGGCTTTATTAAACCCTGCTGGCCCAGAAGCTCACTGCTAGCTTGGGCCAATAATAATAAGAAACACTTGTTTATGTGCCAGGTACTGTTCTAAGGGTTTCATATATATTAACTCATTTCATCCTCATGACAATCCTTTGAGATCAGTACTGTTATTATCCCACGTTACAGATAAGGAAACTGAGGCACAGAGAAGTTAAGAAACTTGCCCAGGGTCACACAGCTCCAGGAAGACGAGATGAGGGTTGAACCCAGGCAATCTGGCTCCAGAGTCCATGCTTGTAACCACTCTACGTGCTCCACAATGAAGAAAGATGGTCAGACATTTTACTTTGCCTTTTACTAAGTGAAGATGTGAAAGTTAGATGGTCCTGTGGCGTTCACATCTTTAATCAGTCTTACTTGGAACTCAGTATATATAAAGGATCCGATCAGAGATGTCTTGTTTGAAATGGGGGTAAGGACCTGCAGGCATTGCGCCTGTATGGCCTTCCTGCTGAACCCCTGCGGTGGCCTTGGGCATTTCCTCGGACACCAGAGGCTTCTGGAAATCACAACTGGGAAACCTCCACCTGAATGTCTCTTCTTATTGATGAGTTACCCGAGGAGTTCCCAAGGCTGCAGAGCTCAGCAGGGGCAGAGCTGCCGGCAAAGCCCAGCTCCCCTGACGCTCCACCAGATTCTGGCTCCCTGGCCCCGCCCCAGCGTGCTGCCTCTGCACGTCAGTTAGCGCCTGCAACACCGCACTTAATGAGGACAAACAAATGTGCTCATCGCATTGAGTTCAAGTGCGAATGATGTGATCTTTCTGCTCCTGCTTAGCAATCCCTTCTCTGGAAAGATCTAGGGCAGACACCGCAGAGCTTTAAACATCGACTTCCAGAGAGCAGAGGTGGGTTTACTGGGAAGCCCTCAAAATCAGAGCTGCAGCAGTTCCGATTAATCTCAGTTAGTCTCATCTTCAAGGGAGTTTTCGCTATCACTATTATTTCATCCCTGGATATTGTTTGGAAGCCTGTCCTTCTAATCAATGCCTAGTAAGACAGGGGATAGGACACTTATACCACCTGAGAAATTTGGAAGGGCTCATGCAAGTTGGTAATATCTCTTTTTTTCTGGAGTATAAATCTCCAACTTCTTCTGTATGGATCACTTTGTATTTGCAGAGAGCCCACAAAGCGTCATTGTTTTTGAAAGCATTGCCTCTTGAAAATAAATCTGTGTCCTTTCCCTCGCAGCAGGCGCTACCAAGACCTTTTCTGAGGGCTCAAACCAGACAGATGGAGTAAGCGGCCATGAAGTAATACTAACTTACAATTACTGCTCTGTATTTTTAAGTTAATAAATAAATAATTCTTCAACTGCAACACTTTCCTTTGTGTTAACTGAACTCTTACACATGGCGTACACCCACGGTGATATTAGGAGTAATATCTCCCTAAGATATTATGAATAATACCACAGGCTGTACATCCACTGTAATATTAGGAGTAATATCTCCCTAGTATATTATGATATCATACACTCACTGTGATATTAGAAGTAATATCTCCTTAGGATATTACAAATAATATCACAGGGTGTACACCCACTGTGATATTAGGGGTACTACCTCCCTAGGATATTACAAATAGTATCACAGGGTGTACAGCCACTGTGATATTAGGAGTTATATCTTCCTAAAGTTTTATGAATTATATCACAGGGTGTACACACATGGTGTACACCCACTGTGATATTAGGAATAATATCTCCCTACAATATTATAGATAATATCACAGTGGGTGTACACCTGTGACACACACATGGTGTACACCCACTGTGATATTAGAAGTAATATCTCCCTAGGATATTACAAATAATATCATGAGGTGTACACCAACTGTGATATTAGCAGTAATATCTCCCTAGGATAGTAAGAATAATATCACAGGGTGTACACCCACTGTGATATTAGGAGTAATACCTCCCTAGGACAGTATAAATAATATCACAGGATGTACACTCTCTATGATATTACGAGTAATATCTCCCTAGGATATTACTCCTTGTGTCACGGGGTGTACAGCCACTGTGATATTAGGAGGAATATCTCCCTAGAATATTATGAATAATAACACAGAGTGTACACCCACTGTGATATTAGGAGTAATATATTCCTAGTATATTACGAATGATATCACAAGGTATACACCCACTGTGCTATTAGGAGTAGTATCTTCCTAGGATATTATGAATAATATCTCCCTAGGATATTACGTATAATATCACAGGGTATACACCCACTGTGATATGAGGAGTAATATCTCCCTAGGATACTATGAATAATATCATATGGTATATACCCACTGTGATAGTAGTAGTAATATCATCTCCCTAGGATATTACGAATAATATCACAGGGTGTACATTCACTGTGATATTAGGAGTAATATCATCTCCCTGGGATACTATGAATAATAACACAGAGTGTACACCCACTGTGATAGTAGGGGTAATATCTCCCTAGGATATTATGAATAATATTACAAGGTGTACACCCACTGTGATATTAGGAGTAATATCTCCTAATATCCTAGGAAGATATTACTCATTTAATAACTTTTTTATAACTTCAGTCACATGCATAAACAAATCGACATTGGCCGGTTGCGGTGGCTCACGCCTGTAATCCCAGCACTTTGAGAGGCCGAGGCGGGCGGATCACGAGGTCAGGAGATGGAGGCCATCCTGGCTAACACGGTGAAACCCCGTCTCTACTAAAAATACAAAAAATTAGCTGAGTGTGGTGGTGGGCGCCTGTAGTCCCAGCTACTCCGGAGGCTGAGGCAGGATAATGGCGAGAACTCGGGAGGCGGAGCTTGCAGTGAGCTGAGATTGTGCCACTGAACTCCAGCCTGGGCGACAGAGTGAGACTCCACGTCAAAAAAAAAAAAAAAAAAAAAAGAAGAGAAAATTGACATAGACTTGCCTCCCTTTCTGACCTTGTCTGATGGTGTTTTGATAACTTTGATAGTGTGATACATTTATGCAGGATAGAAGGAAAAAAAGGAAATAATCACATTTTTTGCCCATTACTGATTTTTTAAAAATCCTCCCTTCCTCTGCGTGAATAGATGCATTATATTGACAGTCAAATGGCAACCACAGTATTATGTTCACATCTCTGGCCATCATCAGATATGTCTGCCTTTGTCTTTTGTAAACTTGGCCAAGTTATTTATGCTCACACTTAATTTCTCTCTAGAAATAATGCCATTCCAGTCATTAAGAAATAGGAATTCTCGAGAGAGAATTCACAGGTATGGCATTATTGTGGGGAAAGTGAGCTGCTCATTTATGAAAGACATTATTAACAAAGGAAGAGAATTCTGCTTTATGTTCAGATGGCTATTTTCTTGGATCTCACTCAAATCTTGATGTCATAGTCTGGGGCAGGAATGAGCAGCAAGTAAACGCCTTCTTAAGTAGATGCAGCCAAGTATAAAAGAAAATATATACTGTCCCTTAAAATTTAGTCTATGGACCATAAATGCTATTAGAATTGCCTCATTTCTTCCAGCAGTTTTCTAATATAATTGCCATAAATGGAATACTTTCAATACACAGATGTTCAGTCTCCACCCAAGACCACCTAGGTCAGAATCTATTGGGATGTGTACCAAGCAGTGTGTGTAAAGGATTTCTGCTGTGCCTAGCCTAATTGGCTAAGAACAACTGCTCTCAATGGTTCATTCTTTGATATCCTAGTTTAAAAAAAAAAAAAAACCCTAAAGCATTTTTGTAACTTTTTGTAATGTTTTCTTGATTCCACTGATGCCAAAATTAATTTTCCTGGTTAAAACATCACAACTTCAGGCTAGGCACGGTGGCTCATGCCTGTAATCCCAGCACTTTGGGAAGCCAAGGCGGGTGGATAACGACATCAAGAGATCAAGACCATCCTGGCCAACATGGTGAAACCCTGTCTGTACTAAAAATACAAAAATTAGCTGGGCATGGTGGTGTGCGCCTGTAGTCCTAGCTACTTGGGAGGCTGAGGTGGGAGAATCGCTTGAACCTGGGAGGCAGAGGTTGCAGTGAGCCGAGATCCCGCCATTGCACTCCAGCCTGGGCAAAAAATCGAGACTCTGTCTCAAAAAATAATAATAATAATAACTCCAGAAGATAATTTGAAGGGTAAAATTGACAGCAAATGATCCTTGGGGAAAAAGATAGAAAGTTTGGGGACTTCGCCAAGTTTCAATTTGAAAGAAGTACAGTGTGTGCGGTTAAAACCTCTTACCATCTGCTGACTTGATGAAATGACTTGGTGTCAAGCCAGCAGCAGACAGGTGCCTCTGTGCCACCATGTATTGACTTGGCCATTGTCATTAACAGGCAGTTTTAAGCATAGTGGCCCAGCACTGAGACCCAGCATGGCCTCTGAGCCATGCAGATGTTCCCTTTCCTGGGTGGGACCTCCAAGCCTTGGGAAGAATTGGACTGAGTATCAGTGGAGAGGGCCTTCCAGAGCTGTCATTCCCAACCAGTGCTCAATTCCTTCTGGAGGCACATTTCCATACACACCCAGCATTGCTGATGAGATAGGTTACTGTCCTAGAGTGTGAGCTGTGCAAGGGTGAGAAATGGTTAAACAAGGCACAAAAGCTACGCAAGACTGTACCAAGCTTAGGTTAACAGATATTTTCATATGTCCACAAAGCCATTTTACACAAAAAGATCATTCTCCCTTATGTAAATCAACACCCTTTCAAAATGGAAAAACATGAAATAAGAAGGAATCACAATAGGTTGAATATACTCTGAGCTGTGGTTTTCTATGTGCAGATGCCTGTCGTGAGTAGCTTGTAAAGTCAGCCACCGTGACCGTTCATGCATAGGCTTTGCTGATTTTACAAATACATAGTAATGCAGCCGCCTCTCCAAGGGCAGGCTGCAGCCTGACGTTTGCACAGCCAGCAGAAATAATTTCTTGTGGGAGATAGAATTTCGTCGTTTAGCAATATTCCATCAAAGGAAGCTGCACCCTCAGCCACACACGCTGTCTATTTCAGGGGAGTTGGCTGCCCTTCCCCTGGCTGCTTCCCTTCTAATTAATAGGCAGCCAGCAGGTAAATCAATGCATTTTACACAGGATGGCAGAGTAGATTCTGGAGATCTCTATGTTAGGAATATTTATCATGTGAGGCAGCCATAAGGTTTTAAAACATATGTGTTGGTTTTTCTTGATTATTGAAGTAAATCATGTTCAAGAAAGAAATGTTGAAAAATAAGAAATCTTGAAAAAAATCATTCTTAATTCAGTCATTCAGATAACCATTCTAACATTGTAGTGTACTTTGTACCATTTTTTTTTACACTATTGGCATTATAACATGAAATCAGTTTGCCCTTCTGCTTTCTTATGTAAAATTATCTTGTACATGCTGGACATTTAGTTGCTCCTTTTTGTGATTATAAATAATGTTCCAGTGAATATTCTTCTATGCAATGTTTAGTCTATATCTCTGATTATTTCTTTAAGGCAGATTTCAGGAGGTAGGATTTCTAGATCAAAAGACGTAAATAAATAAATAAACAGTGTAGCATTTAAACAAAGATTTTCTGGGTTCATTGGAAAACACACTGCTGGGCTTACTGGTTGTATACCGCTGTTTCTGGGTAAGAAAAAACACTGCCATCAGCTTTCCTCATACCAACTCTTCTTAACACTAAGGTAGCTGGTTTGATGCTTTCTCTAGTGGGGAGACGATGGGATGAAGGGACCCATGCTGTCCAGCTTCCTCTTGTTCCTTCTGATCTTCTTCCTCACATCTCTACCCTGTTCTGTGCCCTGGATGCTGATCTTTGTGAAATACATTAACGGGCTCCCTTTGCTGATGCAGCTCAGTCAGTTTCAACCAACGGGAGACTCTGGCTGTGGATTGGAGGGTGGGAGGATGAAGAAAAAGGGACTTTATTCCTCAGGTGCTCCCTGAAGAATTGTTGTGGGTTGTCTGCATCTTTTTCTTTTCTTATCTGCATTTTTTTGGTGTCATGAAATATACATAATATTTAACATCTTAACCGTTTTTAGATGTACAAATCACAATGTCAAGCAACCATCACTACTACCCATTTCCCAAACCTTTCATCATCCCCAATAGAAATCCATACCCACTAAACAATAACTGCCCATTATCCACCCTCCTCCCAGCTCCCGGTAACCTTTATTCTATTTTCTGTGTCTATGAATTTGACTTTTCTGCGTACCTCATATAAGTGGGGAATCATATAACATTTGTCCTTTTACGTCTGGCTTATTTCATTTAGCATAATGTTTTCAAGGTTTAACCATGTTGTCATATACAGGAGGATTTCCTTCCTTTTTAAGGCCGAATAATATATTATTGTATGTATATATGCCACATTTTGTTTCTCCATTCATCTATTGATGGATTTGGGTTGTTTCCACCTTTTGGCTATTGTGAATGATGCTGCTATAAATGTTGATGTACAATGCCTGCATCCTTTTACGAGGCCAGAAATCCTGCCAGGTGGCCCTGTCCATTCAGCTACCCTGTGTTTGTTCCAATAACTGCTCCTTTTCCTTGGCCCTTTGGGCCTAAAGCGGTGGTGGCCCCCTACTGTTTCTTATCCTGGAAGATGGCATCATCCCTTGTGGGTTTCTCTACACCCTATCCATGACTTTGTACGTCTTCTCTATTAATTTCTTCAAATTACCCAGTTTGAGTATGCCATCTATTCTCTGCCAGGATTCTGACTTTCACAGAAATTTTGCTGTAAACTGTCTTCACTTTAGACCTCTCAAGATGTACCTGAGTATATGGCCAATGCATCCCATCAGTAGATCCTGACAAACATCTGGAACTTCAAAATAATACCAATGCTCAGGCCTCTTTCCACTGCCATTGATTCAAAATATCTAGTGCTACGACCTGGAAAATTTTCATTATAAAGATGTTTCTCAGCGATTCTAATGCTGGGAAGTTCTAACATGAGTCCCTGCCATTTCAACTCTTGTTGCAGCCCTGACCTGAGACGTAGTTCTAGGTCTATTTTAAGAACTTAGGCCAATTATCCTAAGTGAATTAATGCAGAAACAGAAAACCGAATACCCCATGTTTTTGCTTATAAGTGGGAGCTAAACATGGACACGAAGATGGAAACAATAAACACTGGAGATTCCAAAAGCCAGGAGGGAGTGAGAGGGATAAGAGTTAAAAAACCACCTATCGGTTACCACGTTCACTGCTTGAGCAATGGGATCATTAGAAGCCCAAACTTCAGCATCCCCATGTAACAAACCTGCACATGTGCCTCCTGAATCTAAAATTAAAAAATGAAAATGCCCGGCTGCAGTGGCTCACGCCTGTAATCCCAGCACTTTGGGAGGCCGAGGCAAGCAGATCACTTGAGGTCAGGAGTTCAAGATGGCCAACATGGTGGAACTTCATCTCTACTAAAAATACAAAATTAATTAATTAATTAATTAAAATATAAAAGAAGAATTTAGGCCAGCATTTCTGAACTAAAATAGTCAAGGTGAAAGTATTTGAAAATTAATCACACTTTATTCACATGCACATTCTAAATTCACTTTGTTTCATATGGGGTTGTCTTCAAAATGATCAAGCTGTTAGGAAGAACAAAGAATTACTTTCATACCTGGAGATTGTCTTCTAAGCTGCCAAAATCTTGTCCATTGTTCTCTAGGCACCGTCTTACTGTGTACCAGATTTTTTATGATTATGATTCTATGGTAGCAGTAAAGTGCTAAGTCTGAGGAGATACCAGCATGCAACCTACATACTTCTAAAGGTTGCTTAACTAACAATACTTCTTGTGCATATCTCCCAAGGTGTACAAATACAGCTGTCCTGAAGTAGAATGTCAAAAGCCACACTAGATAGCATTTCCATTCCTTTCTGGCAAACTGGCTGCAAATTTGAATAGTATTCAGAGATGAGTGGGGAGCTGAAAGGCGATATAAAAAAACAGACTTTACCTCAATATTTTGCCAAAGGCAACTTAATTCAGAGTATTACATAATTGTTTGCTTATTACTTCATTTTCATTATCAACCCTGGGAGGTGGTAGATTTGAGTAATTCATTTAACTTCACTGATCTTCAATTTCTTCATCTTCAAAAAAGAGAGACAGACAGAAAATATTTTGCTGTACAAAAAAGCATCCAAGATCTTATCAAATTAAAAATTCTTGGTTCATGATTTCTATATTGCAAATGAGGAAATGAGGTGCAAAGGCGTTTAAATGCCGACTCCAAGTTCAAAAAGTGATATTACAGCAGGATTAAGCTCAAATCGAAGCCTCCTGGTTCCTAGCATAGTACGTAGGCCAAAACAAAGCCAGTCAGAAGGTTAAGGGGAATTTAATTGGCAATAAAATACATCAACAGCAAAAAGGGAGAGGAAGCAAGTAAACAAGAACTGATGCTGTAAATACTGGCCTTGCCGCATCACTGGCTAGACAGAGCAGGAGTGTGGTTGCCATGGTTAATGCAACCACTGAGTCCTGAGGTTTTTAAAAAATATTGCAGATCAGGTGCAGTGGCTCATGCCTGTAATCCCAGCACTTTGGGAGACCGAGGTGGACAGATTGCCTGAGTTCAGGAGTTCAAGACCAGCCTGGGCAACATGACAAAACTCTGTCTCCACAAAAAATACAAAAATTAACCGGGCATGGTGGTACATGCCTGTAGTCCCAGCTACTAGGGAGGCTGAGGCACGAGAATCACTTGAACCCGGGAGGCAGAGGTTGCACTGAGCTGAGATCATGCCACTGCATCCTGGACAGGGTGACAGGGTAAGAGACCCTGCCTCCAAAAGAAAAAAAAAAAAAAGAAAAAGCAAAAAATGTTAAATATCTCTAACCTTAAGTGAACTGGATGGGAGGTGTTAAAAATGGCCAAGAGGCCCTTGTCTGATTCACTGTGGCATTCATTCAGTTCAGGACAGCCACTAGAAATAAGCCATGGCTCTAGATGCAATCTGAGTTGCTCCAAGGCCAGATGTGAATTATTCACAGGGCTAAAAAGTGTCCCTTCTGCAGCTTGATGAATCGTTCCAAACTTAACAAACCTCTTTTGTCCTCTCATTTATAATATAAGAAGTTGAATTACTAAGTTTCTTTTCCCTTTTTTTTTTTTAAATGAGATGGAGTTGTGGTGGTGGGGGGGGGTCTCATTATGTTGCCCAGGCTGGTCTCAAACTCCTGGGCTCAAGTGCTTCTCCTGTCTCAGTTTCCCAAAGTGCTGGGATTACAGGTGTGAGCCACCAGTGCATGGCCCAGAATCACTAAGTTTCCTTGCTGCTTCTTAACTTAAAAGATCAATAACTTTCATTTTCTAAGCATCTTTTTTGAGTCTGCAAGAGGCTGCCTTACAGTTAACAAAATTGCTCTCATAAAAACTCAGACCATGAACTGTTGGTAAATTGAGTTTTTAATGTAATATTTAAATGTAATCATATTTGGGAATATCATATTTATCATTTGAAGAACTCGCTCCTAAAACACTATCATAATCACTATAGCAAGTTGCTGTTTTTAACCAGAAGTGGTTAAGAGAGATAAATGTGCCAGGTGCAGTGGCTCACATCTGTAATCCCAGCACTTTTTGGAGGCCAAGGTGGGAGGATGGCTTGAGCCCAGGAGTTTGAGGCCAGCCTGGACAGCATGGTGAGACCACATCTCTACAAAAAATTGTTTTAAAAATTAGCCAGATATGGTGGTGTATTCCTGTGGTCCCAGCTACTGGAGAGGCTGAGGCAGGAGGATCACTTGAGCCCAGGAGGTGGAGGCTGCAGTGAGCCATTTTTGTGCCACCGCACTCCAGCCTGAGTGACAGAACAAGACCCTGTCTCAAAAAAAAAAAAAATTATTTTCAGCACATAACTTGTGTTTACTTTAAAAATCAGAAATAGGGCCAGCAAGGTGGCTCACACCTGTAATCCCAGCACTTTGGGAGGCTAAGTCAGGTGGATTACTTGAAGTCAGGAGTTGGAGAACAGCCTGGCCAAGATAGTGAAACTCCATCTCTACTAAAAATTTAAAAATTAGCCAGGTGTGGTGGCGTGTGCCTGTAGCCCCAGCAACTTGGGAGGCTGAGGCAAGAGAATCACTTGAACCCTGGGGGCAGAGGCTGCAGTCAGCTGAGATTGCATCACTGTGCTCCAGCCTGGGCAACAGAGCAAGACTGACCCCCCAAAAAAATAAAAATTAAAATTAAAAATAAAGAAAATAAAAATTAGAAATACGTTTCTACTGGGGGGATAAAAAACCCCAGAAAACTTCTGTTGCTCATAGGCACTGGTTTAAGAAGGTGAATTGCAGGTTGTCCCAAATACAAAAACATACTTTCACTTCTGCAGCTTGTGCAGCCTTTGACCAGCACTGATATGTAACTAAATTTGAAATAATTTTGACACGCCACACCCTAGCATTAACTGTTGGAGCCACTGGCACTGGCAGGAACTAGAAGGCAGTGCCGCCAAGCCCTAACATTTTTGGCTGTGAAGACAAGATAAAATAAAGCATGTATGCTCAGGACAGCTTCCTGGAAGCCAGGTGTTAGCTTTTTCCTGCCAGTGTCATTGTCAAGTTCACTTTCTGAGTGTTTTGGGCTAATTGGATAGCACCGTGAGCCCACTGACGCCTTATGTCTTCACACCGCAATGAATACATGAAAAAAGAATTGGACATTCCTAATACTCCTCAATAATTTTAGTTCCTTTTGTTCTCTAGTCACCTTTTTAAAGAAACATCTTTTTCATTATAGCAGTGAGGAAATGGCTCATTGAGATATGAACAAACCTACGCTGACAAATCCCTACAAGAGGATGAATGGGGCCAGGCACAGCGGCTCGTGCCTCTTAACACACTGAACCTGGTAAATCCCAGCACTTTGGGAAGCTGAGGTTGGCAGATCACTAGAGGTCAGGAGTTTGAGACCAGCCTGGACAACATGTTGAAACCTTGTCTCTACTAAAAATACAAAAATTAGCCAGGCGCGTAATTAGCATGCCTGTAATCCCAGCTACTCAGGAGGCTGAGGCAGGAGAATGGCTTGAACCCAGGAGGTGGAGGTTATAGTGAGCCGAGATCATGCCACTGCATTCCAGCCTGGGTGACAGAGCAAGACTCTGTCTCAAAAAACAAACAAACAAACAAAAAACAGGATGAAAGGTGATGAGCACCACCTTGCTGATGAGATGGTAAGAGACTGCTTCCTCCATGGTAGATAGGAAGGATGGGCCTGAGGGTCTCAGGGGTGATGCCAGGTTTATTGTGTTGGATCACGATGTGGGCTCCTGTTGAGAGCATGTGGTGAGACTACACTCTTGAGGTCAGAGAGAGGAATTTTCTCAATGGGGTGTGTGTGTGTGTGTGTGTGTGTGTGTGTTTGTGTATTGGGGGGATCATCCCAGGGAAAAGGCTGGCCTTCAGTAGAGGACCAGAAATTCGAGGGCAGGCAGGCGAACAGCACCAGCAGCCCTTCTTCTCATACCCTTCCCTTACTCTTCAGGCCAGGATTTAGAAGTAATTTTTTTGACCCCATCCCTCTGGGGAAGGGAATAAGACAGACTCCATTGCAGAGGTAGCCCAGGAGCAAGATGTCAGGGAACCTCTCTCTGAGAGCCAGAGGAGGTGGTGACCTGTTGTTACTCTGAGTTTCTATTCAGTCTTGCTTTAAGGATTTCAGCTCAGTTACGGTTGTGCTGTGAAGAATGAAAGGTAGAGTTGTGTGTCTTCACCAGGTTCAGTGTGTTACGAGGGTGAGCTTCAGTCTCAAGTGGGACCGTCTCAAGGGATGGTGAACGTCAGGGAGCAGAGGGGAGGCATCTGGCTTTTCCCTCTGTTGATAACCTTGAGACAGTTTGCAGAGCAGGTGGGCATGGGACACTTGAGCCAGACTGTGTAGATTTATGTCTCTTTCCCCTTACCTACTACTTGCTGACCTTGGGCAGGTCACACAGCCTCTCTGGGCCTCCATTTTATTGTCTGTGAAAGTGGCATAATAAGTAACAGGTCGATTGTGAGAATTAAAGGAGTTTATTTGGTAACCTATACTGCTGTGTAGTGTTGGCTTGTATTTTAAGATGAAGAATGCTGGTGATTTCCTTACAATAGGATTCGCAGGAACACTGGTGAAGGGTGAGCAGCTGTGAAAGCAAAGCCAAAGAAGAGGAAGGGTGGGAAGAAGATCAGAGAAAAGGAAGATGTGGCTGCCCATGGCAATGGGTGGGAAAAGGTTAAAAAGGACACACTGGCAGGGCACGGTGGCTCACGCCTGTAATCCCAGCACTTTGGGAAGCCGAGGCAGGTGGATCATGAGGTCAGAAGATCAAGACCATCCTGGCCAACATGGTGAAACCCCATCTCTACTAAAAATACAAAAAAATTAGCTGGGCATGGTGGCGCGTGACTGTAGTCCCAGCTACTTGGGAGGCTAAGGCAGGAGAATCACGCTTGAACCTGGGAGGCAGAGGTTGCGGTGAGCCAAGATTGCACCACTGTACTCCAGCCTGGCAACAGAGTGAGACTCTGTCTCAAAAATAAACAAACAAACAAACAAACAAACAAACAAACATAAATAAAAAGGACACCCTAAGGGGCCACCTCTGGGGGAAATGTCATGGCATCCTTGTTTCTGCCCAGTGGGGAAAAGGGCAGGATGGGCTTTCAGCTTGGACTGCAGTATTCCCACTAAACAGAGCAGAGGATAACTCTTCTCCTTTGCCACAAAAAGAAGCCCAGAGGGGTTGAGCAAGAGTGCCAAGGTTGGAGGGTCAAGCCTGTAGAAATGGAGACTCTGTTCCTAGAGTGAGAACAACTAGCAGCAGGCAATTTCCCCAACATGTCACAGGAAGCATCTCTTTCAAGTAATACAGTTTACATAATTTCAAGGTCCATGAGGCATCCCAGCAAAGCCTGGCTTGGAAAAAGAACACCCAGATAATAAGTGTAGTGGGTTGAACTATGGCCCCCTACAAATACGTCCAAGTGCTCAGCCGTGGTACCTGTACATATGACCTTATTTGGAAAAATGGTCTTTGCAGATATAATTCAATTAAGGATCTTGAGGTGAGATTATTCTTACCTCATTAACCAGGTGGACCCTAAATCCAAAGGCAAATGTCTTTGTAAGAAGAGGAGAAGACACAGAGATACAGAGAGAAGACCCTGTGGAGATGGATGTGGAGACTGGAGTGATGCAGGCACAAGCCAAGGAATGCCAAGATTGCCTGCAGCTGCTAGAGGCTGGGAGGGAGGCCTGGAACAGAGAGGGAACCCCTACCGATGTGTGGATTTTGGACTTCAGCCTCCAGAACTGTGAGAGGATATATGTATTTTTTTAATGGTGCCCAGTTGGTGGGTAATTTGTGATGGCAGCCCTAGGAAACTGACAGAGTAGGGGCCCAGCAGACCTTGTATGTCACATGAAAAGCACAGATGAGAACCAGACTCCCCTGATAACTAAGGGTTTTCATCAGTTCCTTTGGGAGTTGCCACACCAGATATCCTTTAGAGCAGGGGTCCCAAACCCTCGCCAGGTACCAGTCTGTGGCCTGCAGGGAACTGGGCCTCACAGTAGGAGCGGTGGGGGAGTGAGCATTACCACCTGAGCTCTGCCTCCTGCCAGATCAGAGCTGCAATAGAGTCTCATAAGAGCATGACCCCTACTGTGAATTGCACATGCAAGAGATCTAGGTTGAGCACTCCTTATGAGAATCTAATGCCTGATGATCTGAAGTGGAACAATTTCATCCCAAAACTATCCGTGCCCCTCTGCCTCGTGGAAAAATTGCCTTCCATGAAACCAGTCCCTGATACCAAAAAGGCCATGGACTGCTGCTTTAGAGTCTGGGTTTAAGGTCACTCTATTGTGAAATACAGAAAGTTTTCATTCCACGGGGAGGGTTGGTTTATTTGAATCCACTCCTGTTACACTCCGGGAATCCTGAGTGGGAAAGCGCTCGGGATATAGACATTCCTTTCTAACTCCTGCCAGGCAAACAGCCCATGGGAGAAGCTGCTGCCTAGCGATTCTGGCTTGTTTCTGGCTGCTCCCTACTATTTGCAGAAGACTCTACTAATGGAAAGTTCCGGCGCAGATAGGCCTCTTAACACGACAGGTTTCCTATCAAGGAAAGGGAGCAGCTTGCCCTTCTAGATCTGGGCTGCAGTCATTATTTCTGCTCTAAGCAAACACCCATCTCTCCCCCAAACTGCCTTTCAGTGGGCTTCCTAGAAACACCTATGAAATGGTTTCTCCTGTAGTCAGAGAAGGCTGGGAAGCCTGCATTCCTGAGGGGAGGGCCCCTGCAATGCAGTTTGGTAAGCACCTTGATGGCAGGAACCCTGCCCTATGCTCTGCCCTGTCTCCAGGGCTCTCCAGGCACCCAGCACACAGTTCAGGTTCAGGGCGCACCTGTGGAGCCCTTTTCTCCAGGTGCCAATGAGAATTTCCACAGGAGCCAACTCCAACAGTAGGGTGGAGGGCTCCTGTGGTGAGATTAGGGTTTGCACAGACCAGCTCTGGGGCAGACGCTTGAGGGAGGGGATTGCATAAAAAACTGCATCCCCATCTGTTTCTGCTGCCCTTTCCACGCCAAACTTTAAGCCTCTATAAGAGAATTACCTAGCTGGCCACAGAGAGGAAGGACAGAGAGCCCGGCGCAGGTCCTCTGTCCATGAAAACATAGGTGCCAGCTTCCAACATGAAGGATGGCCCATCACTAGATGGATGCAAAGATGACATTCGGAGCCACTCCATTTTCAAATGGGCAAAAGCAAAGCAACGGCCCTTCCTTTTCATCTGGCAGGGTATTTTCTTCACGCAGCAGCACTTAGCAACGGCTTCATCCCTCCTGATTAGTGCTGCCATTAGAGAAATGATTCCTCAGCACAGTGAGTCATCTCAGAGCCTGACAACTGTAACCATTCCAGATGGTGAGAACATCAGTGACCATAATGGCCCTTCCTGTCAGTGTTTGCTGCGGATTGTTCTCGGAACCGCAGGGGACAGACACAGGCTTATAGCCTGTAGAGATTTACAAGGGGTGACTGCAAAGTGATGACACTGACTCCATGAGCCACATGTGGAAGTCAGTCGCCTTTTCTGTATAGTCACAGTTTTCATGAGGGGGCAGAACACAACATCAACTGGGAGAGGCAAAGAATGAAAAGATGCATGCGACCCAGCAGAACGCCAGGCAAGAAATCAGAAACAGGTGCTCAGACGGTCTCTGGGACAGGGCTGTCAACATGAGGGCTCTTTGCAGGCTTTTTTCATAGACAGACTTGCAGGCCTCAGAGGAAAAGAGAGGCATCCAAGATGTGTGCCTTTCAGTGTGAAGGGATAAAAAAAAAAGAAGCAATCTGTGGTTACTCATGTAGACAGCAAAAAGTCCAACATCTTGGCATTTCAGATTTTCAGGGAAAGATATGCCAAGTTAAAGAAAAATAAAGCCAGTTTTTAGAATTTGTGGAAATGACTTCATGAAGCTGGTTAAATTAAGCAATTCCCCCCCACCTGAATTTCTGGCTCCTTGGGAGAGCTGGAAGAACGTTCTAAGCACAGCTGAATTTATTTTACCAATTTTCAGGCTTACGTTATAAAAAATGGTACAGGCGAAACCTCATCATCATTATGGCAAAGTGAAGTGCTCATTTCACAATTGGTTGTTTAAAGTTAATACTAAATCAACTGAGCAGCCACTATAAAGATGAGGCATTGGCTTAATTCCTTGTTGTTACAGAGATAGCAGCTGAGTTAATATATACATGGAGATGCTGGCAGACGGTTCCTTTTGGTAATAATATTCAGTTTTATGAATGGCTCATTTATTTTTTATGCATTCCTCTTTAGCCCTGCCCTCATTTCTCCCCTCCGTACTAAGTCTGGGTCCCAGGACTCTGAAGGTGGAAGAGGAACGATGGCGCTGCATGCTAATGGGGAGGAGGCTGCCACCCAGGACAGCTCCAAAGCAGTGAAAAATGAGGAGAAAAAAAGATGAGGAAAACAACTCAGTGGCAGAAATTGGGTGCCAGTCAGCTGGTTATTTACTGAGTCTACGCCCAGTGTGTCTTCGTAGGTGTGTTTGTTTCAAATCCAGGCAGTGACGCATGGTTACAGTGAAGATCTGCCTGCTCACCTCCTGCAGGGGAACTTAATATGCACAAGGCGTTTTATCTCTTTCATCTAATCAACTGAAGAACGAGAGGAGCATACTCTCATTTGAGGTACAACCCTCAAAGAAAAATGCATCAGACCTTTGTCTTCAAAGTCACTGGGGCAGGATGGAGAGAGGCTGTCAATTGCTCCAGCTTTTCTTGCAGCTGCCCCTATGTTTACAGCAGAGCCCTGAAGGGTCTGATCGACACTGTTAAGCAGTTTCTGTGTTTTGTCTGCCCACCAGGCTATTCGCTTTCCCAGAGTGTCAGTGTTTACCAGCACTTCAGCAGGAGGGCACTGGGTCTGCCCCTGGTTATCCCCCAGAACATTCCTTCCTCTCTGCTTGGCTCTCCCTCCGCATAGTCGTCCTGTGGAACACAGATGCCAATGGGAACACCGGAAAAGGGATGGTTAAGGAGCTCTTTGGGCTCACAGGCCACAGCTGCAGGAGAGCTGAGACTCCTCAAACAGATGAGAGGCAGTCGAGCAAAGTGGTTAAGAACTTCAGCTGCGGAGGCAAACTGCCTTGCCTGGAATCCTGGGTCTCTGCTGACTAGATGTGTGACCCTCAGCAAGTTGCTTAACCTCTTTGTGCCCCGGTTTCTGGGAGATGAATATAATAATAGTATTTCTCTCATAGGCTTGTTGTGAGGTTTAAATGAGTTAATGCAGGTAAATTACTTAGAACGTTACCTGGTGTTATGGTCTGAATGTTTGTGTTTCCCCAAAATTCATATGTTGAAATCTAATCACCAAGATGATGGTATTTGAAGCTGGGATCTTTGGGAGGTGATTAGGTCATAAGGACAGGGCCATCATGAATGGGATTAGTGCCCTTTGAAAGAAGACCCCAGGCTGGGCACAGTGACTCACGCCTGTAATCCCAGTACTTTGAGAGGCTGAGGCCAGAGGATTGCTTGAGTCCAGGAGTTTGCCTAGCCTAGGTAACATAGTGAGACCCAGTCTCTACAAAAAATAAAAAAGTTAGGCCAGGCGAGGTGGTTCATGCCTGTAATCCCTGCGCTTTGGGAGGCTGAGGTGGGTGGATCACTTGAGGTCAGGAGTCCTAGACCAGCCTGGCCAACATGGTGAAATCCCATCTCTATTAAAAATGCAAAAATTAGCCAGACATGGTGGTGCATGCCTGTAATCCCAGCTACACAGGAGGCTGAGGCAGGAGAATTGCTTGAACCCTGGAGGTGGAGATTGCAGTAAGCTGAGATGGTGCCACTGTACTCCAGCCTGGGCAACAGAGTGACACTCTGTCTCAAAAAAAAAAAAAAAGTTAGCTGGGTGTGGTGGCATATGCCTGTAGTTCCAGCTACTCCAGAGGCTGAGGTGGGAAGAATGCTTGAAGCTGGGAGGTTCAGGTTGCAGTGAGCCATAATTGCACCTCTACACTACCCTGGGCAACACAGCAAGACCCTATCTCTAAAAATAAAAATAAAAAGACTCCAGAGGGCTAGCTAGCCCCTTCCACCATATAAGGACACAGCAAGAAGGTATCATCTGTGGCCAAGGAAACAGGCCCTCACCAAATACGAAATCTGCAGGCACTTTGATCTTGGACTTCCCAGCCACCAGAACTGTGAGAAATAAATTTCTGTCATTTACAAGCCACCTGGTCTATGGTATTTTGTTATAGCAGCCCAGGCTGACTAAGACAAATGGCACAAAGTTTTACCTACTGTTATTATCTCAGCTTCCCCTATCAGGCAGTTCCTGATTTAAACACCAAGAAATGCCCACTTGTACTTATCACCCTAAACTTCACCAGCAGTAAGAAGACCCCCATCACGGAAAATTAAGCATCCCTGTCTCACCCTCTCAGATCCATAATGAAGAGAGCTGGACTTTTAAAGTAATTGTCCTTGGCCAGGCTTGTGCCTGTAATCCCACCACTTTGGGATGCAGAGGTGGGCGAATCACCTGAGGTCAGGAGTTCAAGACCAGCCTGGCCAAGATGGTGAAACCCCGTCTCTACTAAAAATACAAAAAAATTAGCCCAGCATGGTGGTGGGTGCCTGTAATCCCAGCTACTCAGGAGACTGAGGCAGAGAATTGCTTGAACCCAGGAGGTGGAGGTTGCAGTGAACCGAGATGGTGCCACTGCACTCCAGCCTGGGCGATAGAGTGAGACTTCGTCTCAAAAAAACAAAAACAAAAACAAAAACAAAAATTAGCTGGGCATGATGGTGCGTGCCTGTAGTCCCAGCTGCTCAGGAGACTGAGACAGGAGAATCTCTTGAACTCGGGAAGTGGAGGTTGCAGTGAGCCGAGATCGTGCCACTGCACTCCAGCCTGGGCAACAGAACGAGACTCTATCTCAAAAAAAAAAAAGTTAAATTAAATTAAAATTAAAAATTAAAAATAAGTAAATAAATAAAGTAATTGTCCTTGGATACTAGGGGAGAAATGCTTGAGGGATGTTTTCCCTCTGGTGGGAAATTGAAAAGTGCTCCTCTTCCAGGACTCAAAGTTGGCCATCACCCCACTTGTGTTGTTATCTCATCAGGCCTTTGGGGGCTCAGCTGGCACTGTTGAGGGACTGCTAAAAATGCCCGATAGGTCAAAGCAGGTCCTGCGGCTGGAAGACTCACACTTTAAAGGAGATAAGACATTCATTCATAGGGAGCAGTCAGATAATACAGAAGGCAGCCTCTGATCAAGCTTCCCCAATGTGTGGTTGAGAGCGGGGTGCTCAGGTGCTCAGGAGAGAGAGAGGTCAGTGCAAACAGCTCAGCCCCGCTAATCTCAACATTTGCCCTTCAGACCTCTTTCTCAGGGATAATAAGGTTTTCTCTTATTTTCTTCTCCTCCTCCTCTTTCTTCTAGAATTTATTTGCCATATGTTTCAGAGAAAAACTCAGAATATTGAGGCTGGATAAGAGCTTAAAGTGACTTTTCTCGAAGTGTGGTCGTCAGACTCCCTGCTTGAGAATTATCTGGAGTGTTCATTAAAACTGCTGATTCCTGGGCCAAACCCTGGGCTACTGAATTAGACTCTGGGGCAGGGGGTGCACTGGGACTCCGCATTTTTAAGAAGTTTCATAGATGCTTTTTATGCACACTTTAGCATGAGAACTGTTGATGTGGAAGTAATTTAGCTTATTTTGCCAATGGGGAAACTGAGGCCCAGAGAAATGAAACTGCTTTCCCAAAGCCACCCAGCTAGTTAGTGGCAGAAGCAAAAGCCCATAGGAGAGGAAATGCAAAAGCCCATAGGAGAGGAAATGCAGGAATGTTCTTATTGCAGAGAGGGCTTAAGGCTTTCTGGATGTGAAACCTTCACAGACAAGCAAATATTGAGTTCCATTTCCTCTCCAGCTGGCATATAGTCCTGGCTACAGCAATGTGGGACTTATTGCCATATTTTACAACAGACATAAATCCTGCATTTCCAAATAAAATTAGAACCTAGTTTATGCCCAATGAAAATAAATTAATTTTAATGAGAATCTCACTTATAGTGTTTACAGATTTTTGCATGTTTCATTTGGTAATTTAATACTATTTTACCTTGAGTGTTGATATTAAGTTGATGAAGTGGCTTTTAAGACAATAAAGAAAAGACCATAAATATAACTGTTTCCTAGCCTTTTAAACTTCAAAATAGTTACTAATTATAACACAAAACTAGGTAAAGCAGCAAATGATAGAGAGATGGGAAAATGGCAGAGGTAAAGGGGGAAGATGGGAAACGTACAGCTACAGAGCGGATATCTGTATATCTGACCCCAAACTCATGATGTCTGATAAAGAGGCACTGAGGCCATGCATTTTTCTTCATATTGCAAGTAGCTCGAGGCCAGATTCTATGGCTTCTGTCTTCTTTAGGCTGTCCCTCAACACTAAGTTCGGTCTTCTGTAAACACTCAAAATGTGTTGCATGAACAGGAGAAGAAGCTGATAAAGATGGAATAGTGAGAAAGGGGGTATATGAGGATATGTGAGGGTGAGAAAAGGAAAATTAAATCAAGAAGTGGAGGAAGCCTGTGTCTAACTCTCCTTTATGGGACTGGTGTATTTAGAAGGGGATCAAGTGTCACAGAGGAGAGTGGCATGGTTTGGCAGGAAGGCCACAGGAAGTCCAAGGAAACATCAATGCTTGTAGGGCAAATACAGGAAGCTAGAGTAATGAAATTTAAAGCTGGGGTATATAAGAAACCACCTATCCAGCTTTATATCTGTCATTGAGCAAATCACCAAACCATCTAAGATAAATAGCTTTCTGTTCTAATTTCATTCATTAGTGTTTCATTTGTTCAGATTCAATTATTCCAAAAATATTTGTTGCTTTCTAAAAATAGTGATAAGAATGACTGTCATTTATAGCGTGCCTATTTTATGCCATTACCCCATTACACAGATGAGGACCGAGGCTCAGGGAAGCTGGGTAACTCACCCAAAGTTACAGAGCTGCGATTCAACCCCAAGCCTGCTCCATCCCAGACTCTCCTCCATCCCAGACTCTCCTCTGAGTTGCTGTAGTGTCGCCTAAAGTCAGCCCTTAACTCAGGCACGCTCAGGTGGAGCTTCTGCAAACTCCCCCATGGTCTCTTCCATCACTTACTTCCTCAGGGGGAGCTAATTCTGGCCCCAGCTCTGCCACACATGTGCTGTGTGGTCTTGGCCAAGGCGGGGACTGGACTAGGCGATTGCTGAGATTCCTTGCTCCTCTAAAATTCTGTATGTCTATTACTGGCTACTGTCATTCCTCTCAGTCAGGAGCACATTCTCTCTAGACCTTGGCTGTCTCCTGTAGTAGTAAAATAAGCCATTGCCCACCCAGTAGTTCTCCTTCTCTCTCTCTATTTTTTTTTTTTTTTTGAGACGGAGTCTTGCTCTATCAGCCAGGCCAGAGTGCAATGGCGTGATCTCAGCTCACTGCAACCTCCGCCTCCCAGGTTCAAGCATTTTCTCCTGCCTCAGCCTCCCAGGTAGCTGGGACTACAGACCCGCGCCACCATGCCCAGCTAGTTTTTGCATTTGTTAGTAGAAATGGGGTTTCACCATGTTAGCCAGGCTGGTCTCAAACTCCTGGCCTCAAGTGATCTGCCCATCTCGGCCTCCCAAAGTGCTGGGATTATAGGGGAGAGCCACGGCGCCCGGTCCATTATTCTTTAGTAACAGAATCCCTGACTTTAAGGTAGCAATGTACCTCCTAAAAGGCCACATTTTCCAGCTTTCCTGGAAGTAAATGCACCCTTTTCTAAATTTTGGCCAGTGAGTTGTAAGTGGATCAGAGTTTTCGGAGAGTTCATTTCACCTTCCCCCTTCTTCCTTCCTGCTGCCAGGAAGGAAGTTTTGATGACTACCAAAGGAGAATTTGAAGATGGAACCCACATGCTAACAACGGCGGCACAGAGAGAGGGAGCATGATTCTCAGATGACCGCGGAGGTGGCCTACCCGCCCTGGACTTTCTGTCTTTGAACTGCTGGTTTTCTTTTGTTTTGTTTCTGAGATAGGGTCTCACTGTGTTGCCCAGGCTGGAGTTTAGTGGCATAATCAGGGCTCACTGCAGACTTGCTTCTTGAGCTCAAGCAATCCTCCCACCTCAGCCTCCAGAGTAGCTGGGACTACAGGCACATGTGACCATGCCCAGCTAATTAAAAAAAAAAACTATAGAGAGGAGGAGTGGGGGTGAGGATTTTACTATGTTGCCCAGGGTAGTCTTGAACTCCTGGGATCAAGTGATCCTCACTCGTCAGCCTCCCAGGGTGTTGAGATTACAGGCATGAGCCGCTGAGCTCAGCCCCAAACTGCTTTCATGTGGGAGAAAAATAAACCCTTAGATATTAGGTCTTTATCCTTTTGGATTTTTTTTTCTACATGAAGGCAAACTAATTCTTATGGATACATCTTCAAACTCTTCATTCTTTATTTTTCTGGCTGTAATATTTCCCTTAAACTGTGGTGGTAAATTTGTTATGGCCTGCTGGACAAATTGATAACCTGCTGGCACCTCCAAGTGAATATGTACAGTGCCGGATTCATAATCACCCCTGGGAAACTGTTTCCCCTGTGTTCCCTGTTGCTGTAAATGGCAACGCCACTTTACCTGTCACTAGTGATTAAAAACCCGGTGTTATCTTTCATCCTCTTATTCATTCAGTTACCAAACCTTTCAGATTCTCCGTTCATTAATCTAACATTTTAAGAGCATATTATCTCAAGAGATGATTGATGCTGAGGATACAAGAATAAGCCAAACAGATATTTACCCCTTGTCAGGAAGCTTACAATCAAGACAGGCATTACTTAAATAATCATGCAAACAATTGTAAAATTGCCACTGGGTCAAGTGCTACAAAGAAAAGGTACTGAGAATACACACTGAGCTAAAATCTGAAGGATGAATGGAACCTAACATGGTAGAGAGTAGGGAAGGCAGTCACACTTCAGGCAGAGTAAACAGCAGGTGAGAAGGAAAGGGCTGATATACTCCATGAGTGAAAAGAAGGCTGTTGGCTGAAGCTCTAGGAGCCAAAGAAGCAAAGGCACGATGCAGACCGTGCTGACTTTGAGCTTCCTTTCAAACCAATGGGAAGCCATTTGAAAGGTTTTAAGCAGCAAAGGGAGGGCTGGCAGTGACCTGATCACTCTACACTGCCCTTCCTCTTTCTTTCCTCCTCTTTTCTTGATTCCCCCTGCTGCTGCGCTCATTTTCTCTCCCCTGCCTTCTCTTCCTGAACTCCCCCTCCACAGGCTGGGGATCATTCTTCAAATCCCAGTGTTGATCATTTGACTCCCATTATTTGTTTTGTTGTTGTTGTTGTTTACACATGAAGCCAATTTATTAACAGACAATATTTTGAGGACTCCTGCTCCCAGGCGGTGACCATGGCAATCCTCCTTCCTCTAGTGCTGTCGGAAGGGAATGGGAGTGACATCCTCGATCTGCCCCGATCTTCATCCCCAAGCAGGCAAGTGTTCTGAGGGCTGACTGGGCCCTAGGTCCAGGGTGCTTGGTCCTATTTCCTGCTGTGGCCTGGAGTTTGCAAATGTGTAGGGCAGTAATGCCCCAGCTCCTTGCACTGCTGGGCCACCTCCTGGGCAGCCGACATGGCAGTGTGTGGTGAGGATTCATCCTGTCAGCTTTCATCTTCATCCTGGCAGCCACATGGCAGGTAGTTCCCTTGCCAGAAACATCAGTGACATGGACAAAGGTGTCATTGAAGGAGACAAAGATGTGGCAGGCACCAAATACATTCTCTCCTTCAACCACCTGAGGTCCGAGGCTGATGACCTGTTCTTCCTTTTTCTTCTTCCTCTTGGAAGGACCATTTCTGTGCACTGTCTCCAGACTACATAAGGGGAAGAGGATCCATTCTTAAAAGCCTCCACAAGCTCCTCACTTCCTACTAAATGCAATCCAACTTGCCAAACCAGAGTTCAAGGGCTCTTCAAGGAGGCCCTAGCCACCGGTGCAGCCTTCATTGCCTGCCACTCCCCCTATGCACCCTAAGTGCGGCAGCCAAGCCGTGCAGTCCTGCGCTTTCTGACTCACACCTTCCTCACACCCTCCCCAGGGCAGGAATGCCATTTTCTTGAAGGGCCTTTTGTCCTTTAAGACCCAGCTCAAACTCAACTGCTCTTTCCAACCCAGAGCCATCCATCCCTTCTTCCTGTGTCTGAGCACTGTAAATGCTCCTCGTGGGGAACCTGCTACTCTGTGTTTGGGCAGAAGCCTTATCTCCCGAATCAACTTGTTGACAGGAGGATCCTGGCTTCCTTTTTGTACCCAAGAGGGCTCACTGTGCCCTACTTAGACAAGGGGCTTAGGAAATGTCAACTGAAGCAACAAATGAATGACACTCAAATAAGTGGGTGAATAGTATCCAGGGTCACACTTGGCACAATTCTTTTGCAGTTGATGTCCACGATATATCTTCAACATGATGCTGGTAACATGCAGGCTGATGTGGGACACAGACTACCTGTGTTCAACTCTCAGCTTGTCCACAAGCTACCTGTGTGACCATGGACAAGTTGCCTCATTTCTCTGTGCCCCAGTTTCCCTATCTGCAAAATGGGGGCAATAGTTTACCAGTGTCCTGCGGAGTTAAGCAAATTAATTCACATGAGGCACTTAGAAAAGTGCCAGTCATGGAGTGAGTACTCAATAAAAGTCTTCATCATCATCTCATCATTCCTGCTTAGAATGACTCTCACTGTAGGAGAATGCCTGCTGTGACCCAGTGACCTACAAAATAACACTTGGTCTCAGACTTCGGGGCAGCACGAACTATCAACCGTCTAGGAGGGAGCCACCCAGCAACTCTCTATCTTAAAAAAATGCACCTGTCACGTCCTCCGTCTTGTCCCACAGACTTCCAGTTTGTGCTTTTTCAGCTACTGGACTGTGAACTCCTCAAGTGCAGAGACTGCAATAGTAACAACCAGCATGACAGAATCCTAACCACACTCTAGGCACTCTCAATAGATACGAGCATTCGTATCTATTAACTCAAGTCGTTTTTCCAAAAGTCTTGTGGGGGACCTGGGGCACCAAGAAGTTAGGTAACCTGTCCAGAGGCACAGAAGCAGCTTTAAACCCAGACAGTCTGGCTCCAGGGGCCATTGGCTTTTCTGCAATATCTCACCTCCTCTGTGCCTGGTGCATAGTAGGCACTCAGGAAAATGTTTCCTGAATAAGTGAATCCCAGTGGCATCTTGAGGGAAGCCTTCTAGTATTTTCTCTGTCCAGGATTTCTGACTAGCTTCCTCTCCCACTGACCCTTCCACTGCAGCTGATAAATGCTCCCTCTCTTTTCAGGAAACCATTGCATGCTCCCTCTGGGCTGCTGGAGGAAGTCATCCTGTGTAACTCCACGCTGTGGTCCATTTCCAGACCCTTCTCACTTTCTCTTTCTTAGAAAGAGATAGGTGGAGACTCCAACACACTCCTCAAAATGAAAATTGCTTTGCTAGGCTGGTGGAATTCAAAATGGTTTTTTAAAAAATTTAACTGGATTTTATTTGCAATATACATTTTTTTACTCTGTGAAATATGTATATGTTAATTGTAGAAATTATAGCAACTACAGAAGTATACAAGGAAAGGAATTTAAAATGGAGGTTAGTTTTGCTCTTTACTCAAAATATTCTTTCATGTTAAATGATCCTTACAGCAAAAACATGAAAAGAATCTAAGTGATTAGACATTATGCATTATGGGAAGAAAAAATGTTTCCAGTTCTGCCTTGTTCCCATTTAGCTTCTCAGGGTCTTGACAACTGCCTTAACATCCTCCTCTCCTGCCCTAACTGGTGAATTGAGCCACAAGGTGAATACAGAGGCCCAGAAAGTTCCCTGATTCTCCCATAGTTTCCAAAGGGAAATGGGCAGAGTGTTCAGCCTGGATTAAAGGAATGCATGCAGAAAAAACCTGTACCTTCCATACCAAGAAGCAAATCTTTGAGGGTTTTCTACCTCCCCTTTCAGGATCCTTTCTCTTTCCTACAAAAAACGGTGCTGGTCACATACACCACAATATATTTTGTTCAGTTTTGCAAATGATTTTCAAGCAACATTTATGCTGTAAGAATATTAGACCTAAAATTAGGATTTTTCTGTTTTGGTTCTTAATATTTCTTCTTTGGTTAATAAAAACGTATTCACCCTATTTTTTTTTAAAAAAAACATATACTACAAGGCAATATGTATGTGTTGTAGAACATTTGGAAAATATTAAAAATGCACAAAGAAGGAAATGAAAAGCATTAGTAAAGCCACCATCCAGAGAACCTGGCTCATTCTCAACTTCTGACTCTCTAGATGTGGATAAGTAAGTACAGAGGGAAAGAAACATGTGCATGGTGGATACCTCTGCATTTGGCTGCTCCCGAGTGCCCGGCATCTGTTCCTAGCACTCTGATTCCCTTTAGAAACTGCTTTCCCCTGTATCTCCTCCCCACTGCCAACCACCTAACCACCCACCACCCACCCATCCACTCACCCACCTGCAGGAGTAGAGAAAAGTGTCAGGCCCACTCCATCCCTGTACGCATTTTTACTGGGTTAGGCATAAAACCCAGATAGTCTAATCAAATTCCTCTGGTGGTTGGGGGGGAGCTTTTAAATATTAGACCCAGGGAAGGATTTTCCCTTCTACTCTGGTGGTAAAGACAGAAGACTCCTGGAGCTCCCAGCTGCAATAATTACAGTCCTGTAGAGAAAGCTGGTCCCAGAGAATGAATGAAAGACAAAATACTGGAGAAGCCTGATGGGGTTTGAGTCCCTGGTCTCATTGTTACTCATGTCAGTTTTACCTGGTTCTGGTTGTCCCTGGAATTGGCAACTTCTTGCCCTTTCCAAGCATGATGACATGAGCCAATAAGTTTCCTTTTGGGCTGGACTAGTTTGAGTTGGACATTTTCTCACTGGAACCAAGAGTCTTGTTTAAACAAACACACCACTATTACACATACAGAGAGACAATTAGAAGTGTATTTATTTAGTATATATATAACACTATGCGTATGTGTGTGTGTGTGTGTGTGTGTGTGTGTGTATATATATATATATATATATTTTTTTTTTTTTTTTTAATGCAAAGAAAACTGTTGGGCCTCATGTCACTGGCTCTGGATAAGGCCAAATGTATGGGTGGAGCTGCCCCCTCCCGCGGTTGACCCAGTTAGCTCCTAGCATTTTCACGGCTCTTATGGGAGTCAGCATGTGTGCCCTGATGCTGTGGGAGTGTGGGTCCAAGTTTAGGGTCTGTGATTCACACTGTCTCTCTGGAACTGGGCTTTCTAACCTAACAGGGAAACTGGGCAATGCTGACAAAAAGAAGGTATTGGCTATCTAGTGTCCTTCCCAGCCTTGCACTCTCAGGCCACACTGACCCCTGTTCACTGTGCAGCCAGCGGCCAATAAAGGCAGACTGCATAGCTCAGCTCCGTTGTGGAAACCGCCTCTCCTCACCTCATTCCTGCCCCTTTCCAGTCTGCCTCTGTTTCCCTGTCACCTCTAATTTATATTCCAGATTTTGACCCCTCCCCTGCCCCTTTGGTTTTAACAACGAATCTTAGTTTTTGCTGTTTAACCCACATCCTCCCACCCTGCTTCTCTTGCTCATGCTCTGGACGCCCCTGGAACACTGATCCTGACGTGAGTTCATGTGGCTGCTTCCTTAGAATCTTCATCTCAGTTGCCGGAAGGCAGAGGGTCTAACAGTACAAGCCAAGAGGAAGGATGGGGTTCCCTTAGGAATGGGACAGGGTGGGTTATGAACAGAAAGGCACCTTCATGCCAGGTAAAAAGCAATCAATTGGCACTTGTAACAAGATGGAGGTATTTCTGCATGGATTTCATGGAGTTAAGAGGTAAGTGGGTCTTAGCCCATTAACTGGCTTAGTTGGTCTCAGTGACATTCAGAGGTGCTGGGGAACATCTCAGGAAGGATTTACAGTGCCTCTTATTTTGTGAATCTGTCTTCCTGCCCAGAGAAGAAACAATCCTTCTCTGTGCTTGTATTATCACCTAAAATAGATGCTTTCCTCTTTTTCTTAATAAAACTTGTATTTCCTTTCTCTGTGGACCCTCCAGAGGGCAAAGAAGAGAAGCTCAGATCTGGGTTGGAAAGAGCTGCTTCGAGCATTTTAATGATCAGTTAGGCTCCATCCCCAGTTTTCCTTCACCTTCCAAATTGGGGCCACTTTCTCTCCACCTCCACTTGCTTGTTAGTTCAATTATGATCGTTCTCTGCTTCCTTCCATATTGGATTTAATGTAGCTAAAAATACAATACAATACACACAATAGGACAATATGAAATAAAGATAAAGAATGACATCAGGATCCATTAGATGGAAAGTGAGGAAAATGCAATTAAACCAGGAAACTTGGGAGAAAATGGTGATGGAAGATGAACAATACCATATTTGAGTTCTGCACTCACTGATGATAAAGACTGATTAGGTACTTAAGGAAAGATGATATGTAACTCCTAGCTCATTAAATAATTGGTTTTTCTGTTATTATGGAGCGTGCAGTAGCGCCAAGCACTTTTCAGGATACAGAGATGAGTAAGACTGATCCCTATCCTCAAGGTGCTCAGTCTAATCTGCTCCCATTTTAACCTCATGCTTTGAGAGTAGTCATACATTTCTATGTGTCTGATCCACCTACAACCCATTCAGTCCCATGGCTCATGACTCATGTAGTTGGTAAAACTAGTTCTACCACCTACTACAGACTACTGGACCAGGGGTCTATGTCCAAGCCAAAGAGCACATAGGCACTGGGATTCAGGGAGGTCAAATATCCACAATGTTCCTTGACACGAAACTACCTAATATATTTCCTCGATATTGCATGAAGACACACCAATTTGGGCAGATCACATTTTCCAACGGTGCCTGCAACAAATCCCTTATCCCACTTGCTCTTCTCATAATGTGGCTTTGACACGCCTCCAAGGACAAGTGGGGTTTATGTCCTTTCCACCTTGAACCTAGGTAGACTTTGTAACTGTCTCAAACAATAAAGTATGGCAGAAGTGATGTGATGTGATTTCTGAGTCTAAATTATAAAAATACTATGCATTTCTACTTTGCTCTCTTGGGACACTTGCTCTTGGAACTCAGCTGCCATGCTGTGAAGAAGCCCAAGGAGTCTATGGAGAGGCCCACATCATAAAAGCCAAGGCCGCTGGACCACAGGCTTGGCTGGGCTCCTATCCGACAGCCAGAACAAACTTGCCAGCCATGTGAGTCATCTGAAAGTGGGACCCCCAGATCCAGTTGAACTGCCCAGCCAATGCCGTGTGGGAGAGAGTTGAACCATTTGCACTGAGCCTCATGCAAATTGCAGATTTGTGTGAAAAATAAATTGAGTGTTGTTGTTTTAAGCTGCTAAGTTTTGAGGTGTTTAAGCAGCAATAGACTGCTGAAACACCCATCCAATCAGGTTTTCTCTCTTGGGAAGTGTGAACACTGGATGCCTCCAGGGGTGGGCCACTTGAGCTCAGGCTGAATCCCAAGCAATGCTGATTTTGCTGTTCTCCACACTCCTATATACATTCTAGGCTGGAGTATCCTGCAAGCCAGCACGACTATGGCTGTGAAGAGGCAACATGCCAGTCTGCTTGAATGTCTTTCCAATTCTAGCACTAAACACACCTGTCTCTAACTTGAGAGTCCCTGGACATGCCTCTCCACTGCAACCTTAAAGAGGATCATATGCTGTTTATGTCAGCTCTAGTAAGTGGGAACTTTATTTTTTCACCTAGTGACCAAACCTTTACCAGCACTTAGATTTTAAAACTAGGCTTTTTACTTATCACCCCTATTCTAAGCCCTGGCTTTTTTCTCAGCATGATAGACCATTACTTCTGGGCCTAGGGTCCTGCCTTCACTGCCTCTGTTCCTTCTTATCTCAGCCTGCAGCCTCTGTTACTTCTTATCTCAGGCTATGCTCACCTTAAGGCATCCTTGACAATGACTGAAACTTTTTTTTGTTTGTTTTTTTGTTGTTTTTTTTTAGACAAGGCTGGAGTACAATGGTGTGATCTCATCTCACTGTAACCTCCGCCTCCCAGGTTCAAGTGATTCTCCTGCCTCAGCCTCCTGAGTAGCTGGGATTACAGGTACATGCCACTATGCCTGGCTAATTTTTGTATTTTTAGTTGAGACGGGGGTTTCACCATGTTGGCCAGGCTGGTCTCAAACTCCTGACCTCAGGTGATCCGCCTGCCTCGGCCTCCCAAAGTGGTGGGATTACAGGTGTGAGCCACTGCACCCCGCCAAGTGATGCCTTTTAAAACACTTTCCTACGGCTAGTTATTGGGGATGCAGTGCAGTGCAGTGATTAAAAACTTGTGCTTTGGAGTTGGAAAGACATGGAACAAGGTATAAGTTCTCTAAACCTACCTCATAAGTAATTACTAGGATTAAAATGAGATGATGTATGTTTAGTGTTTAGCACCTTCTGGCCAGGGTGGCTACCTCTTCAGATACCCAATATTCTTCCACCACTTTGTGAGACAGAATCCCTTATTGTTGAAAGTGATAATGTACCAACCATAGAGATGACTGTTCCCTGCTGCCTTGCAGAGATTGGCCAATGAGATGTAAGCAGAGTTGCTTCACTGGGCTGGCAGGAAAGCTATTTAAAAGTGGCTGACCTACTTGGGAGGCTCACCCTTGTGCTGGTTCCCTCTCTTTCCTTCTTGTGAATATCATGCTGGAGTTACAACCACCATTTTGGATCATGTGGCAACACAGGAAAGAAGCCCTGTACTAATGAAGGTGGGGAAGAGTTAGAAGGAACTTGTGTCCTAGATGACCAGGGAGCGGCCATATGAGCTCACCTTGAATCAGGAACTTAATTCCTAACTGATCCACATGATGAATGCTGGTCAAGATGCATCCTTTCCCTAACTCTGTGGGACTGCATGCTCTTTGGGTCCATGCTGTCTCCAGTCTGGCTAAGTTCTAGTTAAAACAGGGAGGAAATAGACTCTGCATCAGTTTCTAGGGGTAGATTGATGCCATAATGGACCAGGTTTAACTTTAGTTGAGACTTTTAGGAGAAATCTTCCTGCCTGTTGTTTGTCAATAATACTGACTGGTCTTTGTGAGCCGAAAGAATAAATCCTTATTCAAGGAAGTCTTCATGTTATCTACAACTTATGAATCTGCCTTTCAGCCTTACTTTCTTCTAATATCAAGGTGTGAGATGAGGTTAAAATTAAAGGCATGAAGAAAAGTGAGTAATCAGGAAAAAAAGAGGTTTTCTTGTGGATTTTTCCATTTTTACTAGAATTTTTTTTTTTTTTGAGATGGAGTTTCACTCTGTCACCCAGCCTGCAGTGCAGTGGCTCAGTCTTGGCACTCACTGCAAACCCCGCCTCCCAGGTTCAAGCAATTCTCCTGCCTCAGCCTCCCGAATAGCTGGGATTACAGGCGACAGCCACCATGCCTGGCTAATTTTTGTATTTTTAGTAGAGACAGGGTTTCACCATATTGGTCAGACTGGTCTCGAACTCCTGACCTCAGGTGATCCACGTGCCTCAGCCTCCCAAAGTGCTGGGATTACAGGCATGAGCCACCATGCCTGGCCTACTAGAAATATTTTTAAAAGTTATATTCTCATAAACAATTAAAATTTCATTCCTTCATTTAAAAATGTTTTGTAAGGAAGAATAAAGACAAGAATGTGTAATAATATATTTTAGATATGCAGAAAGTCTACTTAATTTTTAGGTTAGACAATTTTATACAAAGCAGGCCCCTTTTTGAATTGGTATTGTTTCGTTTATTTAAAGAATTATATGGATCAAAAGAGGGCAATTAAGAATTATGAATTATGAATTCTTTTTCATAGACACAGAAATTAAAAGAACTTTTCCTTAGAAAGATGCATAATTCACCTCTACTCTTAGTAAATAAAACATTTTAGTAAACAAATATCTTATCCTCAAATACACTTTTATTCTAAATATTGATATTAATTACATAGAAATTCACATAGAAGCTATTCATTCCTCATATCTTATAGTGCTTTATTTTTAAATTTATAAATGTTTTTCAATCTATCACTGCCAAATGAGCAATTTAGCACACAAACATGTACTTATTTTATTTAAAAAAAAATGGAGTTGAGAATAATTTATATATACATATGTATACTGACATTTATAAAATTGTAAATCATACTGGAAAAATACTATACATATTATTCTCAGTATGCAAAGTAGGAGAAAAACACCTAAAACCTTTAATCAGTCTTAAAATTCTGATAGTTTTACAAATTAGTTCTAATCCGTAGCAATGGGACCATTTCTTTTTCTTTTCTTTGAGACAGAATCTTGCTCTGTCACCCAGGATGCAGTGCAGTGGCACAATCTTGGCTCACTGCAACTGCCGCCTCCTGGGTTCAAGTGATTCTTGGGCCTCAGCCCCCCGAGTAGGTGGGATTACAGGTGTGTACTACCACACCTGGCTAATTTTTGCATTTTTGTAAAAATGGGGTTTCACCATGTTGGCCAGGCTGGTCTCAAACTCCCGAGCTCAGGCAATCCACCAGCCGTGGACTCCCAAAGTGTTGGGAAGTAAGCCACTGTGCCTGGCTGGGACCACTTCTAATATGAGGCTTACAAGGTAGAATTTATATGCTGCTGGGACAAAAGCTAAGTGGCAAATATGACATCAGATGATCTAACTGACCTTCTCAGCAGATACTCTGCATCACTTGTAAAACAAAAGAAAGTCAAACACAGTGTTTTTTTTTTTTACATAATTTTCAGTTAACTTTAAATACAAGATACACATGTGTTAAATTATTACTAATCTACCAGATTATTGTTTAACTTGTTGAATACCTATAATCTCTGCTTTTTCTGAAAGCTGGCATTTATTAAACATGTGGAGTTTTCACATGTTCCTGGCATTATTTATAATTTGAGGTGTTTCACCGACATCAGAGTAATACATTGCTTACTCTCCACTGATTTGTACACTGGAAAAATGTTGTTTGCTGCAGTGTAGTAGCTACATATCATTCTTTAGTCCTTTACATGCAGACCAAAGAAATGAAAACTGGCTGGGCATGGTGGCTTATGCCTATAATCCCAACATGTTGGGAGGCTGAGGTGGGCGGATCACTTGAGCCCAGGAGTTTGAGACTAGCTTGGCCAACATGGCGAAACCCTGTCTCTACTAAAAATACAAAAATTAGTTGTGCATGCAGTTGTGCACGCCTGTAATCCCAGCTACTTGGGAGGCTGGGGCAGGAGGATCGCCTGAGCCTGGGAGGTGGAGGCTGCAGTGAGCCAAGATCATGCCACTGCACTCCAGCCAGGGCAACAGAGCAAAACACTATCTTAAAAAAAAAAAAAAAGGAAATGGGAAACTGTTAAGAATATGCTTTTCATAAAAGTCCAGTTACTTATTTACAAAATACTAAAGGCCAATGATAAGGTGATATGAACTGAGGAGTACCATTACCCAAGCCTTCTGTACCTGAAGTCCAATTGTAAAAAAAACCCCAAAGCCCATCCACCTTTGTCTTAAACAGGTCTACATTGTACTTCTAAACTTGTACAGTCTTCATGAAATTAACATCTTCATGTTTTCTTAAGCACTTTGGTTTAGAAACTTCTTAAAATATCATTCAAAAAGAGCTTAGAGCATGTACAGAGTTCATATAAAGCTCTATTTTACATAATTGTATATACTGCTATCTCAGGAACATGATATGTTATTTAGAAAAGATAGTAGGGCAAAAAAACAAAACACAAGGTCCAGGTACAAATAATTCCAGCCAGTTATGGTGGCTCACACCTGTAATCCCAGGACTTTTGGAGGCTGTGGTGGGAGGATTGCTTGAACCTAGAAGTTCAAAACCAGCCTGAGCAACACGGTGAAACCCTATCTGTACAAAAGATACAAAAAATTAGCCAGTCCTAGTAGTGCACACCAGTAGTCCCAGCTACTTGGGAGGCTGAGGTAATAGAATCACCTGAGCCTGGGAAGTTGAGGCTGCAGTGAGCCATAATCACACCATTGCACTCCAGCCTGGGCATCAGCATGAGACCCCGTCTCAAAAAAAGAAAAATAAAAAAAAACACCCAAAAACTATCCCCAAGAGGACTAAGAAGGAAATAAAACTTTGGTGCCAGACAAGACAGTATCAAGATAAAGCCAAAGAGTTGCTAAAAACAAAAAATAATAATAATTCAGGCAATTGGTTGTCTGGGTTCTGCAATTTGAAATATTCCACTAGACACTAATATACAGGAACTCTTTTGGTCATTGTCACATAGCAGAAATGCTGCTATATGTGAAGTTGTTCTGGACTGCCTGTTATAGCTATTAAATGGAAACCCCAGAATTCATCCTGAATGTCTCTGAATGTGAAAAGTCACATGCGTTAATTTAATTCAGTATAAAATTTCCATGTTCTCCCACAAGGAGGATTTCAGCAGTGTCTTCCCAGCATGAAACCATGTCTTATCACTCCACCAGATTCAGAATTGGTACTAATTCTGACAGAAGCTGAAACTAAAGCCTATGTTTTCTTTAGTCAACATAAGGCCTTTTTTCAGAGATGGTGTGAATTAATAGTTTAAACCACCAAAATAAAAGAATAGACAAGTATTTTCTTAACATATCCATTTCCATTGCTAGAGCTGCGGTGATCAGCAGAAGCATCTGCCTGGCTGTCAATATCAAGGTGGATCCAGGCTGTTGGAACTGGTGGATCCAGGGGTTGGAACGGAGGAATACTAAAAATGAGACTTGGAACTTGGAAGGCCTACACCACGAGGGCCAATTCTGCCATAAGCCCTATTGCCCAGATATGTTACATAAAACATCCAGATATTACAGTGAAAGTCAGTGTGTGGCCAGACACAGTGGCTCACAATTGTAATCCAGCACTTTGGGAGGCCGAGGCTGGTGGATCACTTGAGGTCAGGAGTTTGAGACCAGCCTGACCAACATGGTGAAAACCCCATCTCTACTAAAAATACAAAAATTAGCTGGGCATAGTGACACAGGCCTGTAATCTCAGTTGCTTGGGAGGCTGAGGCAAGAGAATTGCTTGAACCTGGGAGGCGGAGGTTGCAGTGAGCCGAGATCGTGACACTGCACTCTAACCTGGGTGACAGAGTGAGACTCCATCTCAAAAAAAAAAAAAAAAAGTCAGGTGAGAAGAAGTAGCACATAGTGAAAATGAATATAATAATTTTACAGCTGGTCGGGCTCAGTGGCTCATGCCTGTAATCCCAGCACTTTGGGAGGCTGAGACAGGAGGACTGCTTGAGCCCAGGAGTTTGAAACCAGCCTGGGCAACATAGTGAGACCCTGTCTTTAAAAAATAAAATAAAATAATTTTACAGCTTTTGGTTCTCCTGTATTATACAGCATAACTAGGAGAAAAAAAAACTATGAAATTATTTTCCCAAGACCAGTTTTACTCATCTTTATCACATTTGTTTGATGTGGGTTATCCAGGAGCCACCTACATCAAGGTGGATCCAGGCTGTGGTCTTGCATTGGGTAACAAAGCCCTTCCCAGAGGGAGGAGTCACACCATTGGGTCAAGAGTCATGAATGGGTATTTTTACATATTTATTAAAACAAGTTTCCTGAGAAGTTTGACTAGGCTATGTTGTTGTTAACCTAGTTTGCTTAAAATGTACGAAAATGCAATCAAACTTACATATCTTTTAAATATTCGAAAGTCAGATTTTGTTCTGATTGCCCTATCCAATTAGGGCAAATTAGTGAGGGTTTTTTTGGTTTTTGTTTTGTTTTTTTAACAATAGTCTGAAACATAAAATTAAGTTTGGGTTTAAAAACAATTCTTGAAACTGTCATAAACATATGATATCTATTGATTAAACAGTAATAAAAAGACACAAGGTACAAGAATTGAGGCTTGGCTGTTCTGGCTGTATACTAACTTCATATACCCTGACAGAATAAACTATCTTTTTAAAAAGTGCTTTGTACACTGCACAATTATAGCTTTACCAAATAAAAACTCAATGACATGTCGCTGAAATTTGCTTCTTCTAGAATTTGAAATTATTTAAAATACTGCATGAGAATATTTTTATCATATTATATAATATGACTTCATCAACATGAAGTTCCAGGACCCCAGATGCCTCTCTGAGAAGTTCATTATTTGATAGGGTTGGATCAAATGTAAAGGCCCAGGTGTTCAAAGATCTTAGATACCTAAAGAGAGAAAGGGGCAAATGGAGGCTCTTCTGAGAGTCAAAATGTTGATGAGAAACAAACTGAAAGTAGCACACATAGGCAGAAAAATAGACAAGTTATGATTCAGAAAACAATTGTATGCAATTTTGGCATAAATATCTGAGAGTCACTGTGGGCCATGAGTTGAAAAGGAACATGCAAGAGAGCAAGGAAAACACAAAGCCTCATTCAGATGTGCTGGTGAGAATATGACAGAAAATCTGTTGAAGTTGTGTACCATGAAGTCTGTCTTTTGTCAAAGTTCTATGCAGTCCCAGGATAGCGTGATAGCAGTGGTTAAACACAACCAGCTAGTTATAGCTTTCATTGTATGGAAAGACCTCTCTGGTCTGGAACTCTGCCTTTGAAATTATCCACGTAGTTCAGAAGGCAAATACTTGTTAAAGGGATCCCAAAAGGTAGGAGACAAGTAGTTTTTGTTATGCATTAGGGCAGACTTTCAAGCACAAGACACAAAATTGAGCAGCAAATGTTTGGGTAGTCCCATCTCCCTTCGGTTTATATGTGGGTAGTAAAATAAATAAAATTTTCCTTCTTTGTCTCTTTCTTGAAATAAAATATCAGGTATCCAAGGAGAGCTGAGGATTCTCAATTTGCTAGATTGCTTTAAAGGGGTCAGATTTAGAAAATTAAGGAATAAATGAAGAACAATTTTACTGGAGTAGGTGTGGTCAATAGGCCCTTTTCCATTTTGTGCCATTGCTTTTAGCACAAGGATGTCAAAAATATCACATAGAATGTCATCTCTGATGGACTGACAGAGACCTCCTGTTGTGCTGTGTTAGGACATGAGGCTTATCCCAGCTTGGCGGGAGAGAATGCTAAGCATGATGAGTGAGATCTGCCACAGGCACGGATATTTCCTGCTCCTCTTCTGTTTGTTTCAAACCACCTTCAGGATCTCTGAAACATAGAAGGCTGACAGATGACTCCCACCTGCACATACTTCCTACCTACATGTCACATCCAAGGGAGGTATGGTGAAACAAGTGTGAGCTTTGCAGAAATGCTGACAAGCAAGGGAATTTCAGCTGAGGAGAACATTAGTTCTTTCACTGAAGATTCCTAGTTTCTCTGAGAAGTTCTTAAGGGTGACCAGACCTGGCCATGCTAGGGTCTACAAGTTACCAAACGCCACCTCATCAGGACTGTGGACCCCTCTCACTGTGTCTTCTTGGCAGGCAGAGCTTACTGACCCCCTGGGATGGTGTATTCATTAAAATACTTGCTGTGTTTGGTGTCTTTTCCATGACATAACACTCCTCGAGAAAAGTTCCTGCTGAATGTAGTTTACCTGTCCCACGACTTGAATAATCAGAGGAAATTATCCAAAGCTGGTTACTGACCCAAAAGGAAACCATCGATAAAACAGCTTCCTGATTTAGGCCCTAAGGAATGAAGCAGAAAGGTGACGAACATTTATCATGACCAGAGTGAGTTCAGTGAGCTAGAAGTTGGCTGAGAGGAGGCAACACATGTTGATCAGAAGTGAGCACATCACCCGCCTCCTTCTCCACCCTCAGAGGCAGCGATGGATGGCAGCCAGGCCTTTTCCTAGTACTTCTCAATTGCACATTCTTCCAAGTGCAAGTGATGCCATCATTAGGAAGAGTGGGCGTTGGAAGAAACAGCAAAAGGTTCTTGTGTCTATGTTGATTTGAAATTAATTAAATTTGTATCCTCTTCATCCTCTGTTGGCAGCCTCAGCAGACTCCCTCAGGGGCTGCTTCTCTTGGAAAACATGAGCGCCATTCAGGTTTAGGATTCACTGTCACTGTAAAAAAAAAAAAAAAAAAAAAAAAAAACAAAAAAAACACACACACACACACAAAACAGTAATATATTTCTTTCTTTTTTTTTTTTTTTTGAGACGGAGTCTGGCTCCGTCGCCCAGGCTGGAGCGCAGTGGCACAATCTCGGCCCACTGCAAGCTCCACCTCCCAGGTTCAGGTCATTCTCCTGCCTCAGCCTCCTGAGTAGCTGGGACTACAGGCACCCACCACCAAGCCTGGCTAATTTTTTGTATTTTTTTTTTTTTTAGTAGAGGCGGGGTTTCACCATGTTAGCCAGGATGGTCTCGATCTCCTGACCTTGTGATCTGCCCACCTTGACCTCCCAAAGTGCTGGAATTACAGGTGTGAGCCACTGCACCCGGCCAACAGTAACATATCTCTAAGAAGCTAAAGAGAGCTGGTCACTCCATTATGGAGGTGACTGAAGAGATCACAAACCATCAGGAAGCCAATGGTGTCCAGCTTACAATTTCTGAAACGAAGGTCAGTCTAAATTTTATATCTGATCCCTGAGGAAGAAATCCATGAAAGCCAAAAAATAATCCCTAGCTCTTTCTCCTCATAGCCCTCCCCAGTGCTGATGCAGAGAGAACCAGATGGAGTTGGGGGTTCCCCGTTTAATAAATCTAATCCCATTCTCTACGAATACGTGCCAAATTGCCTTTTGCTGAAACAAATTTTCCACATGCCGTTTTCTCTCAAGAGTTTGTGGTCCTGGCATGTCTTCAATAGCCCGTTTTGTTCATACCTACAAAGGAGCTGAAGGGGCCTTCTCAGTGTCATTTAGAATTCAAACATCGGGCATCCTGGGGTGTGAGCAGACATAAATGATGTACATGGTATTTGAACATGACCATGCTGTTGGCTAATTTGGTCTTTTGCTTCTAACTTGGCTGTCTTTGCCAAGTACCTGGCTCCACACCTTTTTCCTGGTGGGCCCACAGCTCCACCAAGTCTCCTGGAAAACAGGTGGCACTTCCCTTCCTCGCGCTTCTCTTTTTAGTTCCGTACTCCCTTCACTCACATCCTAGCAGGCCTCTATTTGAAGTGACCTCTGCTTCCAAGGGAGCTTGAATGATAATGATCGACAGATCTGGTATCTCCCTCGCTCATAGATGTGGATAGTCTGCAATAGGTGATATTCTTCTGACTCCTACTTCAGTGCTCTCCTACTCAGTGAAACTCCATGTGTTTCTAAAAGGACTTCGGAGCAACTGAGACACACATAGATAGATAGACAGACAGATAGATAAATAGGTAGATAAGTAGATAGATAATGGATGGATCGATCCATGAAAGGGCAGGAGACATTGTGTATAGGTTTGTGTGTGGTGTTTGTTCATGTTGTGAAGACAGAGGCATAAGCTATCATAAGGAGAGAAGAACAATGGGAAAGGAGGAGGAGGACAGAATTTTATCTGAGGCAGGGAAGTGAACAAAAGGACAAACTAGGGTGGGCGTGGTGGCTCACAGCTGTCATCCCAGCTCTTTGGGAGGCTGAGGCAGGAGGATTGCTTGAGTCCAGGAGTTTGAGACCAGCCTGGGCAATACAGTGAGACCCCATCTCCATAAAAATTAAACATTAGCCAAGTGTGGTGGTGCACACTTGTAGTCCCAGTTCCTCAGGAGGCTGAGGTGGGAGGATTGCAGGAGCCCTACCGTTCGAGGCTGTAGTGAGCTGTGATTGTGCCACTGCACTCCAGCCTGGGTAAGAGAGACACCCTGTCTCAAAAAAAAAAAAAAAAAAAAGACAAACCATATCAAAACGTATTTCAAATGAAAGCCTGGTTGAAAACTTAGAAATGTTTCATCTGAAGAGTAGATATGACAACCCCTTTCACTTATGTCACCCTGAATAACTTTTAAATTAGCCAAGGAGGTTTAATTTCTTAGAAATTGGGTGGTAGTAAGAGAATATTTGAAAGATCCAGGAGTCTATCTCTACAGAACATAAGTCTCTGAATTGCATGTTTTCCTTTGTGACCTTATCTTGAAATTTCAGCCACTTGAAGCAGAGTATAATATACAGCTGAACAACAAAGGCAAAGCCCTCTTTTGTCCACAACATTAATCTTTGTCCAGCTGTTGTAATAGAAGTGATTTTTAAAGTTAATTATTATAAAATTTGTCCATATTCATTGGTTAAAAAATAGAAAACACAAATAAGCAAAACAAAAATACCAATAATCTCACTACATTAACATTTTGGTATTTATTCTCCCAAAGATTTTTCTGTGATAATGATATATATTCTTTTCGTACAAAATGGGATCATATTTTATATATTGTTCTGTAATCTGCTTTTCTCACTCTCATTCACATGTAAACATCTGTCTCTGCTAATAAATATACAATATCTTTTTAGTGGCTACATAGCTTTCCATTGTCTCACTAAATCAAAAACTTTTTTTAGCCAATCCCTTATTGTTAAACATTTAGGCTACTTCAAATTTTTAATTTTTATTTATTATAAACATTGCTACATCTTTGGAAACTTCCAATAGTTACCTTTGCATGTATCTCTAGAAAAGGAATTGTTAGGTCAAATTATATACAATTTTAAAGCTTTAATGGCCCATTGTCAAATTATCCCCCTTTCCTAGAAATTTTTACAATTTACATTCTTCCAACACTACTCTTTAGGGAACTATCCTTTTCCCCACATCCTCTCCAACATTGAATATTATTATTTTCTTTTTTTGTGTGAGTCCAATAGGTGAAAATGGTTTCATATTTACTGTTACTCTTTTATTACCACAAAGAATAAACCTTTTACAAAGCTTAGTTGGTAATTTTAATTTCTTCCTTTGCTGAATTGCTTATTAATAGTCTCTGATCATATTTAAAGTGGAACAATTATTATTGTATTTTTAGATAGGCTCTTGCCATGTCACCCAGGCTGGAGTGCAGTGGCAAGATCTTAGCTCACTGCAGCCTCGACCTCCTGGGCTCCAGCAATCCTACCACCTCATCTCCCCTTCCCCCAGTAGCTGGGACTACAGTTGTGTGCCACAACACCTAGCTAACTTTTGTGGAGACAGGGTCATGCCATGTTGTCTAGGCTGGTCTCGAACTCCTGGGCTCAAGCAATCCACACACCTCAGCCTCTCAAAGTGCTGGGGTTACAGGTGTGAGCCACCATGGCCAGCCAGCCTATTGTGTTTTTTGAAGTACAAGAACATTGAGTTTTTAATGTAGTTAAATCTATCCCCCTTTTTTTTTTTTTTTTTTTTTTTTTTTTTGAGACAGAGTCTCGCTCTGTCACCCAGGCTGGAGTGCAGTGGTGCTATCTCGGCTTGCTGCAAGCTCCACCTCCCAGGTTCACACCATTCTCCTGCCTCAGCCTCCCAAGTAGCTGGGACTACAGGTGTCTGCCACCATGCCCGGCTAATTTTTTTGTACTTTTTTAGTAGAGGTGGGGTTTCACCATGTTAGCCAGGATGGTCTCGATCTCCTGACCTCGTGATCCGCCCGCCTCGGCCTCCCAAAGTGCTGGGATTACAGGCGTGCACCACAGTGCCCGGCCAAATCTATCCTTTTCAAATATGATTTCTGACTTGTGTGTCATGCTTTCAAACTCGTTCCCTCCTTAAAGCTATATAATATTTTTCTATATTTTTTCTGGCTTTTTTTCTTTCTTTTTAACACTCAAACTCACCTGGAGTATATTTTAGTATAAAGCATGAGGTTGAGCTCTAAATTTCCCCCCAAATGTTAGTCAGTTGTCCCAAGACTATTTATTAAATAATGCACTTGCTATGAAATGTTAATTCTAGTTTGATTCCAAGTGTACACTGTTTTAATTGTTGATCAAGCATGACACGCTCCCTGTGAAGTCCCCACCCTTATTCCATCTTACAATTTCACTTTTTCCTTCTTTTAGAATTATCCTGGCTATTTGTAACCAGTTATTCTTCCAGATGAAATGTGCATAGGGATTTTTAAGATGACTGGGTTGAATTTAAGATGACCATTTTTACATGGTTGAGTCTTTCATCAGGAACACAGTATACCTCTCCATTCGTTTAAGTCTTTTATGTCCCACAATAAGAATCTGAACATTTTATATTATCACCTGCATTTTTTCAGTTAAGTTTATCCCTGGGTAGTTTACGTTTGTGCCATTTTTATGATATTACCAATGTTGGTGTGTGCTAACGAGTGGCTTTTTTAGCATAGTAGATAAGAGCCCTGGGTCAGTTGTCCTGAGTCTGAATCAGGGTTCACTTTCTTGCTATGTGACATTAGGCAAATTAACCTTTCTTAGCCGGAGTTTCTTATCTCATCTCACCTGCAAAACATACATAACATACCATGAGCTTTATTGTTTTGTAAACAATAAATGAGAAAATGCAGGTGAAATACCATACTCCAGGCCTGACACACAGACACATGAATGAATGTTAGTAATCCTTATTTTGCAGGTTTTACATAAGTAGCCAGTGTTTGTTGGTAAAACACTAGCATGAATATTGTTTCAAATATCCAAAGGCTTTCAGCAACCATGTTCCAAAACAAACTTTAAATTTCTAAGGAGAAGCATTTTGAAGGCTCACTGTGGGACACTGTCCATCAACAAGAACTTGTTTAACTTAAAGCACCAAAGAGGAAAAGAAGCTCAAGCTATGGTGCCCACTGCCACAGCTCTGTGGACCGTGAGCAACGGACAAAGCTCTGCTACTAGTTGCCTCGCCTGTGGGACATCAGGCCACTCCCAGAGTGTAGCAGCTCTTACTGGTGCTGGGATGGACATCAGGCATGTCAGTAAAGCAGCAAGCTGGGACCTGGCCTGCCACTTGTGCCTGGAGGCATTCTCTCCCAAATGCTCCTTCCTTTATTTAGTTAGATATGTTTCCTGCTGTCTTTTTGGCTATTTATTTTCTCTGTGGAATCATCAAATAAACCTAGACATTTTTAATTCTGAAAAGTCCTAGAGTTCTCTGTTAAAAAGATCTTAGCAAACTGTCACAGAATTGCAACACATCAAATAAGTGATCCCTTTTCAAACCTTTAGTTTGAAAGCAGTTTTGGTAACTTAACTATGATGGTAACATTAGCAAGCAATTTTTCTAGGAATGTTAGACAGATATTTTAAGAATGTGGGCCAAGTGTGGTGGCAAATGCCTGTAATCCTAGCAACTTGGGAGGCCAGGGCACTTGAGCCTCAAGGACCACTTGAGCCCATGAGTTCGAGACCAGCCTGGGGAACATAGTGAGACACTGTCTCTACAAAAAATTCAAAAATTAGCTGGGCATGGTGGCTCGTGTCAGTAGTCCCAGCTATTAAAAGTAATGGCAAAAACTGCAATTACTTTTGCACCAACCTTATACCTTATGTTTGGGTGGCTGAGGTGGGAGGGTTGCCTGAGACTGAGAAGGTTGAGGCTGTAGTGAGCTGAGATCACACCACTGCACTCTAGTCGTCTGGGCAAGAGAGTGAGACCCCATCTCAAAAAAAAAAAAAAAAAAAAAAAAAAGAAAGTGGAACACCTTTCCCAAAATCCTGTATAGTAACAGGCTGACAAATAAAACCAAATTTAATTGATTAGAAAGCATCATTGTATTGTTTTCTTTAAGAAGGCATGTAATGGGCATGCTACCAGTTAAATAAGGACTGATGCAACTGTAATACCTTGTTTCATAATTGCCCCTTTGTTGCAGTCAGGATTAGATAAGTCATCTTTGTTCTCCTGACCAGTCTATCTTGTAACAATCCCTCTTTATGACCACAGCTCATGTACTCTGTCTCCAAAGATGGCAATAAACCTATGTTAAAACTTTCTTGTGTTATGATGCTCTCTAACTCATTTTTGTGGGGAGTGCAGAGTTCAGTTTAGCATAAAGTCACATAACAATTAGATCAGGCTCCCTTTCTCTTCAATAGAATGTCCTTTCTCCTTCCTGCAAGAGGCCTGGTCTCAGGTGGAATGATTGAGGTAATGCATCTGGCTAACATCAGAGGCAAGCCTAGTCATGCACATAGATCATGCCCGTGTTGTGGATATAATCTGGGCCACTATTCAAGCAATGCTGTGGTTTTTAAAAGTAAGTACATCTTCTCTCATCCAACACATACATGCACACACACACGTGCGCACGTGCATCTGTGTTTTAATAATATTATTTGAGGTTATCATCCTGCAGGATTATAAACTGTTACTTTGTATCCCTCATAATATCAAGCTCAGATTTGAGAGAATCTGACACTTAATACTTGAATTACAGATGATCCCTGACTTACAGTGGTTAACTTACAATTTTTTTGACTTTACAATGGAGCAAAATTGATATGTATTCACTACACTCCTTGACTTATGATGGGGCTATCTCTAGATAAACATTATAATTTGAAAATATCATGCATTTTTGACTTCAGATTTTTTTACTTACAATGTGTCTCTCTGGACCTAACCCCACTGTAAGTCAAGAAGGATCTATATACGTTTAAATGACTTTGAGGGACTAAAGAAGAAAAGAGGAAAGCAGCCTCTGCACAAAGAAAAAAATTAGAAGTGGTCACAAAGATTTAACTGAGCAGACAGGCCAAAAAAAGCTCGCATAAAACTGCTGTTTTCTTGCAATTAATGGTTAAGTGTTGTCAATGACTGTGCTGAGTGACAGACACACCATTCACCGAGTACTTTCCTGTATTAGCCTCATGGTGGCTGGCTTTCTTGCTGCTGAGTGTTCTTCTTTTTCTAATCTATAATTTGTCTTTTAATTTATGAAATATCTCTTATTTTAACAAAATAATAAAAGAGAATGAAAATACATTTTTAAAAGAAACTTTTCTCTAGATTGAGCTTTATCAGCTACGAACCTGCCATGTGAACTTGAACAAGCCACTTAACCTCTCTGAGTTCTAAGTTTACTCAAATTATTTTATTTTTAACTGGTTGTTTTGACATGATGTAGACAGTGTCAGGCACATATTAAGTGCTCAATAAATGTCTTTTGAAAACCTACATCAAAAATTATACTTTCTCAAAAAATGACAAAGAGAAGGGATGAAACAGGAAGAAATCCACAAAATTCTCTATTAAACTAACCTAAATTTTTCCTGAAAAATAGTGAAGCAACTCCTTTTTATAATGACATCGAGCTCAGAAACATAAACTATAGAATAAACAGTAGAATTATTATAAGAACAGATATACTGTCACTCTCTCTTAGTTAATTTCTTAGGCACTAGCATATAGAAAATGTGATGTAAATGTCTTACTATTGCTGTAATTATTACTGTATTTTCAAAATTATAAATCCACTTGAGCAGAACCACATCTAATTCTTTCCCTAATCTTTCCCTATGTTGCTGCTTAATGTAAAATCATCCCTGTGGTCAAGAGATATAAGAGGAAAGAAGACAGGCATTTGGCTAATATTTGCGATTCCTTGTCTGTGGTTATTCATCTGAGATTGCAGAGACAGAAACACGAAGCTTTCAGGAAACCGTCTAACTACAAATGCCTCCAGAAGAAGGAAGAGGCTGGCTAGATTGGAAGAGTCATGATAAAAGGGACTTTTTCTTGTTTGCACCACTATCTAGTGGCATTTGGGAGGGTGTTGTGAGTGTGGGGTTAGGCAATAAGGGAGTGTGTTTTCTACACAGAAGTTAAAACAATAATAAAACCAACCAAAAGGATCTGTTTTCTGTCGTTACCATGTGTTGGCAATGCTTAACCAGATCAGGGATGAAATTCTCTTCAACTTGAGGGCAGACCCCTCCTAGCACCCTCCTCCCACTGACACTTTGCCCCTGGGCAGTGCCAGGCACATAGCAGGTATGAATCACGGAAAAGATGCTAAGATGGAAAATAAGAATATGAAACACTCCCCTCCCCCATGATTCCTTTGTTGCTTTTCCTATTGATTTCTTTCAAACATGAAAACCATAGTGTCCACTTCTCATAGTATTTTGTACATCTCTGGTCCTTATTAAAATCCTGTGCTGTCTTTCGGATTCCATAGCTCAGGAAGAATATCCATTCAATGAGGACAGAGGAAAGTAATGAACAAGACTGGCCAATGAGACAAGGATAAAGTTCTGAAAGGCCTGAGATTACAGACCCTAACAAGACAAGCTTGAAGAGTTGAAGTCTTTGCACACAATGTGGTATATTCAGTGTAGGATGGTTATCAGATTGACTCCCTTTTCCCAGAAGCATGGTGGTCGTAGGTTCTATGGACTTAATAGATAACAGAGGTTCTATGTCAGGCATGTCTTTCTAGCATCAAGGAAAGTGGAACCCTGTAAATGAATTCCAGAAGGCTTTGTTTATCAGGAGAAAGGAGAAGTGTGTCTTCCACTAAATTCAATTTTTAATGACTGTTACATACTTTCTGAAGCATTAAATTCACCTGTATACTACTTCAATGACAGAGGAAGAATCATGCACAAGGTAAAAGCCAATGGAAAACTTTGGGTGATAATGGTGTGTCAATGTAGGTTGATTGATTGTGATAAATGTAGAACTCTGATGGGGGACGTTGATAATGGGGGAGGCTGTGCATGTGTGAGGGCAGAGGGTATATGGGAACTCTGTATTTTCTGCTCAATTTTGCTGTAAACCTAAAACTGCCCTAAAAATAATCTTTTAAAATCCCAGTGTGGGAGGGGGAAGAACAATTGCCACTGCATAAGAATAATTAGTTTCACTTGCGTGGTGCTTTAAAACTTAGCTACTGCCGGGTGCGGTGTCTCACGCCTGTAATCCCAGCGCTTTGGGAGGCTGAGGTGGATGGATCACCTGAGGTCAGGAGTTCAAGGCCAGCCTGACCAATGTGGTGAAACCCCATTTCTATTAAAAATACAAAATTAGCCAGGCGTGGTGGTGGGTACCTGTAATCCCAGCTACTTGGGAGGCTGAGGCAGGAGAACTGCTTGAACCCAGGAGGCAGAGGCTGCAGTTAGCCAAGATTGCACCATTGCACTCCAGCATGGGCAACAAGAATGAAACTCAGTCTCGAAAAAAAAAAATTAAGATAAAAATAAAACCTAGCTAGGTGGTTTCATTCTCTTATATCATCCTGTGAAACTAGAAGGACAGATGTTCTTATTTCCATTTTTCAAGATGAAGAAATTAAAACTCAGAGAGCTAAAGTGACTTGTTTTAGTCTAAAGAACAAACAAGCATTCAAATTAGGTCTTAAAATGAGTCTTCTAAGTCCAATGACCCACAAATGCACTTTCCACCTGTATCTATAACAATTCACAAGCTTTTAGAGAAAAAAGAAATCTTATTTTTGTCCCAGGGTAGATACTCAAAGTAAACATTTTATGGATTATCAATTTAATTAAAACATTAGGATAGGAAAAAGAAATGTACATAAAATTATGACAGAAAAGAAAGATTATCCAAATTATAAGGTGTTACTATCCTTTTAAAAACTTCAGACTGGGCGAGGCACAGTGGCTCACTCCTGTCATCCCAACACTTTGGGAGGCCAAGGCAGCAGAAGGATTGCTTGAGCCCAAAAGTTTGAAAGCAGCCTGAGCAACATAAGGAGACCCTGTCACCACAATAAAGTAAAATAAAATTAGCCAGGCATGGTGGACAAACCTGTGGTCCCAACTACTCTGGAGGCTAAGTTGGGAGAATCATTTAGGCCCAGGAGGTTGAGGCTACAGTGAGCTGGGATCACACCACTGCACTCCAGCCTAGACAACAGAATGAGAGTCTGTCTCTACACAAAACAACAAAACACCAAAAAACTCCAGAGTGATAAGTGGACTATTCTGAAATCACCAACATTAATGGGCCTATGCCAGTAATTAAGGAGAACTGAAAGTCTCATAGTAGATCAAACAAATTCCTGATTTCCCAGGATTGGTAGGTCCAGAAAGAAACCACCAGGGAACACAGGGACAAAAATAATGCTTCGCCCACCAGTATTGATGTGTCTGGGTCTTAGGATACAGGCTTAGGATAAAGGAAGTGAATTTTTTTTTAATCCAGTGAGCTGGGTCTTAGTATAAAGGCAGTGAGTTTCTGTACATCAGTCCTAACTTCCTAATAATTATACTAGCAATAACCAGTGCTTATTGAGAACTTACTTTGTTCTGGGCTTTGTTCTAAATCCAATGTACTTTTCTTAGATTTTTTAATGAATAAAAAATTAACTTTGCAATATCATAATAACCTTTGAAGTAATCAGAAAGTGCCTAGTGGTACAAAGATCTGGGACTTGCCATTCTTGGTTCTCGAATGCTGGTGCTGGCATTACGAGAGGGCATAAAGTGAAGGCCTGACAGCCATCCTGTGAATGCCACACAGCTCTGGACCCACAGTGGAATGTAGACCTTCCCTTTTAAAACAATCATTTAACTATGTGAAGGCTCTAGCTCATTTTCTCATTATTTCAAAAATCTGACTTTTTTTTTTTGAAACAGAATTTCTTTCACTCTTGTTGCCTAGGCTGGAGTGCAATGGTGTGATCAGTGCTCACTGCAATCTCCGCCTTCCCAGTTGAAGGGATTCTCCTGCTTCAGCCTCCCAAGTAGCTGGGATTACAGGTGCCCGCCACAACGCCTGGCTAATTTTTGTATTTTTAGTAGAGATGGAGTTTTACCATGTGGGCCAGGCTGGTCTCGAACTCCTGGCCTCAGGTGATCTGCCTGCCTCAGCCTCCCAAAGTGTTGGAATTACAGGCATGAGCCACATTGCCTGGCCAAAAATCTGATTTTTAAGAAGATTTCACTGCCATACAATTCTGTAATGTTAAGCTTCTTCCATGTTGCCAACAATTTCAAAGAGCAAAAGGCAGGAATGTAAAAACCACTGAGGGTAGTTTTTAGCATCATTGAGGTTGCTCATCAGTGATAGAGTAATAAGATACTTAAGATATTTATGGAGTTTTAGTAGTGATCTGAGCCCTATACCAGACATATATAGTTACATATTTCCAGGTAAGATCAAAACATGGGGAAAATATTCCTTTGTAATATTCCCCCTGGCATTGTTGTTTTCTTCCACCTGCTTGTTAATCAATCTCTCTCTCTCTCTCTCTCCCCCTCTCTCTCCCTCTCTCTCTCCCCATTTCTTTTAGAGACAGGGTCTTGCTCTTGCTTGTTGCCCAGGCTGGAATGCAGTGGTACAATCATAGCTCACTACAATCCTGAAATCCTGGGCTCAAGCAATCCTCTCACATCAGCCTCTCAAGTAACTAGGACTACAGGCAAGCGCCACCAAGCATGACCTGGAATCTCTTTTAAATAGGATAGAATCCTTCCTGAACTGGCAATAATCTTAACATGAAAATGCCTAGGGTGGTGATATTGACCTAAATCTACAATAGGTATAGACTTTGGCATCAGAGCTGAGGTTTGTCTGAGTAAGACTGTGGTGGTGTGATGTGAGGAGAGATTTGGGATGGTGAATTCTTAAGTGAGGTTTAGGGGGGAGACGCAGGAAAAGGGTCCGAAGATAAACATCTGACTGCCCCCAACCATTGCCTAATAATCAGTATTCCCTCGCGATGCTCAGGCTTCAGGGGTTGCCTGGTGACAAGTGACTGACTGGCACCAGACTTCTGGTGAACATGGAGGGAGAGGATTTATCCTGCCTGAAGGTTTATTCCATTTATTCCAACAGAAGTGTGATATCTCAGGCATAGGCTCAAGTTTTCTTCTCTCCGGGTGTCCATGAGTGTTTGCTGCCAACAACTCAGTACCTCCAAGGTCACAGCAGAGCTCTGCAGAGCCAGTCCCCAACCTTCTGAACCATCCAACCTTTTTCCTTAGAACACTTCCCATGTCCTGACAAAACAGTTCTCTAATCAAAACACCCCAAATGTGGTCATTTCTATCCTCACAAAAGATAATATAATTTAAAATGAGATTGTGGAATGCTAAACTATACACCCAAACCCCAAAGCACTAAAATTTTTCTATCAACCAGAGCCACCTAGTGGTAAAATGGAACATTTTTTAAAAATTCCCATTTATTTTCTCACTCTAGTTTACAGTTACCCACTTTAAGACTGTCGCCTCCATCTGTTTTCCTTACCAAACATCTATTTATCCAAGGTAAACAAACCTACAGTTTGTCATAATTGGAAAGCTTTATGACTAAAACAGAAGCTGAAGCAACAGTGTCTCTTTAGAAGGGCAAGAAAATGTCAATACTCATTTATTTCTAAAGATAAAGAGTCCTAGGATATTTACTTTGTGGCCTTCTATTTTCTGTAACACACTTCCTCTTCTCCACACTATGCACATATCCAGCCGCGTAAATGATCTCATACGAATTATAGGCACGGAGGAGGTAAGCAAAAAGTGTTCCACCCTGGTTCCCAATCCCCCCGCCCCCCGCCATATACATGTAATCTGTGGTAGAAATGAGAAGTACCTTGGGTTGTGATTTGATTCCTTCTCTTCCTTCAAGGTAGGTAAACATTCAAAGTCGGCTAGGACAGAATAAAAGCAAACTCATTGTTAGTTACTGAAATCGTATTTTCTATCCACAAACCTGATACAGTTAAATACCATAGTTCTCTGATCTGCGTGGTTACTTGCACAAAAATGGCCTCACCAAGGAGTGATAGTGATGAAAAGATTAATGATGTCAAGGCTCTTGAAATGGAAAAAGCACTAATAACACAGATGCAAAACTTCAACATGCCTCTGACACTGGAAAGGACACAATTCATCACTGCTTGGTTATTCTGTCCCTGCAGCACCCCAGTGCTCCAAAAGCTAGAATCTGCATGTCTCAGGATAGACAGTGGAATAAGATGGCTTCGCCTGAGGTTCCAACGTGTCTGCAGAATGATTTCCATCAGATTGCACGGTAGGAAAGAATTGGGTAAAGTGGGAAAACAGCTGATCTTCCTATGGTCATGAGTTCTTTTCTATTACACCACTCGTTATTTTTAAGGGCAAAAAAATTCTTTGATTCTATCACCTATGTGTCAAAATAACTCAGCTTTAGTTGTCAAATAGAAATGCCTTTTCCAGTTTTCTGGTTTTAGTGAGTATGACAGAATCATGATTTTATATTTCACAAAATCTCTGGCACAAAACGTAATACAACAACATAGCAAGAAGAGATTGCCTTTCTGTGGTGAATTTTTTTCTTCTACCTTTTTTTTTTTTTTTTTTGCATTTTCCAAATTCTACTATGTATGCATATTACTTTTAGCAACTGAAAAACAACAAAACGAGACTCCTGAAGGACTATCTCAATGACCCGCCCCATCCTCAAATAGAATGGCTTTACAGAGTCCTTCTTTCCTCAATATGAAAAACTGTTAGAAATTGTACAAGTTAGCTGAGTGGCTCTTTTTTGAAATCACACCTTGATAAGCCTCTGGTAGCAATAATTCTTTTTTTTTTTTTTTTTTTTTTTTTTTTTTTTTTGTTGAGATGGAGTCTCGCTCTGTCACCCAGGCTGGAGTGCAGTGGCACAATCTCGGCTCACTGCAACCTCCGCCTCCTGGGTTCAAGCTATTCTCCTGCCTCAGCCTCCCTAGTAGCTGGGAGTACAGACATGTGCCACACCCAGCTAATTTTGTATTTTCAGTAGAGATGGTGTTTCACCATGTTGGCCAGGCTGGTTTCGAACTCCTGACCTCAGGTTATCCACCCGCCTCGGCCTCCAAAAGTGCTGGGATTATAGGCGTGAGCCACCGTGCCTGGCCTGGTAGTAATAGTTCTTATAACCAGTCTCTGAATTTTCTAACTCTACTGTAGAGTGTTGAATTTGACAGACCCTAGGGTATTTTTTTAAGATAAATGGTAAAAAATACAAATGACATGATAATGCTGGGTTTTATTCATTTAATCTAAGTAGTAAAAATAATTAATTTTTAAAGGGAATTTGAAAAAGAAAAAGCAGCTGTCATCATTTTAAAGTCCCATTATTGATTTACTAAAAAGTAAGGAACATATACTTCCATTACTGCCAGATATCAATTGGAAATTGTTATATGGGGTATGTATATCACCATCTACATGAGCAATGTCCAATAGAGCATTCTAAAGTGATAGAAATATTCTACATTACACTGTCCACTTAGTAGCCATTGGCTACTAAACACTCAATATTTTTTAATTTTAATTTTAATTAATTTAAATTTAAATAGCCACATTTGGTGATTATCTATTACGTTGAACAGCACAGATCTATGGATACTACATTTGATAAAGTTTTATATCCATAGTCAGTTTAAAATTGTAGATCTTTAAATTCTGTAATGTATAAGGTAATGCCAGATGCTAACTTTTTCCAGATCATTTGGCCTCAGAGATTTCCTTTCTTGAATAAAATACCATTTTCTGCTTCAAAAAGACCATTTCAACAACTTGTACAGAAATAAAAACAAGTGGCAACAATTAAGCTGAATATTTAAGTATTGTCAGACCAGGTTTATTATCTGCATGTACCAGATCTAATGTGGGATTGGGTTCTTCTGTCTCACTCCAGGATTTATTGAGATATTTATAAAGCTGTTGCAGCCTTCTGTTACTAGAGAGGAAAGAAAAAAAACAACTTTAGGTTACCACATACCATTTCTATTCATGCTGTTCATCCATTTATCAAGCTCTTCCATTTCAATTTCCATAACAGAGGGTGTATCTTCCTCAAAAATAGGGCTAGAAATAGAGAGCAAAAGACTTGTTAGAAAGAAATGTGAAAGATGCCTAATTTCATTTGGAAAGAGACTAGAATGCTGATCCTGAGGAAGATGAACTTGATTCAGTGCCTTATGCTCTAGGGAAGCCTGGGGGCTTGCCCTATTCCAAACTACCAAACTTTAATAGGAAGAAAGGCTACCACACAAACAAACATACATTTATCACAGGTCCAAAAGTGGGGTGCCCACAGGCCCAACAAGTGGACAAAAAAGGGAACCCAGGAGGCTGACTGCTCCCCTGAAGGTGCAAAGTCAAGTCTGCAAGGCTCCCAGGGTGAGGCCCTTCCGGGGAGTTGCCATATGAAGCATTTTAGCCTTGCTTAATTTCACTTCCTGTTCCTTGGGGTTTTTTGATCAGTGCCCCAGGTCAAGAGGCCACTGTCAACAGGCTACAGTTATCACCTGTCCCTTCAATTCCCAGGCCTTTCTCTCTTGGAGAAATGGAGCAGTTGCTTTCAGAAATTCACCGCCCTCACTTGCAGAAGCTCAAAGTGCACAGTCAGGGGACAGAGTCCGTGGTTAGTGGAGATGGGGTTGGGGAAGGATGGACCACCAGCTCTGAAAGCAGCGTAGGCGGTACACTGCGTAGAGGAAGCGATAAAGTTTCTAAACCAGGAGGCTGCTTGGAAGATGGGGAGGATATGGCATCACCCCAGAACATGCTTCTGAGTGGAGGCTTGTTTTTCTCTCTCCCACCCCTCCTTCCCTCCCTCCTCTCCCTTCCTCCTGCTCCTCCCACTCTTCCCTTCTCCTCCTCTCTCTCTCCCATCCCTGGGGGTTCTTGCTGTGTGAACTTCTGCTTCGACCAGGGCTCCCTGCTAAATACCAGCTCAAGTATCTTTCCTGGTGATAAAATTTCTAATCAGAGTAAATGAACCAATGTCCTTGAAATACAGCTAGGGATAGAATATTTAACTGCTATGCACTTGAAATTGGTAGCAGTCAGGATTCTTTTCTGAATGTAGGACAATGAAATAAAACAGATGCCAAGCTGTCTTTGCCCAGATCACACTCACACGCTGGATAGGGTTTGGGGATGCCAGCACATCCTCCCTCAGGCTGCCAAGGATCTCCAACCCCGCCTGGGAAGCAGGAGAGTCCCGCAAGATGTCAGAACAAAAACACCTGAAAAGGCAGCTGTCCACCTTAACAGTTGCTGTTCACACCCCAGGTGGATCAGAAGCAGCAGGGAAAACTTACACTTTCACGTTTTCACTTCCCAGTTCATCTAAAAGGAAATGAACATAAAGGTCATGTTAGCTTTGTTCTTCTGTAACAACTTTTAATTTCAACAACAGCTGAAGTCTCCTTTACAAAGAGAGCAAAATGACATTAAGTAACATTTTTAAAGGAGCGATCATTAACTTAGAGTCAAAGAAGTGTGGATTGCCATATTAAAACGAGGTCCTAATCCGTGTGAAATCTGCTTTCTTTTAGATGTGGATGGTCTGCTGAGAACGCTCACTTCAGACCAGATGTTCATCCGTCTTTATTTTTTACATCCACAAGAAGAGGAAAACATTGGTAAGGAAAGGCAAGGGAGGGTGAAACAAGAGGGCTTGCTCCTTGGCCTCCTTCAGTAAAATGTCCCAGATCTAAAGGCTGCTGCTTCATCTCCTGTGATACACCATGCTGAACACTGTGACACTGTGCCTCACTCCTGGTGGAGGATGTGGGATCTTCCATCAAGGGCTCCCCTTGGAATTTTCCTTTTACCCCTGCTCTTGGCATGGCTGGATCCCTCACAACTTCAGGGTCCCAGCTTAAATACTCTTTCCTCGGGGAGGCCTTCCCCACCTACTCTATTTAAAGAAGGGCCCATCTTTCCTGTTGCTCCCCAGCTCAGCACCTTGCTTGCATCTTTCATAATATTGGCCACAATTTCTCATTGGTCAACCCGTCTGTTTGATTTTTTTTTTTCTGTCTGTCTCTCTCACTAGACAAAGTACAAAGGGGCAGGGATCGTGTCTGTCTTATTTATCGTGGTATCCCCTCAGCTCTGAGCCAGCTACCACAGTACCTTGTAAATGCCTAGTCAATATCAGTGGAATAAATGATTAGGTGTTAACCTCAATTGTCCAGCACTGGGGTTCAATTCATGTCCAATATTTCAGACTTAGCATAGTGAAACTTCCAACAAGCCTGTTTTTAGTTCCTGTTGGTTGAGGTGAGAGTCAGGTAACTGTTTACAAAATGGCTGTAATGCACATCAGACTCCAAATGAACAAGTGGTGAGAATTGGAGCCTGATGTCCCAGCTGAAGCCCTGTTTCATTTGGCAGGAGAACCAACACATCCAGAGAAATGAGGCAATGATGTTGAGTGGATAGCATAGGCCTGCTGCACCATTCATCATGTGAAACCTATTGAAAAGCAAACCACTTTGTAGGGGCCCACCAAATAGTCAGAGGTTTCTGATCCTTGGCACTTAAAGGCCTCCTATTGTCTGTCCTGGAGAAATGGAGGTCCTCAGTGAAGGAACACAACCAGCAGACACCTGGAACTGAGTTCCTGGCAGCAGTGAGCTGCTGTAATTTCCTGTGGGTTGGCAAGCTTGAATGGCATTGCTAATCCAGGAAAGCTGGGCACAGATGTAAGTTTCATGCCATCACCGCTTGCCTTCCAGGAGCTGCAGGCTATGTCCTCCTGCCCTCCAGTAGGCATCTAAAGCTTCCTGCAGATGCCTGACTCCTCAGAAACTTAGATGGGGGAAAGGAGAATACACACACACACACACACACACACACACACACACACACACACACAGACACCACAAACCCACACTTTCTATCTAAAATATAAAGGCTATTTCCTTAAGGAATTTTAATATAAATAAAGCTCCTACACAATTGAACATCCCTGCAGGTGACCCGTAAAGCTCCTCCTGTTTTGTCACTCCCTCCTCCTCCCTCTCCCTTTTCCCCTGCTGAATAAACCCCTGACTATTTTCCCAGACAGCAAGTGGCTGCATGGCCCCACCGTTGTGGGCATGGATATATCTTTATAATCCGGGTTCCCCACAGGCTTCAGGGTGAGCAAAAGCTAGCCTGCAAGCAGATGAAGGAAAACTTTTAAAAGCCATCACAAAAGTGCTCCAGATGCACCAAATGTGAAGCTCCTGTAATCAGTTTGAAAACAGAGCAAAAAGCTTTCTACGGCCTCATCTTCCCTGCTCCATGGCTATTACCTCTGCTCCAGCCACCATGGCAACAGAAAAACATCTGGGAGGGCACACAAAGAGCAGAGCATTAAACCAGGAGGAAGACCAATTACTTGTCCTCAGCAATCAGGCCCTGCCCGCTCCACTCCACCTGGCCTATATATATTTATGAATAGCCACCTATTCCCTTTGCAACCAGGAGGCAAATGCAGCTCTTACAAAGCTCCATCTCAAACCCCTATTCCATTTTCCCTCCAACAATCCTTCCATTTCATCTCCTCCAACCCACTTTGTCCTCCTCCTTCAGTTCCTACTTCCCCCCCACTTAGCCTGACAGTACTCTCCTCTCAGATCCTCTCCTCTGTGCATTCGATAGTGGGGTTGTCTGGTGGAGGCTAGGGGAGGGCAGGAGCTACAGGAGCCTCTGGCTTCCTTTTCTTGTTTCCACGCTGAGCAGTGAGCAAGAGAAAGAGTCTCTTTCCAGAAGATTTACTGAGTAAGCCAGGCATCATGTAGCCACAGCCTGTTTAAAGGGGTAGTTTATCGCCCGCTGTTTTCCCTGCAGCTCTTTCAGAGAGACCTCACACATCAAGACACTGCAAATTTCATACCAGGAGGTCTAGGAAGAATGAGAGCAGAACATCACGTTACTACATCATGTTTCCCTTTCCCTGAACATGAAATGGACAAGCCCAAAGGAAAAAGTAATTTCCAATCAGATGAAGTGTTCTAAAAGTTTTGGCCAAGTCCTCTCCCATTGTCAAATTTAAAGACTTATTTCCTAGTATAGTATAACAGACCAGGCTCTACCCAAGTGCAGTAAGAAACAGTATGTCTGCTTCTAACTTCCCAGGGGACATAGTGTGCAGGTGTCCATGCTCTCCTATAAAGCATTTCTGTGGGAGCTTTCCAAGCAAAACGCTGGTATGACCTTCCATGATAGTTGTATTTTACCTGAAAAAAAATCAAATTTTGCTCATGTAAATATTCTGCTTTTATTAACTTTTAGCATTCAGTTTTTCTGAAAAGTTGTCCATCTGTTAAGCAGTTAGTGATCACGTCTGTGTTAAAGCATTGGCTGATAAGAGAAAAAAATTCAAATAAAACTCTCCATCAAAAACTTTTGTGATAAGCCAATTGTTTTGAAATGCTAAGTTTTCTCTGTTGTTTTTTTTAAAGTTAGGCATATTTAAGGTAAAAATAATGTACCAATTTTTAGTAAGGATAATGTACAAATTTGACTTTCCCTCTGAGCGTAGATGTTCTTTAATAAACATTCTAATGTTCTTTAATTAAGTCACTTATTCAACAAACATATACAAGCAGCTAGTGTGTGTTGGGCTAGGCGTTGAGTTAGGTAAAGGGATGATAATAAGCTAGCACTTAGCACTTATGCCAGGTACTGATTTTTTCTAAGTGATTTGCCTATATAAACCATTTAATTCTCACAACTCTATGAGGTGGGTATTGAATTTGCCCATTTTACAGATGAAGAAACTTAATCAGAGAGTCACGGTGCCAGGAAGTGCAAGCCAACCAAGCAGTGTGTGTGGTTTGAGTCTGGACTCTCAACCTCAATGCCACACTGTCACACAAGACAAATAAGACTAGCTCTTGGTTCTCCTGGACCTTAACGACCACATCACCCAGAAAGAAAAGAAGAAAAAAGAGAAGGAAGGAAGGAAGGGAAACAAGTCACCAACTTATGACAATGTGAATACTGTGAACAAAGAGTGTGAACAAAGTATTCTGAGAGCACAGAAGAGATGGTAATTAATTTTTCCTAGGGGAGGATTATTCAAGGCTTCCTAAAAACTGGGCCCTAGCAGGGGGGCGTGGTGGCTCACACCTGTAATCCCAGTGCTTTGGGAGGCTGAGGTGGGAGGATCACTTGAGCCTAGGAGTTTGAGACTTGCCTGAGCAACATAGCAAGACTCCATCTCTACAAAACGTTTTTTAAAAATGTCAAAAACTACTCAGGCATGGTGGCACAGGCCTGTGGTACCAGCTACTCTGTAGGCTGAGGTGGGAGGATCACTTGAGCCCAGGAGTTTGAGGCTGCAGTGAGCTATGATTGTGCCACCGCATTCCAGCCGGGGTAACAGAGCAAGGCCCTGTCTCTTAAACAAAACAAAAACAGACCTGGGCCCTGGAAAAAGGGATGGCAGTTTGCCAAGCAGACAGGAAGAAAATTCCAGACAGAAGAAATGGTATCAACCAGGCATGGAGGCATCCTGAAAGTCAAGTCAAGTTCTGGGAATAGCAAATACTTCAAGTGTTGTTAGAGTGGAGGATGCATGGACCATGTCTGAGGTTGAGGCTGGCTCTCGCTTGTAAATGGCTTTTGAACCTTGAGACTTTCACAATGAAATTCAATGAAAAATCAATTTCTGGATTTGGAGCCTAAGAGCCTCACCATGTGAGTGGATACCTCCAACATCCCCCCACCCCTTGAGTCCATTAGGTAAAACCAGTCATGGTTTGGGGAAGGAAATTATGACTTTTCCTGAATTTTAAAAAATTTAAAAAGCTCTGTTTGCTTTTTTTTCTTAAGCTTAGAAAGAAGCCTCCATATGACCATGTTATTAGGAAGTCCTGAAATTTCAAGCAGTGGAGAAACATGTATTTCCCACTTCTTTGGAATCTATTATATGGGCCTCTGCCATGAAAGGAAATACTCTTCGGGGCTTCTTCCCCAGCTCACATTTGCCTCATCTGCTGACTGTGAAAGATTCCTCTGGCACAGAGACAGTGAGGTGGGCATGTGGGACAAGGGCATGGCCCCAAAGCCAGAGGTGCCCTGTCATGGGTGTGAGGGACATAAAGTGAGTTTTGTATACATGTATGACTATGTATTGTATTAGAGACGTTCCTATCCTTTGAGTAACTTTTTGGAAAGACTATAAAGGCTTTAACTTAAAAATCGAATCCGAGCGAGTTTTACTGGCACAAGCCAAAAGTACCCAAGTCTGCTTTAGACCTAGAACTACCCTGACTCCTAGCACGTGATGCTCCTTGAATCACAACTGAATACTCTCAAAGTGGGTCTCTGACTGAGGGAATTTTCTATAATTGGTTTTCGGATTGATGTTAGTAATCTTTAGACAGTTGAAGAATTTGATTATAAAAGTTAGCATAGCTTCAATGGGAATAAGAACAATGCTTCCTCCAGGACTTTTCAAGATCAAATTGGGATGTGGGGTGGGGGAGAAAATAAAATCTGTAACAGAAATATAGATGAAAGAATGCTCTTCTGGTGGTGATGACCCCAAGGCCTCTAGCCTTCCCATCCCTAACCCTAATCTGACTCACTCCTTGATCAGCCTTTCTCTTTCCCCAGTGATGGGAAATGTTATACTGGCTTATTGGCTAAAATTATACAGGATCCTCATCTGGATTAGGGTCAAAGATGGCAGCAGTAGAAAAGCATCCCCCAGAAATATGCAGGTTCAGGTCCAGACCACTGCAATAAAGTGAGTATTGCAATAAAGCAAGTCACATTAATTTTTTAGTTTCCAAATGCATAAAAAGTTATGTTTTTCCTACAATGTAACCTATTAAGTGTGCAACATTGTGTCTACAGAGACAATGTATATACCTTAATTTAAAATACTTCATTGCTAGAAAATGCTAACGATCATCTGAGCCTTCCGCAAGTTGTAATTATTTTTCTGGCGGAGGGTCTTGCCTTGATGTTGATGGTTGCTGACTGATCAGGGTGGTGGTTGCTGATGGTTGGGAAGGCTGTGGCAATGTCTTAAAGTAAGATCACAATGAAATGTGTCACATTGATTGACTCTCTTTCACAAAGATTTCTCTGTAGCATACAATGCTTTGTTTGATAGCATTTTATCTGCAATAGAATTCTTTCACAATTGGAGACGATTCTCACAAAACCTGCCGCTGCTCTACCAACTATGTTTATGGAATATTCTAAATCCTCTGTTGTCATTTCAACAATGTTCATGGCATCTTCACTAGGAGTAGATTCCATCTCAAAAAAAAAAACAAAACTCTTTGTTCATTCAGAAGAAGCAATTTCTCAGCCACTTAACGTTTTATCATGAGATTGCAGCAATTCCATGGCATCTTCAGGCTTCACTTCTTATCCTAGTTCTCTTGTTCTTTCTACCACATCTGCAGTGACCCCTCCACTCAAGTCTTGAACCCCTCAAAGTCATTCATGGGTCTTGGAATCAACGTCTTCCAAAATACTGTTGATGTTGATATTTTGATCTCCTCCTATGAATCGGAAATGTTCTTAATGGCATCTAGAATGGTGAATTCTTCCCAGAAGATTCCTTCCCAGATTTATCAGAGGACTCACCATCTATGGCAGCTATGGCCTTACAAAATGTATGTCTTAAACAATAAGACTTGAAATTCAAAATGACTCCTTAATCCATGGGCTGCAGAATGGATATTGTATCAGCAGGCATGAAAACGTTAGTCTCCTTGTACATCTCCACCAGGCCTCTTGGGTGACCAGGTGCATTGTCAATGAGCAGTAATATTTTTAGTGGAATCTTGTATTTTGAGCAGTAGACCTTAACAGTGGACTTAAATTATTCAGTAAACCATGCTATAAACAAATGTGCTAACATCCAGGCTTGGTTGTTCCACTTACAGAGCACAGGCAGAGTAGATTTAGCATAATTCTTAAGAGCTGTCAGATTTTCAGAATGGTAAACAAGAATTGACTTTAAGTCACCAACTACATTAGCTTCTAACAGGAGAGTCAGCATATCTTTTGAAGCTTTGAAGCCAGGCAGTGATTTCTCCTCTCTAGCTATTAATAGTCCTAGATGGCATTTTTTTTTTTTTTTTAAGTAGGGACAGGGTTTCACCATGTTAGCCAGGCTGGTCTCAAACTCCTGACCTCAAATGATCTGCCTCAGCTTCCCATAGTGCTGAGATTACAGGCGTGAGCCACCATGCCCAGTCAGATGGCATCTTCTTCCAACAGAGGACTGTTTCATCTACATGGAAAATCTATGGTTGAGTGTAGCCACCTTCATCAACGATTTGAACTAGGTCTTCTAGATAACTTGCTGCAGCTCCTACATCAGTCCTTGCTGCTTCATCTTGCACTGTTATGTTATAGAAATGGCTTTTTCCCTTAAACCTCATGAAACACCCTCTGCTAGCTTCCAATTTTTCTTCTGCAGCTTCCTCACCTCTCTCAGCCTTTGTAGAATTAAGGAGAATTAAGGCCTTGCTCTGGATTAGGCTTAGGCTTAAGAGAATGCTGTGACTGGTTTGATCTTCTACCCAGACCACTGAAACTTTCTCTATATCAACAATAATACTGCTTTGCTTTCCTATCATTGTATGTTCACTGAGTAGCACTTTTAGTTTCCTTCAAGAACTTTTTCTTTGCATTTACAACTTGGCTAAATGTTTGGCACAAGAGGCCTGGTTTTCAGCCTATCTCAGCTTTCAACTTGCCTTCCTCACAAGGCTTAATCATTTCTAGCTTTTCACTTAAAATGAGAGATATGTGACTCTTCTTCCATTTGAACACTTACATGCCATTGTAGGGTTATGAATTGGCCTAATTTCAATATTGTTCTGTATCAGGGAATAGAGAGGCCTGAAGACAGGGAGAGAGACAGGGAATGGCTTGTTGGTGAAGCAGTCAGAACACACACAATGTTTATCAATTAAGTTCACTGTCTTCTGTGAGCATGGTTTCAGGCACTCCAAAACAATTACAACAGTAATATCAAAGATAACTGATCACAGATCACCATAACAGGCATAGTAGTATTGAAAACATTTGAAATATTGTGAGAATTATCAAAATGTAATGCAGAGACACAAAGTAAACATGTGCTGTTGAAAAAATGATACCAATAGACTGGTTTGAGGCAATGGTTGCCATAAAACTTCAATTTGTTAAAAAAAAAAAAAAAAGCAATACCTGTAAAGTGCAATAAAGCAAAGTGCAACCAAACAAGGCGTGCCTGTATTTTGAAATTCAATTAAACTTTTTTTTTTTTTAAAGAAAGGAATATGCATATATTCACTTCTGGAAAATTTCATTGAAATGTATTATTTATCACTTACTATTATATGTAGTCCTTGTTGCTTAATTTTAAAACATCTCTGCTCCTTCTCCAATCCCACCCCCACCTGTAGGCAGGTTTTAGGATAATACTCACATGTCTGTAAAGCACTCTGAGATCCTTGGCTAGAAGGTTCTGTATCAAAGCAAAGAATATTTTGTTTTATTGATTGTTCACTAACACATGAAGCAATTTTCTGGAAATGGAAATACACCAAATATTTACCTTGTTTAGTTCTTTTTCTTTTATAGTATGTTGCAAGGAATACCACGGATAAAAGTAAGAGGACCAATAAAATCAATGGGATTAACACCATCAGTATAAACTCTAACTGATTTTCATCCGGAGCAAAGTTGGTAGAATTTATATTTGCATTTAATGTTTCTTTGATGGTCACTGCAGCAAATGTGCTTGGAATAGTCACTTTATTTGGTCTTTCAGATTCCACAGTTGTATCTCCTGAGTTTTCTAATTCCTCATAATTACCTGTGGGAATAGATACAAAATTGAAATTTCCATGGAGACAAAGTTAGTATGTTATATTGTCAATGATTTTTAAATTATTCCTAGATACATTCTGTGATAAATTTGACCCACTATACTTGGCCTCCAAGCTAAGTGTGACACAGAACATTGATTTAACATAAATGAAGCTCAAGCTGGGAGTGTATTGAATATGGAATCAGAGCTCAGAGAAAAACCTTGCACAAAGGTAGGCAGTTTTGCATTGACCAGACATTTTAGATACGCTTAAGCAAAGTGGATTCGGAAGCTTCCTCATGTTAAGGGTGATTTTCCAAGCCAAGTAATGTGATATTACAGGACATCTCCTATAGGGTATGATAATATTTTAACAAAATGTCTGAATAAATTTAAATTCACATTTACTAAAATTAAGTACATGCCATACAGCACTTTTAGATGTAAAGAAATGCACTCTGTGTCCTAATTTTTTTTTTTTTTTTTGAGGCAGAGTCTTGCTCCATTGCCCAGGCTGGAGCGTAGTGGCATGATCTCAGCTCACTGCAACCTCCACCTCCTGGGTTCAAGCAATTCTCGTGCCTCAGCCTCCAGAGTAGCTGGGATTACAGGCATGTGCCACCATACCCAGCTAATTTTTGTATTTTTAGTAGAGACAGGGTTTCACCATGTTGGCCAGGCTGGTCTCGAACTCCATGCCTCAAGTGATCCACCCGCCTCAGCCTACCAAAGTGCTAGAATTGCAGGTGTGAGCCACTGCGCCTGTCTGTGTCCTAATATTTAAATAAAAGGTTACCTATCAATGGAAAATAATTCTTTGAAAATGAATTGACTGTGCCGGGCATGGTGGTTCACGCCTGTAATCCCAGCACTATGGGAGGCTGAGGTGGGCAGATCACCTGAGGTCAGGAGTTCGAGACCAGCCTGACCAACATGGTGAAACCCTGTCTTTACTAAAAATACAAAAATTAGCTGGGCGTGGTGGTGCATGCCTATAATCCCAGCTACTTGGGAGGCTGAGGCAAGAGAATTGCTTGAACCCAGGAAGCAGAGGTTGCAGTCAGCCAAGATCGCGCCATTGCACTTCAGCCTAGGCAACAAGAGCGACACTCCATCTCAAAAAAAAAAGAAAAAGAAAAAAGAAAAGGAAAATAAAAACCATCAGGATGAGAAAGGACTACTGACTTGATGACTATCTGAAAAACTTTTCCTTACCTGTCTAAGCAGTAGTCATGGTAAGATAAGCTGAAGGTCTTTGTCCTAATATCGTATAATGTTGTCTACCTTTCAGAAGGGGCCAACTGAGGAAAATACCTCGTAAGTTGATGCTACAGAAAACTTATCAAATGAGATAATTTACAAGAAAGTTATTCTAAGGTGAAAGGAACTATGCAAATACAGAAGTCAGCTGCTTTAAACCACACTCTGCGGTATAGGTTAGGCAATTACTTTACAGAATGATCAAACTGGACATTGCAGAGCCAATTCAATAGTTCATCTATCTTCATAATCCCATGACAATGGAGTCCTCTGATTTTGGTTGAAACAATAAAAATGTTTGGTCACTGCTATGAATTGAATGTTTGCATTCCCCTCAAATTCATATATTGAAGCCCTAATCCTCAATGTGATGGATTAGGGCTAAGAGGTGAGGCCTTTGAGAGGTCATTAGGTTTAGATGAGGTCATGAGAGTGGGGACCCTATGACAGGATTATTGCTCCTATGAGAAGATAAGAAAACCAGAGTTCTCTTTCCTTGCCATATGTGGATACGGAAAGGTGGTGACTGCAGGCCAGGGAGAGAGTTCTCACCAAATACTAAATCTTCTAGCACCTTTGATCTTGAACTTCCCAGCCTCCAGAACTGTGAGAAATAAATGTCTGTTGTTTTAAGTCTTGCAGTCTGTGGTATTTTGTTATGGTATCTGAGCTAAGACAGTAAGAATCTAATTGTGTTGATTGTATGAATAAATACTTTCAGTCTCCCACATCAGGGAATTCATTTGATAATCCCTTTAGTAAATGCAACCCCAAACCATCAGAATCAATTACAAACTACAGAGTAAACTCACTGGTGTTTCTCATGTGTATATGCCAAAGGCAGGATTGAAAAAAAAAACTACCAATGTTTGAAGAGTGGAGGGGCTTCAAAATGGCTGACTAGATGCATCTGGCAGTCACCTCTTCACAAAAAATAACAAAAATACTGAGTAGATAAGCTACATTTTGAATTGATCATTTAAGGGAGAACACAGGAATTCAACAGAGTAGTAATAGACAACACTTAAAGCACGGAAGGAGAGGGAAATAAGGCATCCTTCTTGGCTGAGACTGGCTGGGAGCCAGGAGAAGCTCCCCAATGTGGGGAAAGGGTAGTGGTCCATATTTCCACTGCAGACTCCTGCAGCCTAGCCACGGGAGAGCCCCTCAACTCTCACAGGCCCTGAGACTAACACTGAGAGCGCCTGTACACTGTGCAATGGCATTGCTCCAGAGAGGGACCTTATGCGGAGTCCCACACACCCCTGAGCCCTAGTGGCTGCAGCACAGTGCCACTTTGAGGGCCCAGCCCCCACCAGACTGTATCCTGCCCTAGGGCCCAACAGCCCCTGAATCTCCATGTCTCTGGAGCTCCTGCCTGCAGCCACCAGCGCTGCTGGCTGCTGCTGCCAGGGCCAAGGTAGGAGCCGCTGGCAGCACCCCTCCCCCCACCCCTGGCCAGCAGCGGGGCGCTCACACATGTTTATGTGCCTCAAGGACAAACTCCACTGTCCTCAGCTATTGCTGCTATAAACTGCTGCTGCTAGGGCCAAAGCATGAGCAAAGCATAGCCCCAGCTGGCTGCCTATGGTTGCTCCCACTGAAAGCAATCCCATCCTCTGCAGTAGCAGGCAGCAGTGTAGTCACTGCTGCCTTCACCTGAGCTTTCTATCAGCAGCCTGGGGATTGCTTCACCCCTACCTATTACAGCCAGCTACTGCATGCCCCACCAGAGAGTCAAAGAACAGGTCTGCACAGGCCAGCTCTCTCCCAGTGCAGTACTTGAGTGTGCCATTTGGGGCCTGGTGATTGCCCAGCCCAGTCTAGTCCATCACCACTGGCACCACAGCATTCCTCCCAGATGCCTGAGGTTGGGACTACCCACTCTGCTGCCACCATCATAGTTGGCATCCACCCTCATGTACCAGCTACAGGCCTGGGGACTGGCCTGCCCAGTCCATTGCAACCACTGCCAACACTAGCATGGGTACTTGGGACCCAGCGTGTTGTCCTACCACTGATACTGCCAACACCCACGTCAATCTGCCTACCTGCCTGGCTAACCACTACCATTTCTAGCACCCAAGCAAGACACCTGGAAGCCCAAAAACCAGCCTGCCTGGACACACTAACACCAGTGCCAGTGTATACTGCCTTGGGATCCAAGGACAGATATGCTCAACCCACCCCTGTCACCACTGGGGCCTGAAGACTGGCCCACCTGGTATCCTAGTCCCCAGCAATACTTCACCACAGCCTCCACTAACAACCACATCCTAAGCTGCTGGGGAAGCCACAGATACTACTGGCACTGGTTCCAGCAGAATAAATCATATGGAGACTACACTAATGTACATACCCAGAATCAAAGCCAAAGCACTCTACCTAACCAACACCAAAGAAACACCTTACTTTCATAGGGGAGAACTTTTTCCTCCCCTATGAAAGTAAATTCAGAGGCCGGGCGCAGTGGCTCATGCCTGTAATCCCAGCATTTTGGGAGGCTGAGGCAGGTGGATCACCTGAGGTCGGGAGTTCAAGACCAGCCTGACCAACATGGAGAAACCCCATCTCTACGAAAAATACAAAATTAGCCGGGCATGGTGGTGCATGCCTGTAATCCCAGTTACTCAGGAGGCTGAGGCAGGAGAATCGTTTGAACCTGGGAGGTGGAGGTTGCGGTGAGCCAAGATCATGCCATTGCACTCCAGCCATGAGAGGATACAGAAAAACAATACCCAAAATTAGAAAACAATTCAGGGTATGAATGAGAGAAATTCACCAAAGAGATAGAGATAATAAAAAAGAACCAAACAAATTCTGGACCTGAAGAATTCATAAAATAAAATCAAATACACTTGAAAGCTTCAACAATAGACTAAATCAAGCAGAAGGAAGAATCTCAGAATTTGAAGACAGGTCTTTTGAAATAACCTAGTCAGATAAAAATAAAGAAAAAAGAATGAGAAAAGCCTGTGTGACATACGAGATACCATAAAGCAAGAAGGCAAAGAGAAAATGAGTGTTAGAAAACCTTTTTAATGAAACAAGGCCAGATGCAGTGGCTCATGCCTGTAATCCCAGCACTTTGGGAGGACAAGGAGGGCAGATTGCTTGAGCTCATGAGTTCAAGGCCAGACTGGGCAACATGGCAAAACTCCATCTCTACTAAAAATACAAAAATTAGCTGGGTGTGGTGGCATGCTCCTGAAAACCCAGCTACTCAGGAGGCTTAGGCAGGAGGACCATCTGAGCCCTGGAGGCAGAGGTTGCAGTGAGCTGAGATTGTGCCACTGTACTTTAGCCTCAGCAACAGAGCCAGATCCTGCCTAAAAAGAAAAAGAAAAAGAAGACCTGTTTAATGAAACAATAGATGAAAACTTCCCAAGTTTCGCAAGAGATTTAGACATCCAGATACAGGAAGCTCAGAATTCTCCAAATAGATATAATTCAACAAAGGACTTCTCCACAGCACATTATAGTCAAACTGTCAAACATCAAAGACAAAGAAATAATCTAAAATCAGCAAGAGAAACGCATGTAGTCACCTATAAAGGAACCCCTATCAGACTAACAGTTAATTTCTCAGCAGAAATCTTACAGGCCAGGAGACAACAGGGTAATAAAGTCAAAGGGCTGAAAGAAAACAAAACAATGACAACAAAAACCCTGTCAACCAAGGATTCTATACCCAGCAAAGTTATCCTTCAAAAACAAAGGAAAAACAAAGTCTTTCCCAGACATGCAAAAGCTGAGGGAATTCGTTACCACTAGACTGGCCCTAAAAGAAATGCTTAAGGGAGTCCACTGAGAAGCAAAAGAACAATATTTATCATCATGAAAACAATGTTAGAACACAAAACAAGCTCAACACATTTTTAAAAATTGAAATCATATCAAATATCTTCTCAGACCACAACAGAATAAAACTACAAGTCAATAATAAGAAGAACTTTGGAGACTGTACAAATACATGGAAATTAAATAACATGCTCCTGAATGACCATTGAGTCAAGAAAGAAATTAAGGAGGAAATTTTTTAAAAAAGGCTTGAAACAAATAAAAATGGAAACACACCATGCTAAAACCTATGGGATACAGCAAAAGCAGTGCTAAGAGGGAAGTTTATAGTAACAAATACCTACATCAAAGAAGTAGAAAGATTTTAAACAGACAATCTAGTGATGCATCTCAAGGAACTAGAAAAGCAAGAGCAAATCAAACCCAAAATTAGTAGAAGGAAAGAAATAATAAAGATCAGAGCAGAACTAAATGAAATAGAGACTAAAAACAAACAAAAAACAAACAACACTACAATGAAATATCATTTCATTGAATGGTTATTTTTGGGCACAGTGGCTAATGCCTATAATCTCAGCATTTTTGGAGGTCAAGATAGGAGGATCACCTGAGGTCAGGAGTTTGAGACCAGCCTGGCCAGCTAAAAATACAAAATTTTTAGCTTTACTAAAAATACAAAAACTAGCTGGGCATGGTGGCACACTTCTGTAGTTCCAGCTACTTGGGAGGCTGAGGCAGGAGGATCACTTCAACCCAGGAGTTGGAGGTTGCAGTGAACTGAGATCACACCATTGCACTCCAGCCTGGGTGACAGAGCAAGATTCCATCTCAAAAGAAAAAAAAAAAAGGTTATTGTTGAAAAGGAAAAAGCATTCTTGCCTCATCTCTGGCAAGAATGCAGAGATAAGGGAACTCTTACACACTGTTGGTGGGAATGTAAATTAGTACAGCCACTATGGAAAACAGTAGGGCAATTTCTCAAAAAACTAACAAGAGAACTACCATACAATCCTCAATCTCACTACTGGGTATTTATCCAAAGGAAAATAAATCAGTATATCAAAGGAATAATTGCACTCGCGTGTTCATTGCAGCACTATTCACAATAGCCAAGATATGAAATCAACCGACGTATCTATCAATGGTTGAATGGATAAATAAAATGTGGTATATATACACAATGGAATACTATTCAGTCATAAAAAAGAATGAAATCATGTCTTATGCTGCAACATAGATAAAGCTGGAGGTCATTATTTTAAGTAAAATAAGACAGGCACAGAAAGACAAATATCTTATGTTCTTGCTCATATGTGGGAGCTAAAAAAGTTGATCTTACAAAGGTAGAGAGTATAATTATAAATATCAGAGGCTGGGAAGGGTGTGTGGGTAAGAGTAGGGGAAGAAGAGAGGTTGGTTAATGGGTAGAAACATACAGTTAGACAGTATAAATTATAATGTCCAATAGTAGAGTAGGACGACTGTAGTTAACAATAATATATTTTATATTTCAAAGTAGCTAGAAGACAGGACTTGAAATGTCCTCAGCACATAGAAATGATAAATACTTAAAGTGATGGATACCCCAAATACACTGACTTAATCATTATAGATTCTATCCATGCAACAAAAAATATCACATGTGCCCTATAAGTATGTAAAATATTATGTGTCAATAAAAATCCACCACTTACTGATCTCTGCCTTCTGAGTTAAGTGGCTTTGTCCTACATTTACAGTAGTCCCCCATTATCCAAGCGGAACATGTTTCAAGGCCCTAGAAGATGCCTGAAATTATCGGTAGTACTGAACCCCACATACACTGTGTTTTTTCTAAACATACCTATGATAAAGTTTAATTTATAATTAGGCACAGTAAGCAATGAATAACTAGTAATAAAATAGAACAATTACAACAATATACTATAATAAAAGTATGTGCATGTGATCTCTCTCTGGCTCTCAAAATATCTTATTGTACTGTACTATTTGTGGCCACGGTTGACCATGGGTAACTGAAACCACGGGTAACTGAAACCACGAAAAACGAAACTGTGGATAAGGGGGGACTACTGTATAAGTCTTTAAAATTGGGTAAGTCAATAATGTATTCACATATATGTTAAAGCCTTTGATATATCATGTATCACCCTGGACTAGTAAAGGACATTTGTCTTCCAGAAAACCTCCTCATTAAAATGATTCTGCTTGGAGAACTACTGCAGCCAGATCAAATAGCGTTTTCACTGGTAACCTTGGCCAGTGAAGACTGGTACATATGGGTATGATGAGGTTGGGTGTGGGGTGGGGAATGGGGTTGGTGGTTGGTGCGGCTGATGGTAATAATCCTTTTACCTAGAGGTCAGTGAATCTTCCTTGAGTATCCAGACCCCGCCCCCCCCTCACTTTACTTCTTTTGGTTACTTCTATGAATACTGTAGCCGCTGTTACTATTTCAGCATCTTTTTTTGAGAATTTACTAAGAACCAATCTCTATGCTCTGCCTTGTACCCGGATTATCGATTATCTCATTTTGTCCTCACCATTTTTTCAGATAGACATTAGGGCAAAGAGGTTACACAACTTGCCCAAGATCACAGAGCTCACATGGAGGAGTGACGATTTGAAACCAGGGGGCCGATGGCAGAACCAGAGCTTATAACCCCACACAGTGTTTTCCCTCCCTCAGGGAGGAATGCAATGCTTGCAAATCATAAAGTTTGGCCATAAAGTGGTGAATGAGAGGGAACCTCCTGCTCCCATTCCTCCGCCTATACTAGGAGGTGGCTTTCTGGCACAAGGCAGGACAGAGGAAAGGGTTCCCAGAAACCTCGGCTTTACTGGGGCTCTTGCTAAGGCTCCTCAGCTCAGATGCGTTGCCAGAAAAGCTGCCCAGAAGGACAGGGTCTTTTCAGCACCTCTCTGAGGAAGGTGAATGAAGTCCCTAGAAGAACACTTTGCATCTTAGTCACCATTTGACCCGTGGCCCCGGGAAAAGAGAAAATAGGAAAGGAAACAAGCTAACAAGAATAATGGGGACATCTAGACAATCGGGAATAAAAGAGAAACGGAAAGAAGCATACCAGATGGTCCTGGCCTGTGTACATTTACTTTTCAGCGTGAGACAACGCTGTTCACAGGTGGCCCTTGGTGGAACGGTGGAGTTAAAGAGGCTGAAAGTTCTCTCTGCAATGTCCCCCTCCCACATGCCCTCACATATGTTTTCTGCATTAAGCATCATTTGCTCTCTCAGATTCTCTAGTGGCTATTTAAATAAATGAGAATCAAGGGATTGTTCTCTTTCTCTCTCTCTCTCTCTCTCTCTCTCTCTCTCTCTCTCTCTCTCTCTCTCTCTCTCTCCCCCCAACTCTATGATAGCTTCAAAATAATAAATTACAGTAACTGGGATGTATTGAATGCTTAGTATGTGCTAGCTGCTAGGATACACATGTGCTATCTAATTCGATCTTCACAACTTTATTGCCCACATTTTACAGATGAAGAAACTGAATCTTGAATGTCTTGCCCTTGCCCTGGGGTGCAATCCTGTCATTTATATTGTTAATTTCTACTGAGTTTTGAAGGTGCATTTCCTCAAGCATAGGTGACAAATAACAGATGAGGGTCTGGTCATAGCTCTGCCACTTTGTACTTATAGAATTTGGACAAATTACTTTTCTCTTGATGACTTAATGCTCTAATCTGTACAACTAAGGAGTGATCCCCAAGGTCCCATCTATTTCCACATCTCTGTTGATTCCAAAGTGTTCTACCTTGTTTTTAAGTAGTTTTTGAATAGGTAATCTGCACATGGTACTCAGTTCAGAAAGGAAGTTTCGCTACCACCCTTTCCCCAAGTTACTCAGTTTCCTTGCCCAGAAGTAACCACCGTTTCTGCTCCTTTGAGAGAAACTCTATGCATATACAAGTATAAGTATTGTTTCCTGTTTTCTCTTTTTGACACAAATGGTAGCACAATTTATATACTTTCTGCCCCTTGCTTTTTTCACTTAAAATTTTATCTTGAAGATCATTCCATGACTGTATAGAGAGCTTTTTTCCCCATTGTTTGAATGTATTATAATCTTTTCCTATTGACAGAGATTTAGGTTCTGTTGTGTTTCCAACAATACTGCAATAAACCTCTCTGCTCATCCTTCAGTTTGCACACAGGCAAGCAAGTTCTACAGTGTATCTAAAAATGGGGAGAGCATGAGAGGGTGTTAGGTGCAGGGTAAGAGGGGACAGCATCAAACTACTCTTGGTGGTCTGATCAGAAAAATTCTCTAAGACAACCCTAGTACTCCAGTTTCCACATAATGAGAATTGACAGAAACTAAGGGAAGAACCAGGTGTGCAGGGAGTCTGGGATGTCAAAGGGAGGAAAGTTGAAAACACTGGGGATCAGCTCCAAGAGTTTGTGCAAGGAGGAATCAAATGTCATCAAAAGGTGAGCTGGCAAACAAAGATGAGCCATAGAATCAGATCAGCAGCCAGGAGTGGATTGCCAAGGTGACAAGGTAAGAGTTAGGAAGAAAATCAGAAGTGTACACCAACAAGGTGGAAACCAGAGGAGGTGCCAAAGGCCACAAAAGTATGGATGCGGAGGGCAGCTCAAGGGATTTCCCCCAAAACATGACAGGTGTCCCTCCCATGGCCTATGGGTTAACAGCCACTCTTAATGCAGTGGACATGGGGCCCCCTAAAACCACTGTGTTTAAAGAAACACTGACTAAGGCCCATAATCGTCCATGGAGATTTCCTGCGGGCGGCATCCTGGGCTTCTTGGGTGAAAGTGACCTTTTACAACTTTGGGAGTCCAGCCACTGTGGAGGAAGGCAGAACTCTCTTTCAGGAAATAAGTCTGGAGGTGAACCCTCCAGAACACACAGGGGTACTTCCCTGTGCTGCGCTCCAGGACTCCAAGGACATAACCATAGCATCGTGGAAGGAAGACAGGATTTGAATTCAGAAGAGCTAGGCTTGAGACTGGCTGCTGCCCTCTGCACCCTTGGGGCCTGGGAAGAATTCCCTCCCTCTCTAATTCTCCATTTCCTAAAAGCCAAAAAAGTAGGCCTTCTGCTCTGTCTAGCCCATAGTGTTCATATGAAAGTAAATGAAATAAGAACTGTTAAAATGCTTTAGGAGCCATAAAGCACCATACACGGGCCAGGTATTTGTGTCTTTGTTATTTTCTTCATCCATCACCTGTTCTCTTTCCCCCATCTCTGTACTTGCCTGTTTCTCTGCTGTTCCCCAGAAGGTTAATCTGCCTGGTATAACTTCCTCATTTTACTGCTACTTTACTTCCTTATCTAAATTTGGGCATATTTCAGGGTAAAAGAGGTGGGGCTAGAGGTAAAACTAGCAAAGCTACAGAAGACAGAAATAGGACACAGGGTTAGAGGGCAAAGAGAGAGGCATTAACAAGCAAAAGAATAGAAAAGAAGAAATAAGGAACACAACAGGTTAGAAGCAGAAAGGTGTGTGAAGGTCAGTCTTGCGTGGCTTCATGCCCTGCATGGGACCAAACTCCCAGATCACTGGGTGTGAGGGCCGAGGCTGGTAGCCTCATAAGCTGCAGATTTGGCAGAAGCCCCTGCTGTTAGGTGGCCAAGTCACAGTCATCTCAAGTGACCGCAACACAAACTCTCCCAGGAAGTCTCTCTCCGTTTCACCAGTTCTCTTTCTCTCTGGTCAGATAATGTAGCATTTTAAAGAGATAATGGAAGTGGTCAGTCATGTGAATGATGAAACTAAGCTGCAATACTTCACTTTATTGTTTATCCAAAAATCTTAAGATCACTTGATAATAAACTGCACAGTGTACAGAGTCACTTACAAATACTTATTGACAATATTCACGCAGACACATCTGGGATTCATCTTTCACACATCTGGTGAGGATGTATGGGGAAATCCTTGTAAATGGGAAGAAATGTTTGAGGTAACGCCTGGCAGCCCCAACAGCTGGGCAGCACAGTGTCCCCATTATCCCTGCTCAGGGCATTATCACTAAATGGAAATGACTCTGCTTCTCCAGGAAGCAAACTAGCTAACTTCTCTTTTTCTGAAAGTGAAACAAATGTGCAACCAACACATACGTGCACTGTTTACAATAGCAAAGACATGGAACCAACCCAAATGCCCATCAATGATAGACTGGATAAAGAAAATGTGGTACATATACACCGTGGAATACTATGCAACCATAAAAAAGAATGAGATCAGGCCCTTTGCAAGGACATGGATGAAACTGGAAGCCATCATTCGCAGCAAACTAACACAGGAACAGAAAACCAAACACCACATGTTCTCACTCATAAGTGGGAGTTGAACAATGACAATACATGGACACAGGGAGGGGAACAACACACACTGGGGCCTGTCGTGGCGGGGGGGTACAAGGGGAGGGAGAGCATTAGGACAAATACCTAATACATGCAGGGCTTAAAACCTATATGATGGGTTGATAGGTGTAGCAAACCGCCATGGCACACATATACCTATGTAACAAACCTGCACACTGGAATTTAAAGTAAAATTTTTTTAAAGCTTAATTAATAAACACAAAAATATGTTATAAAACTGCAACCAAGCTCTAGCTTTTAAAGTTAGAAGAAGAAAGTATTATAAACTTACTGAAAGACTGTCACATTAGTAATACAATGTGAAATAAAACAATGACAAGAGAATGCTACTAAACTCAGGATGTCATGAAGTATGTTGGACCACAGTCAGATGCCCCATTCTTTCATTTGTCAATTATGTGAACTCCATGTGCAAATTATTTAAACAATTTTATAGTTAAGATGGTAAAATGAAAGAAAACATGTCAGATGTCAAGCCCTCAAACTCTTCCCTGCGTTGTGGAGTAACTGACATGTTTGAATTTCAGGATGATCAAGAAATCACACCCAAAAGCCTGACTCCTTTTCATTCTCCTGTATATAATGAAGAGCCTGATTAGCATTAGAAGAAGGAGAGAAAAACAAACCAGGAAGTCTTCCAGTGGTTCTCAGCCTAGTCTGCCCATAGAATCACTGAGGCATCTTTCAATAACCTGATGCCCACACCATACCCCAAACTCAGTTACATCAAAATACCTGAGGGTGCAGCTTCTAGGGAGAACGAAGCAGGAGGATCACTTGAGTCCAGTCCAAGGCTGAATGAGCTATGATCACACCAGTGCACTCTAGCCTGGGTAATCGAGCAAGACCCTGTTCTAAATATCGATCAATCTAAATATTTAGGGGTAGAACCCAGGTCTCAATAATTTTTACAGTTCTCCTTGTGGCTCCAGGACGCAGCTGAAGTTGTGTCTCACTTCTCTAGACCCTGCCCACTTCTGGCCTCCCCTGAGCCACACCAGATCATTCCCTGTCTTGTTCTCTATGGTCCTCGGTGAATTTGAGAAAAATTAGAGGTCAAGGAGTTGGATGCCAAAGGCTTGCCTAGCAGCTGCCAACTCTATCACCAGAATACAATAGCTTAAAAATCATCACTGAAGTCTCAAGAACCTGGAAGAGTCTAGCTAGGATATGAGAGAGGGCTGTGACAATCACACCTTCCTGAATAAGCCTGAATTAGAGAGATGCATGCCAGGGTTTAAACCCTGCATATCCAGAAAATGTTATGGCTAATAGAAGAGCTATCAGCAATAGCTTTAATTGGTGCTTTAAGACAGCGGTCCTCAAACCTTAGTGTGTATTGGAAACACCTACAGCCCTTCTTAAAACACAGATTGTTGGGCGTAGTCTTACAGTTTCTGATGTAATAGGTCTGGGAGGGGGCCCAAGAATTTGCTTTTTTTTTTTTTTTTTGAGACAGGGTCTCACTTGGTTGCCCAGCCTGGAGTGCAGTGGTATGAACATGGCTCACTGCAGCCTTGCACTCCTGGGCTCAAGCAAACCTCCCACCTCAGCCCACCAAGTAGGTGGGACTACAGACGTGCGCCACCACGCCTGACTAATTTTTGCATTTTCTGTAGAAACAGGGAGTCTCACTTTGTTACCCAGGCTGGTCTCCAACTACTGGGCTCAAGCGATCCTGCTTCAGCCTCCCAAAGTGCCAGGATTACAGGCATGAGCCACCAAGTCCTACCAGAATTTGCATTTTCAACAAGTAATCAGGTTGTGCTGATGCTGCTGGTCTGCAGGGCATACTGGTTGAAGTTGCTCAAACAATCTCATTTAGTTGTGGCTAATTATCAGTCACACCTGTTGTTGTTCTCCACATTTGCTGTGCATCAGCGTCACCTGGGAAGTTTTCAAGCCCTAACCAAATTAGTTATTTGAGACTATCTGGGGGCGTGGCCTGGGTAACAGTATTTCTTAAAAGCTCCCCAAATAACTCTAGTAAGTATGTATGTTAGGTTGAGAATGACTGAGTTAAATAATAACTGAGTGGACTTTATTTTAATTTGCCATTGTTCGTGAAGACAGTCATTAGTTTTAAATGTGATTAGACAACCCTCCACAGAAGCCTTTGGGAACAAAATTAAATTTTGTAGAGACAGGGAGTCTCACTTTGTTACCCAGGCTGGTCTCAAATTACTGGGCTCAAGCAATCCTCCTGCTTCAGCCTCTCAAAGTGCCAGGATTACAGGTATGAGCCACCAAGTCCTACCAGAATTTGCATTTTGGAGTATGCACCATTAAACAGTTTAACTCTTCAGTTGATCTCTTTTTAAAAATCAATTGTTCAGCATCTGTGGAATCTGATTGTGATGTGGTCAGGGACAGAATGGGACTAAAATGAGAATAACCATGCCAGACTCTTCAGGACACAACCTGGCTATGGGAGGCTGATTGTGTTTGCATGGAGACACTAACTCCAAGTGGATGGATGACACCACTGGGACACTGTTGCTCATGGACCACAGACAGTGGCGCTGGGACACCAATGCTCAGACTATAGATGGTGGTGATGGGACACCATTGCTCATGGACTGCAGACAGTGCTACGAGGACACCGATGCTCATGGACTACAGATGCTGCTCTGAAGTGCTCTGCACTTTACTTTTCTCTAGTTCATTTCCAAACGGTACTAACTTATTATTTATTATCTGGAATTACTTCATTTGTGTACTTCTCTGCCATCTGTCTCCTTCACTGTTTTGTACGTATCCCCAGCACCTGCAACCCCATCTGCTGTGTGTGGAAGGAATGACTGAAGGAAATGTCCAATAGGCCTGGTGGGCCTGTGGTGAAATTGCCAGTCACGCTCTCACCTTTTTCTCCAGAGTCTGATCTCCTCCTTCCCCTAACAACTTCCTTTCTGTCATACATACACGGTGTATCTCTAGTCACAAAGAAAGACAAATCTAAAGTGGTTTTCCTTCAAAAAGCTATCTAAATTTTTCGAACATACAAGGGAATGGAGGAATTGCTTAATAACAACTTATGCATCCTAAATAATGAGACTTCATGTTTATAGTTTTTTTTTTGTCAGGAGCAATGAGGGTGGTTCATGCATTTGCCCCCACGTAAAGGTCAGGTGACTTGATTCTCTCTGGGAGCAGGACTCGAGAAGAGGAGGGATTGCTGTTTTCTTATAAGCTCAGTTGTTCTACATATTTGCCAATTTTATTAAGTGAAAGCCTTCACCTAATATGTTTTTTCTGACTAATTTACTTGAAGAAGTTATGGACAGAGTAAATAGGTGGTTGAACAGATACAAGGCAGAAGCATTGAAGATTAATGGCAGCTTGTAAGTGCAGAAAGGTATTTGAGATCATCAAGCAATGCCTGTGTTTTGTACACTTTTTCTCTTCAGCCACCAGATAACTAGAGGTGATGATGCCTTGCATCGAAAGAACATAAAGAAAGGATTCTTTTTTCTGGTTTTGAGGAGGTTGTCTGGTAAAACACTTTCAGCCAGTAGTCTGCTCTGGGAAATTACTCGTTAGGGTTTGTTGTATTTTTACCTCCTTGAATTGAGAAGCACACCTGCAACTGTAATTTACTATCAGATTAAAACATGTTTCACAGTGGGGAGACCCACAATGTTCCAATGTCTTTTTCATTTGAAACTTTTATTTTGATGTCTTTTTAAGAGGAAGCTTGCTCACATTTAATCAGATTTGCTCAGGCCCCAAGGCTGTTTCTGGTTTGAAGTCACTCACTTGGGGAAGCTGCATTTTTGACCGCCTGACTACCTTTTTATACACTGGAATCCTACAGTAACCTGTAGCACCTGGCAGTTTTAAAGAATGCGTATTTTTAGGAGACAGAACACAAATATATTTTAAAACCTTCAAAAAGTTCTTCGTACCATCAATGAGATAAGCAACATGAAAGTGCTTTGAAATGAAAAAAAAAAAAGGATTATTAAATGATCGTTATTGCCAAACTGAATACTTTCCCAATTTTACTATATTTCTACTTATTTTATTATATTTCTTCTTTTCAAGGGCCAATTTCAAAATTATAATTGAAAAGAGTAACTTGAAAACAGATACTCCCAGCCATGCCCTTGCCTCAAGACATCTGCCGTCTCCCTGGCCTCTGAGGCAGGGTGGGAAGACACCGCCACCCCATTCCATAGGTGAAGAGCTCTTTCATGGGGTACATGCGCATCCCACTCCTTGCTCGGCTCAGCACAAGCTCAGCATTGCCAGAGAGAAAAACTGGAAGACAGAGACAAACAAAACAACAACTGGTAGGTGGGTGCTTGTGATAAGTTAAAGATAGGAAACCAGGGAACGCTGTGGGCTGCCACCCCAGGGGCTTGGTCGCCACCAAGAGTGAAGGAGGAACAACAGGGAGAGGATATGCACCAGAGTCCCCATCGCCAGCCTAAGCAGGAGCACAGGAGCAACAGCGTTTGATGCTTTCCTACAAGAGGCTGAAGAAGGAAACAAGTTGCTGAGGTTTTGAAGAATCGTGGGTCGCATTTCCTTGGATCAGCTAAGCCCCGAACAGATCCCTAAAGCAACTGGGCTTCTGGTCCTATTTCACCTTCAAAGAGAATCAATCCTACCCTTCCATCCTGAACAGTCTTCTAGGCTCAAGCACTCTGAATTTTCCTATCGTGGCTGGAGCTATCGATTTGGTGCTAGTCTCACTCTCTTTGTCAACCTCTCTTGTGCATTTATTAATACAAACTTATTATTTTTTCCTAACTTAGTTTTTAACGTGATTACATTCACAGATTTTTTAAAAGTTGATCTGCTCTTGAATTCCTGGTTTTATTCTATGTAATTATCAGTATTTTTTTTCAGAAATGGTCTCTTTTTATTTGAATGGTTGATCTAGGACTCAGCCTAAATATTATTCTAATACGTAGCTGTACATAACCAACATGTCTATGATGTTAGTGATGAACCAGAACCAACACAGAGATGGTCTTTGCCTGATAAAAGATAATCACAATCCGAAATAAAATTACTAGGTAAAATACAGGATGCCTAGTTAAATTTGAGTATCAGATAAACAATGAAACATTTTTAGTTACATGTCCCATGTAATATTTGTACTAAATACTTATACTAAATTGTAAAGGACATACTTATACTAAATTGTAAAGGACATCCTTATACTAAAGGAAAGCATTGCTTATCTGAAATTCACATTTAACTGGTTGTCCTATATTTTTATTTGTTAAATGTGGCAATCTTAATCATAAACAAATAAGCAAACAAGTATAAGTCTTAGAAAAGAATAAATCAATTTTTAAATGAATGCATTTAGTGTTGTCAGGGAATAATTACAATATGTCAGCAAACCTTGGCAACCATTGGAATCCCGTTTCTGAAAATTACAGTGTAGTGTGAAGTAGAAAATAACAACGATGGTTTTAACTCATATGAAACATAGAAAAAATTCAGAAACAAACTAGATTTATTGGTTTTAAGGAAAAGAAGCCAGAACAACTACCAGAATACTGTTCTGTTAGGTAACTCTTCTTTTAACCACCTTCTTTAATTACTCAGGAAATATTTCTGTGTTTTCCTCAACAACTGGAGTAGATTTTCCCATGAGTTTTATGTTACACAAAGTTTAGTTATTTTTAAAGTTATCAAATCAGCTCTTACTGGCTTGAAGTTAAGTATCCATGGAACTTGTATTTCCTTTGTTTTCCTTTCAAATGTCTCCCCAAAATGCTTGTAACTGTGTATCCTTTCTGTAAATAATTTTGCCACTTATTGTGTATTTTTCTGGGTCTGAACTTGTGTTCATATTTTCAGAAGGTGGGTAAAAATGTTTTCTCCGCAGCTACATAGTATTTTCTCCAGGAAGGCTGGCGGGGGCAGAGTGCAATAATTGTTTTGGTTTGAAGGGACAGAGGTGAACTGTTCATACATTAAAAGATTTGGGAGGCCGGGTGCGGTGGCTCACGCCTGTAATCTGTAATCCCAGCACTTTGGGAGGCCAAAGTGGGCGGATTACTTGAGGTCAGGAGTTTGAGACCAGCCTGGTCAACATGGTAAAACACCATCTCTACTGAAAATACAAAAAAATTAGCTGGGCTTGGTGGCAGGTGCCTGTAATCCCAGCTACTCGGGAGGCTGAGGCAGGAGAATCGCTTGAACCCGGGAGCCGGAGGTTGCAGGAGCAGAGATTGCACCACTACACTCCAGCCTGGGCAACAGAGTAAGACTCCATCTCAAAAAAATAAAAATAAAATAAAATAACTAAATAAATAAAAGATTTGGGATAGTTAGCTAATATTCTGGAATAAAATTATAAAACTGGGTTAACTAAAAATAACATTTATCCAAGTATTGATATATTTTGATTTTATTATTTAAATGATTACAATCTCCTCATATATACAAGTAAATCTTGGGGCATTTGATAAATTTCATGTTTATGCATTCATTGAGTCAGCCACTACACTTTTGTTGTGTGCCTATTAACGTGCAAGTGGCCATTCTAAGTGGCCATTTGGCAAGTGCAGGTGAATGAGACCAGCTTCTGCCTCCCAGGGAAGTGGCTGTTAAGTAGGGACGATGGCATGCAAATCGGTAATTATAATACAGATTAATAAAAGCCATCATGTGTTTGTATACAAAGTCTCATGAGTACATGGGAGAGGAAGACATTCATTGCATTCGGGGCTAAGGGGTACTCAGGTATTTGATGCAGGGGAATGGACCAGTCAGTTGAACCTTGGGAGTTCTTCAAGCAAAGAGGGAAGAGAAAGGCATTACAGTTGAGGGCACAGCATACAGAAAGACTCAGTGGCCCAACAGAGCTTGGCACACTCAAGTGGCTGTATTATAGGGCTCACGGTGGGAAGCAGGAAGTAGCAAATGTAAAGCAGGAAAGGAACTCAAGACCAGCTCATCATTAGCTTGTAATGATGCCAAGGGGATTGGACTCTATCTCAAGGAGATGAAGAACCACTGAGGGATGAGTACAGGAGGAAATGATTCCATTTTTATTGCAGAACCATCACTCTGGAGGTTATGTGAAAATGGGTTGGAGATGAGACTAGAGGCAAGAAGACTGGTTAAGAAGTTAAGAAAATAGCCTAGGCCGGGCGCGGTGGCTCACGCCTGTAATCCCAGCACTTTGGGAGGCCGAGGCGGGCAGATCACGAGGTCAGGAGATCGAGACCATCCCGGCTAAAACGGTGAAACCCCGTCTCTACTAAAAATACAAAAAATTAGCCGGGCGTAGTGGCGGGCGCCTGTAGTCCCAGCTACTTGGGAGGCTGAGGCAGGAGAATGGCGTGAACCCGGGAGGCGGAGCTTGCAGTGAGCCGAGATCCCGCCACTGCACTCCAGCCTGGGCGACAGAGCGAGACTCCGTCTCAAAAAAAAAAAAAAAAAAAAAAGAAAAGAAAATAGCCTAGGTGAGAGCCCACAGGAGTCTGAACTGGCAGGGAGCAAAGAATGAGTATTGTTTTGGAACTGAGTTTAAGGCCCCTGTGACATGTCCAGGGAAAACCGGTGATGAAAATACCAGGTTGGGCAGATAGGTCTGGCTGGAGGTGGTTATTTGGGAATCCCCAACCCAGGGGTGAGATGAAAGTGGGTGTGGCTGGGCTCAATGTCTCACGCCTATAATCCCAGGACTTTGGGAGGTCTAAGTGGGAGGACGGCTTGAGCCCAAAAGTTCAAGGCCAGCTGAGCAACATACAGAGACCCTATCTCTATAAAAAAAAAAAAAAAAAAAAGCAAAAATTAGCCGGGTGTAGTGGCATGCGCCTGTAGTCCCAGCTACTCAGGAGGCTGAGGTGGGAGGATTGCTTGAACCCAGAGGCTTGAATCCAAGATCGTGCCACTGTACTATACAGCCTGGGTGACAAAGTGAAACCCTTAAGAAAAAAAAAGGGTTGTCATGACCCAGGACTGGTGTAAGGAGTGAGAAAAGAAAAGAACACTGACATGAAATGAGCAGGTGGTAGAGAAAGATTCATAACCAAACACTGGAAAGAAGCAATCAGAGTCACAGTAGGGGACCCAGAAGAAAAGAGCATCGTGAAGATCAAGGATAAGAGAGCTGCAATCACTGATTAATTAGGACAAGTGCTATGGAGAAAAACATAAAATAAGCACAGAAATGGGTCTTTTGGGTTTAGCTTTTAGGAATCACTGGTGATGGAGACAGAGCGATCTGAAATCTGTACCTGACACAGTAGCCACATGGCAGAGGATTGAGAAATGAATGGAATGTGAGAAACTGAGAGTGTATTGACCATCTTCAAAGAGACTGGGAGACGTGAAAAAGAAAGATGGAGGAGAGCAAGAAGAACTCACAGGCTCTCTCATTATTTTCCATTATGAAAGTATACCTACTGAAAAGAATAGAGGATGATTTAACAAGTAACAAGGCACTCATCCCCTAATTATCTTAAATTTTTCCATATTGACAAGAGCAGAGGTTGGCAAACTTTCTCCTAAAAGGCTAGAGAGTAAACATTTTAGATTTTGTGGGCCAAGAGGCAAATACCAGCTATTATGAAAGCACTTATTTATATAAACATTAAAGGTAAAACCATTTACAAATGTAAAAATCAATCTTAGCTTGGAAATAAAGGAAGCTGGCTGGGTTTGGCCCATGGGTCTTAGTTTGCTGAGCCCTGGACTACCATCTTTTTGCTGACAGAAACAATATTTTGGATATAATTGAAGCCCTCATTACACCCCTCCCTGATCTCATTTCTCTTCCTCACTCGTCAAAGGTAATTATTGTCCTAAAGTTACTGTGTATCATTCCCACTTTTCAAACATGTCTATGTCCCTAAGCAATATATAGCGTAATTTTGGTTGTTTAAACATGTTTAAATAAGTATAATTATTCTATGCATAGTAATCCTTTTTTTCTTTTTTTTTTCCCACCCCGCTTCTGCATAATAATTTTATTTACTTCTTTATTTGTTTTGAGACAGAATCTCACTCTGTTGCCCAGTCTGGAGTGAAGTGGCACAATCTCAGCTCACTGCAACCATTGCCTTCCAGGTTCAAGCAGTTCTCCTGCCTTAGCCTCCCGAGTAGCTGGGACTACAGGCATGCGCCACCATGCCCAGCTAATTTTTGTATTTTTAGTAGAGACGGAATTTCACCACATTGGTCAAGCTAGTCTCGAACTCCTGACCTCAAGTGATCCGCCTGCCTCTGCCTCCCAAAGTGCTGGGATTACAGTCCTGAGCCACCATGCCTGGTGGCATAATAATCTTTAACTGACTTTTTCATCAACATGACTTTTGATACATTTGGCTTGATACATTTGATACGTGTATCAACATGACTTTTGAGACTGATTCACCTTGATACATTTGGCTGGAATTCATTAATTTTACTTGTTATGTTGTACTCATTCTGTGACTATACTAAATATTATTTTTCCTTTTGTTGATAGACATTTAGGTTGCTTTCATTTTGTTTTGTTTTGTTTTTCATTTTTACAAACAATGCTATCATCAACAACCTCAGCCATATCTTTTGACTGCACATTTGTGAGTGAGCTAGGAGTCAATTCTTGGGATTGTGGAGCATGAACATCTTCTGCTTGTGTAATATTTCCAAATTATTCTCCAGAATGGTTGTATAGAAAAATTTCCTTTTTCATATAATCTGATAAATGCGGTAACCTGAAAATTCTCCCAATGTGCAACACCTAGAAATGTTGAATAAAACATAAAAGGCAATCTTTTAAATGCATAAAGAAATCTCAAGAAAGCAAGAAAATACCTAAGGCTTAGGAGAGATATATATTTTTAAATGCTTAGAGGAAGTTGAAATTCGGAGTTATATCTACCAATGCGCATTTCCTCAACAAAGGTGTGGGCCCAGGGAGATAACAGGCTATATAATGTTTTCAGGGAGCTCCTGTCCATTCACTGGGTCAACAGTTAAAGCTAAAATTTCAGACCATGGTATAAGAAAAAAAAGTCACTGAAATGACTTTGGCAAAGTTCAGAGTCAGGTCAGCTACCCCAGGCTGATCTTGCCATCATCCTGACACCTGTGGAACCTGGGCCCTCCTCTGATTTTCAATTTGGATTGCTCTATTCCTTTCTTCTTTCTTGAGGGCAATCAGTTCAGTCTCCTTGGTTACCTACTTCTGGCGCCTGGCTTGCTCCACTGCCGGCTCTGGTCTGCCAGCTTACCCCCTCATGGAGGCTTTGTTGCTTCCTCCTGCAGCTCTTGGAAGCTGACCTCTGATGCTTGCCACTTCCCATTCAAGGCTGGGGATTAAGCCTGAGGTCCAATCATGGGCTCCCTTAAGCACACCCCTGTCTCAGTTTCTTCCAAATCCTAGTTTGTGATAACAAGGCTGGGGGTATATTCGAAAAGAATTGGGGCTTAGAGCACTTTATAGTAGCTTGGTGACAGGATCAGATAATTTGGGGTTCTGTTAAGTAGGGTGAGCCATCCTCGGTGTACCAGGTTCTGCTCTCAGGGCCCCCACGATTTCCATCAAGAATGGGAGGCAAGGCCAGGTGCGGTGGCTCATGCCTGTAATCCCAACACACTGGGAAGCCGAGGTGAGTGGATCACCTGAAGTCAGGAGTTCAAGACCAGCCTGGCCAACATAGTGAAACCCTGTCTGTACTAAAAATACAAAAATCAGCCAGGTGTGGTGGCATGCGCCTATAATCCCAGCTACTGGGGAGGGTGAGGCAGGAGAATCGGCTTGAACCCAGGAAGTGGAGGTTGCAGTGAGCCGAGATCACACCACTGTGCTCCAGCCTGGGCAGCAGAGCGAGGCTCCATCTCAAAAAAAAAAAAAAAAAAAAAGAATGTGAGGCAACAGATATGACAAGCGGCAAGATTATGTCTACACAAACTTTAGCTAAAAGTTACCAAATAGATAATAAGATGTTTAAAATAATGACATAAAAGAAGGAATAAATAACACAAGGGAAAAAAACCCAAAGCACAATGTGTATAAAAAAAGAACACATAGGCCAGGTGAGGTGGCTCATGCCTGTAATCTTAGCACTTTGGGAGGCCGAGGAGGGTGGATCTCCTGCGGTCGCGAGTTTGAGACCAGCCTGACCAACATGGAGAAACCCCATCTCTACTAAAAATACAAAATTAGCCGGGTGTGCTGGCACATGCCTGTAATCCCAGCTACTCGGGAGGCTGAGGCAGGAGAATCGCTTGAACCCACAAGGCAGAGGTTGCGGTGAGCCAAGATCGTGCCATTGCACTCCAGCCTGGGCAACGAGAGTGAAACTCTGTCTCAAAAAGAAAAAAAAAAAACAAATTTTCTAGAAATGCCAAATAATGATGACTAAAATTAAAAGCCCAATGGATGGCTTGACCGTCAAGATAGACAAGGTGATTGCACTAATCTACCCTCGGACCAGTAGTGCAGAGTTCCTGTCTCTCCATATCTTTGCCAACATTTGAGAGTGGTACAAACTACATACGAATAGGCAAGCTGCAGTTTGCATTGCTTCATTACAGAATTGAGCCCATCCCAGTCAATATCTTCCCTCTTATGGTTTCCTGGGATTCCAAATTTCAGACACAGAAGGACTTTAAAGCTCATCCTCTCTGTCTGTTTTTTGGGGGAGTCCCTTAGAGTATTTGGTCGTAATGGCCAGTTCTCAGTAGGGCTCTCCCACAGTGACTGCCTGACATAAGGCTGTTCTTCTCCTCGCTGGTTCCCACACCCTGAAGCCTCTTACCCAGTGACTTCAACATTCTGTTTTTCCTGCTTCTAGTCTTAAATCCCCAGATTCTCTTGTGCTCACTCTGCACCTCTTTCAGCCCCTCCCTTCCTCCTCAGCAGTCTGAGTTTTAACCCAACTCTCATCATTCCTCTTCCTCTCAGCCAGTCTCTGACCCAGTGCAAACAAATGCAGCTCTATAATTGACATGCAGCCACCGCAAAGCCTAGCCAAGAGTTCTGTGCTGCACCTACAGCTGGAAAGGTTCAACAACCACAGTTTTCTAAACCCAAAACTAAACGAGTAGCCTGGCAGAGCTTGGAAACCCAGAGGTAGTATGGAGTATGGTTAGAGAATGGACTCCTGAGGCAGAATCTTACTTAGATTCACTAATTAGCTGTGTGACCTTGGGCAAGTCACTTAGCCTCTCTGTGCCTCAGTTTTCTCAAATGTAAAAACAGGGATAATAGTGCCCACCTTATAAGGTTGTTCTGAGAATTAAATGAGTTAGTGAATGTAGCATTTAGAATAGTGCCTGACCTATAATGAGTTCTATATATGTTAGCTACTATTGTTATTAATACTTGAAATTGGGACTGTCCCAGGAAACAGCAGATGTCAGCCGTGTTCATTAAAATAAGATATGAGATACCACAGTGTCAGAATGTGTAGCCTTACTTACATAGCTAGTATTTTCTACTATTCTTTCTCTCCTTGTCAAGATTCATCCAATACTTATATAATTCTTATTCTTCTGAACCAGCCCAGAAAATCTCCCATTCCTCTCTGTTTGGCCACCAAAACAGTCACAGCATCCTTGTTTCTGCCTCATGGCCTTCAGCTCTCCCTTCTGCAACAATTCTGCTTTTAGCAACTAACAAATCCCATGCTTTTGGTATTTAGGAAATTGCTTTTGGTTTTCTGATAGTATTAAGCTGACACTGACAGGGCATAAAGAACAGAGACGGGGACACCCCTGCCCCACTTTACTCCATGAGCAGAACATCTCCTTGAGTTTGAACTTTCTTAGGATCCTACACTGGCCAAGGCACCTAGGCCCAAGCTTTCCTTTAACTATGCTCACCCATTCCATTATAGTCCCAGAAAAGCTGCTTTCTTATTTCTCTCCTGGTGACTTCCAAGTGAATTATTTCTCTTGGGGTAGAACTCAATTCTATGTCAGGCTATCTATCTCTAAAAAGAGAAGAGGTCGCTGACTCAGAGGTAACAGTGCTGGTCTCATGCAACTGCAGATATTATCTCATGTTGCCTGCTCGTTGTTAATAAAGGCTTAATTTGAGATACATCTCAGAGTATACTCACAAACAGTGTCAGGCCCTTCAGTAGGTTGGATTCATCTAACAAACATCCCCAGGTATTTTTTGAAGAATTCAAGGAAATATACCTGTGACACCTAGAAAGTAACTCATATCCTGAAGCCTTAGGCACTATTAGCTAAAAGTAGTGTACATTAATTAATTTTAAAAATCTTTAATTTAAAATCACCTTTTCCATGATGAATCATCTCAAAGTCATAGCTTTTATTCAACAGCTTTTTGCAAGTGGGCATTTTTCAGACATTGGGAATCCCAGCAGGGCCCAATTAGCATGTTGGATTATTTAGGTAATCCCTGCACTCTACTGAAATGCAACTTTTCATCTTTGACTTCTCTTTACATTCCAACACTACCTGTTTTCAGGAGCTATCAGTTTTTTTTGTAATCAGCCTCATATCCATTCTAGGGATGATTTTCATATTTATCAACAATTATTTTCTCATTTATGCTGAGCCCTTACAGGATTTTGGAAAGTCAAAGGTGAACTACAGAGGATTTTCCCTGGAGCTGTTCACAGCCAGTTGGGAGGCATGGACACAATTATGGTTCAAAGTGATTAGCAGAAGTTTAGGTCTATCGGGGCACAGCAGCAGGTACGAGTAGAGCTCCAGGGAAGGGGCAGAGAAAGGAGACATCAAGGAGGAGATCACATTTAGTTTGATACTTTTAAGGTGATACAAGAATTTGCTAGGTAGGAAAAAGAATGTATTCATTATAGGCAAGAGCCACGGAGGGGGACGACAACTGGAAGGAGGTGCCACTGGGAAGGAGGTTGCAGTGAGAGTCTAAGGGGCAAAAATGAGGAACAAGTGAAGGGGCATAAATGAGGGGTCCTTAAGGGGGAAGATGTGCACGATCAGATTCAGGTGTCAGAAAGGCAACTTTAACCAAGTCTCTTCAGATTCTCTTTTTGCATCTCCTGAATTGCAGACACTAGGACTCAATCATTTTTTAGAAGCTAAAAAAAAAGTTCAGGCAAGATGAATTAGTATTAAGGGAGTGTTTGAGGCACCTGTGGCAGTGTTGTGCAATAGAAGAGGTGGAAGGAGGATGGCTAGGCTTTTCTTCCCTGATGTCCTACTACGAAAGGTTCCAGAGCTCTTGGCAGAGACAGTGATTGGTTCCGGGGCGGCGGTGGGGGGAGGGGGGCAGTGGTGGTGGGGGGTGGAGGAGCTCAAAGAACTCTGGAGTAGAAGCCAGAAGAGCTGACTAGCAGCAAGACCCAGACATCTCCCTTCTTCCACCTCTGTTTCTTCACCTGTGTGCCCAATATGGTTTGAGCTGCATCATCTTCAAGTTCCCTTCCAGCTCCAAAACACTGGGCATAAAACAACACATCAACTTCCAAACCCACTCTGAACACTAAACTCAATTTAACCAGACATCTTTTCAGCTGGAATGATTTGCCTTCCACTTTGTTTTCTACCTCAGATGCCTGGGGGACCACATGGAGAACACCCAGGGGAAGAGAAATTGATGGAGTGGGGTGGCTGGGTGCTGGCTGCTGACCTCCAGGAAGTTGTCACATCTGTTAGGTTGGGGCTGATGTCCCTCATTCTATCTAAAGAACTGTAGCTTGAGAACTTTCCTTTTGCTTGGTAAATACTGCCCTACACTAGAAGCAGTCGGTGTTCATTGACAGAAACAATGGGCAGCCAGTGTATTTGCCCAAAGGCAAGTCAACAAGAGAGGCAGCTGAAGGTGCTTGTGCTTGTTGTAGCAACTGGCAAGGGTGTAAATCAGTTGTTGCTTTTAGCCCATAATAATGAGATTCAATATTGTTTTTTCCAATACCTTTGATTGGTTCCAATCATATTACTTTTTCAAACAAATCTTCATTAGTAACAATCAATGCAAAAAAAAAATCTGTAAAAGTAACAAGGTGCAATAAAAGTAGATGAAAGACCTTACTTGATGTGTTAGAGGGCTACCCTCTAACACATAGCTCTTTGGTAGCTCTTCGGATAATTTCCCGTTTCCTTTTTTTTTTTTTAAGTTTATGTCGTTTCTTTAGTATGCTTTCTAGTAGTAAATTTTCACACCCCAGTTTTTCCAGGAGATTTTGGAATCAGCAGACTTCTCAGCCCACACCATAAAAAGCAAATTAATCATGTCTCTGTTTCAGCCAATTGAAGCTTTTGTTTTTTTTTACATAAACTGCCAAAAAGTTTATGGTTTTCTTAATATGCCCATTAAAGCTGGTAAATTACAGGGACGCACACTTCCTGGAAGACAAAGACTGAAAGAGGGTTAAATGAAGTGAGAGCTGTAGCCAGTTTAGACAGCTGCAGCGAAAGCGAAGTCCCCTCTCCATCCCACCCCCCAAAAAAAGGAGTTCTAATTTTCTCCACTTCTTTCACAGAAAGGATTAGATTTTCTGGGTGTCACCCTCCCCGGCAGAGTTCTGTAGCCTCGGGCACCCTACCAGCTTTTGCGATCCTCCTTCCCAGGAGTAGGAAGTGGAGGCGGCTTACCCCGGCCGACGGGAACGAGCGCGATCACCAGGGCGAAGACTAGGGCTGCGCGGGGAGCCTGCATGTCCGCTCGCCTCGGCAGAGGCGCGCTCAGGATGCTGCGCCGGGCTGCAGCCTCTCTGAAACGTGAACATTTCCTGTTTCCTGCTTGTTTGGGTCGGTGCTGACTTGAAGGAGAGGTGTGTGCCTGTTTTTTAGGAAGTGATGTAATTCTGCAGGAGCCTGTCAGACCAGCAAGGATTGCAAAAGAGAAGTTGCTGTTGAAGCACTGGTTCTATTATCACGCCTCTCCAGCCCTTTGGAGTCCCGGCCTCCAGCTTTTGAAACCGTCCCCGGGGCAACAGAGTCCCTTGCTCAGATGTCGTTCGGTATCTGGGACTGGGAGGGGTCCTGGACCACACGCATTCTCACTCTGTGATTTTGCTTATCCCCCAGGTGAGGCTCCGGGGCTGCCTAGACCCTAGGAAGAAGCTGTCCTGTAGAACTTTCTGCCCTGATGGAAATGTTCCAAGTCTGCGCCGTCTGATACAGTATCAGCCACATTGGCCACTGAGCATTTGAACTGAGGCTAGTGCTGATGGAATTTAAATTTTATTGAATTTTTATAAAATTTTAATAACTCCAAGTGGCTAGTGGCTGCTGTGTTGGATAGCGCAGGCCCAGACAGCAGGGACAACTGCATCATCAGAAAACTGCCAGACCACTTCTCTCCGCCAGGTCCATTCTCCTTTCTCCACTCTGGAATGCCCTCCTCCCACCAAGGCCCACGCCAGATGGAGGTGGATGCCACACCCACACCTTAAGGTTATGTTCTGCTTCCCCAGAGAGAAATGATCTTTTCAAGGTCCATTTCCAAAGGAGAATATGCTCTGAGGGTGGAGGTAGGGGTGAATCTGCATCTCACCTTCCTTCCTTCTTACTTGACAATCAAGTTCTCAGACAACAAACAAAACAGGACAGAAACGAAATAGAATAATGGTAGAAATCCTATCCAATCGAAACAATACAGAAAGGTTGTGTCTAGTATACAGTGGAGATTAGTGTGTGTTGGGTGTTCTATTGGAGGTCCTTCCCTTGGTTTAGGTTTAGGGCCTAAGCATTCAGAATGCAGTTTCATAATCGTGGTGCCAAGAGAGACAGACAGATGGAGAGAGGGGTAGTGTTGAGGCATCAGACACATCTCATCTCTAAACCTTTCCCTGCAGATCACCATCTGAGTCATGACTTCCCGTCGTTTGTCTTCAGTGATCTGGTTGGTGCAAACGTATGAGGTGACTGGAATTCCTTAGCCCCTGACATAGCTGTTAATTTTTCTTTAATGCATTGCTGCTTTTCAATGTCATTAGTCACTGTTTATCTCAGTTATTATTCACAAGAAATAGGTTGGTGATTCATGTAAGGATCAGTTTGTTAATGGATTTACAGTATGCACTTTAATGTTTTAAACTGGCAATTAAGTCAATTCTTGATAAAATATGCTTTTTGCACCACAGGTGACAATACAGAACAAACAGCAGGAGAAAATAGACGTGCTCAAAACTGGGTGATTGATTTGAAAACAACAGAGAAAGAACTATTAATTAAACACTTGCTGAGCATGTGAATAGATCACGGGCTCCAAGACCTGCTGGTACTGAGTTGGGGTGGCAATTATTCCTGTACAAGCACGTGTTTCTGCAGCTGTGACACACACGTGCAAGAAAGCAGGCCCAGGGCTTGGGAGTTCTCTCCATTTTACCATTTATGCCCTATTAAAATATTATTAAATGTTATTAAAACATTGTTGAATCCCAGGCTGGAGGCAAATGTTTGTCAAGGGCAAGGTTGTCAGCCTTCGTTTCTTTCATCTTAAACTTCAGCTCCCTGTGGAAGCTTTTGCAGTCAGGTGTCTGTGGATTGGACCACAGACTGTCTTATTCTGTGGACCTCTGCTGAGCCCCATGACATGGCCAAACAGTTCATTACTGTTTCAACAAGTGCACTATGCATTGCTTCTGAGCAGTGCAACACTAAATCAGAGTGAGGTACAAAATAAACTGGAGCTGCAGAGAAATCCTGCCCAACCATGTAATTTTCTTTTGACCCCTGTGCTCTCTAAGACCCTTAGCATGATTAAGCTGATCTTAGGGGGAAGAAAATTACCATGATTGATCAGAAAATGGTAGCACCTCAATGATCTCTTTGCTGCAGTTAAAATCCCAGGGAGGCTGTGTGGTAGGTAAAGGGCTATTTACCTCTGTTTTAATTTTAGCAACCATTAATTTAGGCAAATAGCCACCCAGCCTCAGATTAAATCCCGATGCACTGGTGGCAGGAAGTCAGGGCCTCAGTCCCAGATGTGGGGCACAGGGGAACCTCAGAGTGAGTGGCACACAGGCAGGGGTAATGCCACTTTGGAGCCTGCCATTGGCTGTCTGAAAGCAGGAAAGAAGTATGGTGCTTCATCATGTTCAGAAGGGCAGGAAGGGACACTGGGAACCATGTCTAGGGACTCTTTATTACTTTACACAAAGGAGTGTGACTTTTACAATCAACTGTCTGTGCTACAGAAGTGACTCTCATCCTATCCTCCCTCCCTTCCCCCCGCCCCCTCCCCACCACCACTCCATGGGCCATAAAAGAAGAGGGACTCCAAGGGAACAAATCCAGATAAATGATAGGATCTTCCAGTGGGTGCAGACAGCCTTCTCCGCGTTCCTCTTCACACTCCGATCCTGCCATTCCCAATACACACAGATGTGCACATGCACTCAGATACACACACAGCTGTCTCTCACACACACATTCATGCACATGGTGGAAATAAATGAAGACTAAATGAGCACAAGCAAATGAAACCAAGCAATGGATATTAATTCAGAGCTTGCCATAGCAAGAGAGTCAGCCACCATCGCTGCATTTTGGCACAGACCCAAAGGCAGGCCAAGGAATGAGATAACTTTACAGTCGATAAAAGGAAGGCTCAGGGCCGGGTGCAGTGGCTCATACCTGTAATCCCAGCACTTTGGGAGGACAAGGTGGGCGGATCACCTGAGGTCAGGAGTTCAAGACCAGCCTGGCCAATATAGTAAAACCCCATCTCTACAAAAATACAAAAATTAGCCGGGCATGATGCGGGGTACCTGTAATCCCAGCTACTCGGAAGGCTGAGGCAGAAGAATCACTTGTACCTGAGAGGTGGAGGTTGCAGTGAGCCGAGATCCCACCATTGCAGTCCAGCCTGGGCGACAGAGCAAGAGTCGTTTCAGAAAAAAAACAAAAGGAAGGCTCAGGTATGGCCTGAAGGGAGGCTGCTGGCATGGGGAACCAGCAGCAAGTTCTAGTGATTGGTGAGGAGGTGCATATTTTGCTGCTGCTAGATCAGAAGAGGAGATAAAAATGAGGGAATCTGTCAGAAGGTGCTCTGACCTCCTACAAGTTTGATTTCTAGCAGGCTGGCTTCCTAGACTTGCTACTGAAGATAGTGAATTGGTTTCTGGGGGTTGGTTGCTGCAAGCTGGGAGCCAGTGTTCTGTTTTTGCATATATTATTTGGCCACTGTCCATTTGTACATCCAGTCTCCCAACACACACCCACAGGCACACTCACATACTCAGAAATGTGCACACGTGCTCACACACACACGCTCTCACATCGACACTCACATACAAATGTTCTGGAGCTTCTTTCTCTGTCTAAATGCCTGCTAGTGACAGTGGATGGTTCCTGGGTGTTTGGTTGGCTGTGGGCTGGCCCTCAAACAAGATAATAGTAACATCAGGTGGGGCCTGTGTATCACTCTGAAGCCAGCTAGGAAGGTGCAGGGAGGAGGCAGATTGAAGTCCCAGGTTCTGAAGGAATGCCCAGAGAGGTAGCCGGGCAGGGCAGAGGCTGGGGCAGAAGGATTAGGCTGACATTTAGCGTGTGCAGAGAAGCCACAGCCAGGAGAGGGGCTGACAGCCATCTCACTGCGCGTGAAGTGGGGGCAGCTGGAGCCTGCACAGCCGGGCTCATCTTGACCAGCCTATCTCCACCCTTGGGGGTCTCTGTCTCTGCATCCTGGCTGCCAATACTCTTCAGAGAAACTGTTGCAAGGTTTGGATAATCCTAGGGGCTTCCATGACAGGGTCTTCCAGGGCCTAGGTAGATGGCCTGGTCACCACAACATGAAACTGTAAAGGATTGTGATTAGGAGCTAAAGTGGCAGTTGACACGTGGGACACAGTGCAGCGCTCTGGGCTAGAGGGTGCTGGGGCGTATCTAAGAGACAGAGCAGCAGCTCACTGCTGAACATCCACAGTCCTCCTCTAATTGCCCTCTGAGAGCAATGGCATTCTCTGTCTTGCTCTCCAGTCTATCCTCAGCATTTAGGACAGAGAACAGAGAAGTGAGTAAATGGGGGGAAAATCCCTTTACAGCAGTATTTTTTTAAGTGCACTGGAGGGGGCCACCTATGTTAGAATTATTCAGGGGAGCTTGTTAAAATTCAGAGTCCTGGACCCTATGCCAGAACTATTGAGTCAGAATCCCTAGAGCTGAGGTCCATAACTCTGTATTTGTAATGTTTGAGGGGATTTTTATGCATGATAGATAAAACTCGAGAATCATGTGTTAGTTAGTTCCTGGAAATTATTGCTAGTTCCTAGAAAGGTCCCTTTTCTCCAAAGGTAAGAAATAAAAAGCACGTTGTATTTTCCTGTTTTGCCTTGACTGCCAGGAGGCCTGGAACTAAAAGTTGAAGCTTGGTTGTGTAACTTTTATTAGCCCAGGTGTCTTTACCATTTCTAGGAATATTTCTTTTCCTGGCTAACTGTAACTCATCTGTCTAGCCCTAATTTAGAAGACATCTCCACCAGGGAGCTATCTTAGAAGCCTTCCTCCTCCCCCTAACCCAAGCTGAACAAAATGCTCATCCTTTACTGCCACCCACATAACACCCATCAGAATACAACCAGAAGACCTGGCTGTGTCTCTGTCTCCCCGCCTTGATTACCCTCGTCTCACTCATCTGTGGTCTCCTGCATCTGTTAAAAGGAACTAGACTTCTTCTTCTATTGCTGTTTTGTTTTTGATCAAATCATATCTTAAGGCCTTTTCCACCCAAGTCTCTCCAAATATTTTGCAAGTAGGACATACCTCATTAATAAATATATAGTATTTATACCAAAGTCCACTCCAGAATGATACATGCAGATTGATGGCCTCAATGATTCTTCTTTTGCTTTTCTGTTGAATTTGACTTTCCCGATTCACAGTTGATAGTGCCCTTGCGAACTAAATCTTCAACACCAATGGAACTAGAAAAAACAAAGGAACAAAAGATTTGGAGGATGTAGCAAATTATAAAAGAAAGCCTGGGCAATACAGTGAGATCCCGTCTCTACAAAAAATAAAAAAATTAGCCGTGCATGGTGGCACCTACCTGTAGTCCCAGCTACTCAAGAGGCTGAGGCAGGAGGATCACTGGAGCCTGGGAGTTCAAGGCTGCTGTGAGCTATAATTGCGTCATTGCACTCCAGCCTGGGCAACTGAGGGAGCCCCTATCTCAAAAAATAATAAAATAAAATAAAATAAAATAATTAGGAAAGATGCTAGGGTATATCCAGTGCCAGGGTATATATGTGGGTAGTGCCAGAAATAAGCAAAATTTGAGAGGATATTGTATCAGGTGAGAGAAGGTAACAGGTGACTAGTTTTCAATTTAAATAACTTATTTTTCATATTACAGAGACAATACATGTTTGTTGTGGAAAAACTAAAAATACATAAAAAGCAGAATCAAAATTATTCTGTTTTTAAGTTCTTCCAGATCTTTTTCTATACATATTAACTAGCAGTGTTATTCCACTTTGTTTCCTGTACTAGCAGTTGGTATGACAATCCTGCTAACTGGCCGGAGGTATAGAATTCCCAGGTAACAAATTCAGATATGGGAAAATGGTAACTTGCTCTAGTTTTCTATTACAGCATCAACTTTGAATTCCAATTCTTCTGCTAGTGGTAAACCAAATGCAGTCACTTACTAATATGATCAGTTTAGTGATTTCCCAGGTATTTGGGAGTAACTTCAGTTATTTCTGGGTCCCTCCCTTGCTCCACCCTTTACCCCCACTTCCGTTTTTTTCTAGAATTGCCTCCAGAATGCCAAAGAGTTGATAGGGAAAGTTGTCTCTAAAATACAACATTGGTTCTTCAGTCCTTAGAGGACCAAGAGCTAAGAATTAACTCCTTATGTTTATATTTTAGAATGGCCTCCTTTTTGTAGATCAAATGGTCTAATTTCCTAGTTTGGATGGGTTCAGGTAGGTGTATAAACAGAGAGTGTCCAGGACTCCCAAATGCATATTATGTTTATAGAATTTCATTTACTATCCTGCCACTTATATTCATGATAATTTCAGTAACAATGCAATGCACTCTCTCCAGGGAAGGATGGATGTGATGAGACATGGTGGGTCCGCTGGATTGAGCACCAGAAGCCCAAGGTCCCAGTCTTAGTTCTTTCACTAATGAGATTCTCTTGCCTCCATTTGCCTTATATGTAAAACAGTAGGGCTGAGTAGATGATCTCTAAGACCCGGCACTCACATTCCATGAGTCTATCAGATTCCTGGTGGGGAGGCGCATACAAAGATTTTCAGAGGCAAAGGTAGACCTAAGCTTCTAAAGACATGGACCTGCTACAAACAACCCAGCCAGGTCCTCAAGCCTTTCCATCATCACTGAGATCCAGAAACGAAGGCCTGTATTTACAGCAACATCACAGTCCTGCCAGGATAAGAATAGAGGGTGGTGCCTTCCAGAACTGCCAAACAGCTGGGCATCACTGAATTGAAATAGACAGCCATAAACAGGGTGGGTTGGAGAAGCATGACAGTTGTGAAATCAGGGCAGGAGGAAGGAAATAAACAGGCAAATACACCGGAAAGAAACATGATGTGGTTGCTTCGCTATCTGTGAAGCAGCAAATGCAAAGCTTATCTGAGGCCAGGAACAAAAGTCGTCATGTCTACAGTGATGATCGTCTCAGCTACGAACACATAACAATAAGCACTGGTGTTGGTAACCATGCTTTAGCACCCAAAGGTCCACAACAACTTTGCTATGCAGCAAGAGGTCACTTGCTTACATATCTCATTGTTACATTCTCTCTTCGTGAAAACTGGCAATCCGTTGGAGTAGACTAGATCATTGTTCCCGGTTCTTCATGCCTTTTCTGAATTACAGTTCTTCATCTATGTCCTTGCAACTTGGTAGTTTATGTCCCTGCCTTTCTGATGCTGGGCCAGGCCATGTATGACTTGCTCTGATCAAAGATATATGGATGGGAGAGACAGTGTGCTGGGTGTGGTCAAAGGTCTCTAAGAGCCATCACAGACTTTGACTTGCCTTCTTGTCTTTCTGTGATCTTGCATTTATATGATCTTCGAAGATGAGCCCCATAATGTGAAGCAGAACACAAAATCAGAAACCCAGACTCCAGCCTAGTATAGCCTATGTCAACCAAACCGCAGCTGCAGACCCATGAGCATGAAACTAAATGGTTATGATTATGAGCTATGGAGGGATATAAGATTGTTCCGTAGCATTAGTGCAGCAATAGCAAATTGATTTATCTCTTAGGATTCTTCATTCAGGAGTTGCAAACCTGAGTGAAGAAAGTCAGATAAGAAAATAAGAACTGCTTTTGGTAAGCAGAGAAAAACTTTGAGAAATTGGCTGTCAGGTTATACTGTAAAGCCTTTGGAAGATAGGACTGTTCACACTTAACTTGTCATGCTCATCTTTTTCCCTTCTCCTGCAGGAACCACTGCTCAGTCTAGAGCCAGCAATTATATACAGCTGGGTCATGCTATGTTTTCACCCATGGCACTCCTGGATTCCTGAGTCACTGGACAGTTGTGTTAGAACCCGTGTTCACAGAAGTGTTTATTGGACTGAAAGGATATTAATAGCACGTGCAGCATTTAAGCTGTACTCGTGATCTTTATCACATTATATTCAGATGATATAATTTAGATGATCTCTTTCTGCACTAATTGATTATACGCTTCTGGGAATGCTTCTGGGAAGCAGGATCCATACCTGAGTTAACTTTATGACTCCCTTTTACTCAAAGCTCTGCCCTCCAGGAGAGCCTAGAGCCAAGTAATACATGTTAAATGAATACAAGAATTAAAGAATCTTAAAATGGCCCTTATTCAAATGAGATAAAAAAATCTCTTCTTGCATATGGGCACCTATGTTTGTAGATGGTCACAAGTTACTGAATCAGAGACAAATAAAATAATTCTTACTGTCTCCCTGCCAGGAGATTAACTCCTGAACCTTTGCAAGGGTGGCCTTTCATTGGAATGAGCCCGGTACACACACCCTGCCTACATTCTCCTCCTCTGGTGTTGAGTTGTTTTTCTCCATTGCACAAACCTGTCTGTCCTTTCTCCTCAGGGTCCTTTGCAAAACACATTGCCACATTGCCTCTTAAAAAAAAAAAAAAAAATCAGACCCAATAGGATGGAAGTTTGAATGCCTGGCTTTTGTCTGTGAATACCTAAAGGTGTTCGCTTGGTGATGTCTGGAGGTTGTTCAGGCTGTCATCAATTACAGTGCATGCCAGGCTCCTGTGGGGCTTTGGCAGGAGAGGAAGCTTATTTTAGATGCTTGCAGAGCACTCATAAAACCTCCTTCTTTGATCATCTTTAGGGATTGAGGATTTTTTCTGGCTGAGGACAAAATAAGAGAAAAAGCATTGTCTTCACATAAAAACATTAGCGTGTTGAAAAAACAAGGAGACAAAATATGCTTGCATATGCAGAGAAAACTGGAAGGATGGGATCCTCCAGGAATTAAGAGTGCACCTCTGGAGAAGGAGATTGAAAGCTGAGGGGAGACAGGGCACGGAGGAGGAGGAGGGAAAATAAAGGAGGCAGGTTTCCCTTAATACGCTTCTGTACTATTTGAAAAAAGATTAATACTGTGTATTACCTTCTTAATATTAAAAACAAAATAAGAAAAGATGTGTAAGGAGAAAAAAAGAGATGTACAATTATGGAATGACTTTTGGGCCCATAGGTAGTTGGTGATGCCAGTGGAAAAGAAGACAGATGACTCAATTAAAAAAACTTAGATTTTTAAGAGACACTATGTATCAAAGTCAGAAATTATAAGTCAACAGTAGGATTGCCTAGTAAACAAAAACCAAAGGGATGAGAAAGAAAAGAGAAAGCATCTTTAAGTCAGGACGTGAAGTTTTTTTTGTTGTGTTTTGTTTTGAGATGGAGTCTCGCTCTGTCGCCCAGGCTGCAGTGCGATGGCGCGATCTCGGCTCACTGCAACCTCTGCTTCCCAGGTTCAAGCGATTCTCCTGTCTTAGGCTCCTGAGTAGCTGGGATTACAGGCTCCCATCACCACGCCCGACTAATTGTGTGTGTGTGTGTGTGTGTGTATTTTTAGTAGAGACAGGGTTTTACCATGTTGGCCAGGCTGGTCTTGAACTCCTGACCTCAGGTGATCCACCCCCCTCAGCCTCCCAAAGTGTTTGGATTACAGGCGTAAGCCACTGCACCTGGCCATGAAGTTTTGTTGCAAAAGATTCTGTGGACAGAATCCAGAGAAGCTACTGAGTCCATACATAGATAACTGGAAGCATATCTTTATGAAATATCGGTGTGGGATAGGGGAAGGCATCCCAACATGGAATTTTTTTAAAGCCTTATTTGATGACCAGAAAAGACTGTGGGTGAGGCTGGAGGCACAGTTGGAGGGGAAAGATGGAAGGGTGACCAGAATGCAACTCTAAAAGCTCATTCCAAACCCCAGGGGTTCTCGACTGGGGTATTTGTTAATGTCTGGAGACATTTTCAGTTGTCACAACTTGGTGGTGCTACTGGCATCTAGTGGGTAGACATCCTGTAACACAGAGGCCAGCCCCCAACCACAAAGAATTCTTTCACCCCAAATGTCAGAAGTATGCAGCGTGAGAAACCCTGTACTAAAAAGTGAATAATGAGATTGCTGAGCAGTTAATGCCTCACATTGTGTGTGCTTTACAGTTTACTAGGTGTTTCCACATCCATTTGCTCCTCATCACAAACCTAGTGGGTTGGCAGGGCAGACTTCTCTATTTCCCTGTGGCTGCTGAGGAAGTAGAAGTTCAGAGACTGATCCAAGGGCACACAGCCTGGAGTCCAGGTGTTTGGCCCTGTCTCCACACTCTGCTGACTCTCCTGTCCCATGTGGCATACCAAAGTCATCTTTGAACGAGATGCTTGGGTGAATATGTGCCATGCCCCAGAAGGTGACAGGGAGAGGGGCTGCCAATGAAGCAAAAGTAGAAAACTCACAGTGCCAGGGGTGACATTACTGAAAGGGACTGATGGAAAATTGCTCAAGTGCCAGTGAAACAGCTACAATGGTTTCCCCTTTGGTGGTGGCTCTTGGTCACATTTTGTCATACACCCACAGGAGTTTTTGATACACAGAGACCTGAAAGCGCTTGGCTTGTTCAAGGAAGGACAATTACATGCAGTTAGAAAGTGGAGGTGATGAAAGAGATGTGGCGGACAGTGAGGTTGGAAAGCAGAGACACGATCCTGGAGATCAAGTGAAAAATAGAACTAGATTAGGTGTCGTCCAAAAAAAACCACCTAATTGGCCAAACTGTAGAAAGGAGAGCTTTATTGGAGATAACTGGTTTACAAGCTGAGAAGATAAAATGTGGATTGAAGGTGCTATCTCTTTGAAGAGGGGAAGGACAGGTTGGGTTTTATGCCTTGCACAGCCTGTATCACACATATTCAGCAGGTTTGGGGGCAAAAGTTGTATTTATAAGGGGAGCAAAGTGCATGCACAATGGGTAAACATATGTAATATATATCCTGTGTTCACTTTGGGGTGGGGTTTTAGCATTAAAATGAGGTGGAATTTGGCTGTTTACATCAAAAAGTGAACTATAGGACACAAAAACTGTTTGTATGCAGCCTTTATAAGCTGCCTGAAACTGGCTTAAGGTCTGCAATTGCTTATCAGAAAAGAATGTTTGTAAGGCCAGTCCTCTGTCCAGTCAGAGTCATAGTGGCCTGGGTTGTAAATCAGAGTTAGGAGGGGTATTGTTAGTGTGTTTAATAAGAGTGTGTGTGTGTGTGTGTGTGTGTGTGTTTGTAGCTATAGAAATTTAGAAATTTCTACACGCCAGCCAGGTCCTGAACCCTCAACCTGTAGGAAACTTTTGTTTCCTTAACCTTGGGGTCAATCATAACTGGTGAAGGAGCATCTATTTTGGTATTGCAGATCACAGTCAGCAACCACGAGCCCTGGACATTTTGAAGGGCAGTAGTGACATGAGTTGACCAGTGTTTTAGAAAGTCTCCACTACATGAAGGACATTTTCTTTGAAATCACATTTATTCCTCTTGCCCATATTATAAAACTGATTGCTTTTAAAAGCATTGCATTTGATGTCGGTGGGTTTTCACTGAGGGCTGAGTACTCTGCTACAATTTGGATGACAGAACTTACAGAGAAATTGGAAGCAGATGAAAATAGCATCCTGCACAGGCTGTCCTTTTGGGTGCCTATTTAAATACATAGTAAGTGAAGTCATAGCACAAACACTCTTACGAGCAGCCATCACCTGACACTAACCCAAATAGGTTTATTACTACAATGCTACATTCAAATGAACCAAAATAGCCTACAGTGTGTACACAGGGTATCTAGTGTCATTTACATTTGCTGTCTCTGAAATGGAGTTCATCACCCTAAAAAGTGTAAGAAAGGAAAGCACTTAATTGCTCATGGTATCATGCTGTGCACCAAACCCAATAGTGACTGTCTTTACCTTTTAATTACTTACAACTCATATTTTAATAAACATTTTAATATTTTTTTGGGTAATACATGCTCACTGTAGATAAACTGGAAAAATGCAGATAAGTAAAAGGCAGAAAATAAAAGAGTCACCCACTATTCACCACAATACATTTCTTTCCAGAGTTATTATCTAAATTGCCCTTCTAAACACATTAATCATGGTGCCTTTTATTCCTAACTTCCTCTTACAGTTTCAGAGAAGATGCATCAGGATACTTTATTGTTCTAAAGTAAACACTGCTTAGATCAAAGGTGGCACTTGACCCAAAGCCATCCAGTGATCCACAAGGTAGCGGGCCTGAGGTCATCTGCCCTAGAGGAGTGATAATGAGCAAATCTAACTTGTCCTTCTGAAATCTGGACTGAAGGATTTGTGGCCCATTGGCCAATTGGCAGTGAAAAGGGTGAAACTCACAAACATGGAGCTAGAAGGACAGGTCAACGAGAGAGAACACCTGGGTCAGATGAGAGGGCGACACAGAGAGAATCAGCGGTAGGGCTGAGAGTGTGCTAGGTCCATCCACAGATAGCCTTATAATAAAGCCCCTCTTTCCTTTCCCCTTAAGGCAGTTAGACACTGTTTTTGTTTTGTATAATCAAAAGTGCTACATGGGCCACGCACGGTGGCTCACACCTGTAATCCCAGCATTTTGGGAGGCTGAGGTCGAAAGATCGCTTGAGCCCAGGAGTTCAAGACCAGCCTGAATGTGGTGAAACCCTGCTCTACAAAAAAATACAAAAATTAGCCAGGCTTGGAGGCACACACCTGTGGTCCCAGCTACTGCGGAGGCTGAGGTGGGAGGATCTCTTGAGCCTGAGAGGCAGAGGTTGCACTGAGCCAAGATAGCATCATTGCATTCCAGTCTGGGCAACAGACAGACCCTGTCTCAAAAAAGAAAAAAAAGTGCAATATGCTCAATTTTATTTTAGGGTTCCCAGTCATTAGCAGGAAATGGACATGAAGTAAATCTTAATGTTTATGCAAATGAAATAATTCACCTGTTCTCTCAAACAAAATTATACTGTATTCAAGATCTTGGGAAACTCCAGGTAAAATGTCATGATTCCCAACCTCAAGGAACTTATTATGAGATATAACTATAAATATCTACAGACAAATAAAAATATAGTTATTTTAAGAAGGGTAAAATGACATACTTCATTGAGGATGCTTTTGGCTTCAAGCAACAGAAAACCTCACTTAAAATGCTTAAAAAACGGAATCTCACATTAAAAAAAGTCCTAGTCAGGCATGGTGGCACACCTGTAGTCCCAGCTGCTAGTGAGTCTGAGGCAGGAGGATTGCTTGAGCCCAGTATTTCAGGTCCAGCCTGGGCAACATAACGAGACTCCATCTCTTTAAAAAAAAAAAAAAGTCTGCAGATAAAGCAGTTCCAGGGCTTACTGGTCCAATGAATGCCTAAACACCATCATCAAGGACATGGGTTCCTTCTGTCTTTCTGCTCTGCCATCTTCAAAATTTTATTGACTTTTGGTCCTAAGGTTTGTTTCCTCATAGATGCCAGGTGACTATTTCTCTTCCAAGGATCAAACCCTTACACAACAGTGTCTGAAGTTTGGAAAAGATGATGTTTCTGAGTTATAAGAAAAACTCTCAGAGCCCACTAGCCGGCTTCCCTTCGCACTCCATCACCATTGTCACTGGCAACGGAAATGGAATTATCTAATTGGTTTAGCCTAATCAAGAATCACCCCTGAGACTGGAGAGGGGTGCGTGAAACACATGGTTACCCAATACCTCAACAAAATAGGGGTTTGGTTAACAGAAAGAGGGGGGCGGCACAAAATGATTCTTGAGTGGGCAACTAAGGGTGTCTGTCATATATGGTTTAAAAGGGCAAATTTAAAAACTACTGATGGGGGTTGGGGAGATGTTGGTCAAAGGATACAAAATTTCAGTTAGATAGACAATAAGTTCAAGAGAGCTATCATGAACTTATTTTAGAACAGGGTGAGAATAGTTAATAACAATGTATTGAATTCTCAAAAACTACTTCAAAAAGTGGGGGAAATGACTAGTAAAACAAAAATGGAGTAAAAATTAGAGTTAAAATTAGTATAAGAATCTAGATTAAAATACAGATTAAGAAAAAATTTAAATATCACATAGTTTAATGAAAAGAAGAAAAAAAGCTGAGGAAAATTGAGATCTAACTGAAATATTAAATCCAGAAAACTAAGATATCAAAAAGATGAAACGATAAAATAAATTAAGCCCAGCAGTTCTCAAAGGATGGTTCTTTGGCCAGAAGCACCAGCATAAACTGGGAACTTGCTAGAAATGCAAATACTGGGCTCCACCCCAGGGCTACTGAATCAGAAACCTTGCGGGTGGGGCCCAGCAATCTGTTTTAACAAGTCCTCCAGAACCAACAGGATCCCCAGGAGTTGATGTAGCTAACACTTCTGAATCCAAAGAAAAATAGACACTTTAAAACATTAAAAATTGTAAAATGAGGCCAGCGCGGTGGCTCATGCCTGTAATCCCAGCACTTTGAGAGGCCCAGGCGGGCAGATCACCTGAGGTCAGGAGTTCGAGACCAGCCTGGCCAACATGGTGAAACCCTGTCTCTGTTAAAAATACAAAAATTAGCCAGGTTGGTGGTACATGCCTGTAATCCCAGCTACTACTTGGCAGGCTGAGGCAGGAGAATCGCTTGAACCCAGGAGGCGGAGGTTGCAGTGAGCCGAGATTGTGCCACTGCACTCCAGCCTGAGCAACAGAGCGAGACTCTGTGTCAAAAAAAAAAAAATTGTAAAATGAAAAAAAATCAGTAGGCAAAAGGGCCAAATAAAAATCAGCATCTAGACCGATTCCAGGGTTAACATCTTTTTGCTGGGCAAACACGGTTCTCTGAGCCACTTTACCCCTTCCCACTCCCCTGGCCCCATGTCCTGACTGACCACCTAGTTGGTTGCCCTACCAAAGTTAAAATGAGCGGTTCTCATTCTGGCTACACTTTAGAATCACCTGGAGAATATTTAAATAATGTGGATAAACCAGCCCCTTCCTCAAACCAAGCAAGTCAGAACCTTGAGGGTGAGGACCTGGCCTCTGTATTTTTAGGAAATCTCTTAAGTGCTCCTATTGTACAGCCATGGTTTTGAACCATTGGCTTAGAGCTTCTAGGTTGAGAGGTGAGGGTTGAAGAGGCCTCTTGGCTCTTGATAGCTTCCTTGACCTCACACTTGCTGCCCATGTTCCTCAACAGCCTGGCTATAAGCTTTGGAGAAAACATAAAACAAGTATGCACGCAGCTCACATCTTTTCTCCAGCAGGTCTACGTATACCTGCCCTGCATACCAACATCTGACCCTCAAATTACTCCATCTGGATCCCAGATTGTGGGCTCTCAGTATGGAAAAGCATAGGCCAATGTTGAAATTCTTGACTGATGTCTCTTGTGCTTTCTAAACACTGATGGGGCTGGGCATGGTGGCTTATGATTATAATCCCAACACTTTGGGAGACTGAGTAGGGGGATCGCTTGAGCACAGGAGGTTGAGACTGCAGTGAGCCATGATCTCGCCACTGCACTCCAGCCTGGGTAACAGTGAGACTCTGTCTCTTAAAAATAAATAAATAAATAAATAAATAAACACTGATGGGAACATAATGTCCTCATTTCCAGCCTGGGCCAGTCCACCTCATAGGGAGCAACCCTAATTTTACATATGTATAAAATATTATACAGATGGTCCCCAACTTATAATGGTTCAACATATGATTTTTTTGACTTTACACTTGGTTTATTATTAGATGGATTTTCGGCTTATGATATTTTCAACTTATGATGGGCTTATTGGGACATATACCCATCATAAGTCAAGGAGCATCTCTACATACTATGTAATTATAATATTATACGTAAATTCTTTTACGCATAATTATATGTTATATGTAATTATTAGATATGTGTGTGTATATACACATATATACACATATGAAAAATGAAAATAATATATATTTTAGTGGCCTAGGAGGGGGCCTGAGCATTTTAGAAGGTTCTCAGGTGATTTTCCTGGGCAGCCAGCATTGAGAACCACTGATTTAGAGTGAAACATTCATAAACTCAGATCTCTGGATAAGAAAATATAACATATTTAAAATAGAAGAGAGAAATACAGGTAACAAAAGTTCCCAAATAATGTCAGTGGGAAGAAAGCCTGGACTTTGCTTACTCTCTCTTCACGCTCTCAAGAGGTGTGTCCACAAAGCACTCTCAATAGCTCCCGTAGCAACATTGATTCTTCCACTGGACCTTCATCTTTTCATGGTGGCCCAAAGGCTTTGCTCTCCCTCTCTCCCTGGTAGGGAGCTTGGTTCCATTGCTTCTTCATATTTGCCTTCTGACTCCCGCTAAGCCTCACCTGAACCAGCAGACACAAATATTGTTCCTGAGGTGTCTTCCTACCTCAAGGCTCAATTGAGCTGAACTTCCCTAGAAATGACAAAGCAAGATACAAGAGAGATGGGCCCTAACAGACCAGTGAGCAGCCATGGCGGTTTAACAGACAAAAAGAGGATGGAGGGGGCTGGGAGAGAGGGCGACCACCTGTCCTGGTTTGCCTAGTTCCAAGGGCTAAAACTGAGACAGTCCTGAACAGTCCTATGACCAAGCACAGCTTTGTGTCTTGCAGGAGACGACACTTTCATGTGGGTCTATGAGACCTCATTGAACACAAGCATTTTATATTTTATTTGTTTTGTGAGCATGCTAAGAGTTAATTTTCCAATTTTCTTTTTTCTTTTTTTTAATTAAACAATAGATGTGTCAACCATCGAAAAACTTAAATATTCAGAGAAGCAAGAAAAAAACAAATGAAATCACTTGTAATCTCACTTTCCAAGGAAAATTACTTTTAAGATACTGGTGTTTCTCCTTCCAATCTTTTTATGAGCATTTATTCTAAATATCTGTGCAAATATAAATATATTAAATTTACTTTCTATTTAGGAAATCAAAGAAGTTGGGAGAATAGAAAAGATCATTAGACACAAACAAAAGATGGTACACAAAGGGAAATGAAAATAAAACATGAATGACAAGAGAAGTTAGGGTAAAACTGATCCACACCAGTGCTTCTCCAGGAGCCATAGCCTTGATCTGAGGCATCAGGGCAGTGCTTTGTCCGTGGAGTGTGCTAGAACCATGAGGTCATCCTCTCTGATGGTGGTCACCCTCTCTGATGGTTCTATTACTTTTAATTGCAAAAACAGCAATTGCTTTTGCACCAGCCTAATAAGTATATGCTGGGCTCCAGAACTGAAGAGGACTGAACGTCATAGGAGGCTGTGGCTAAAGAAACTGGAAATGGTTCAGAGAAGAGAAACCAAGATGACTAATAAAGGGGAGCACAATGAAGCCTTTGAGCAGAGGTGAAAGAAAGCACAACTGTGCGGCCGGAAAGAAAGGAGGGCTGAGACAACGTAATACCATTCATGTAGATGAGGGGTGTGCACCTCTAAGGGGTGACTTGCTGTTCTCTATTTTCACTGAGGACTGAAAAAGGAGAACAAATAATAAACATTACTCTGTATGTCTAAGGGTTTTTTACTTTGCCAGAATTTTTTTTTTTCCCAGTGACTGATATCATCCTTACATTTTGAGATACTGACTGTCCTTGCACAGGGATTTAGGTTTGCATAGGAGAAACTACCACGGTGGCTGTTAAAGCATCCAGTGAGATTTTCCAAGGAGGGCACAGACTCTTCTTTCAATGATCAAAATAGAACCATTCTTCATCACATAGGGATGCTTTCTACATTGCCCTGCCTAAGAACCAAGAATAGTAAGTATACATTCCATTTCTAGAATACATTAATTGAATGTCTTTCTCCTTTCTAAACTCATTGGGCCTGTGAAACAATCATTTGAGGTCACGAGGAAGATATTATCTTCCCATTGTCCAGGTGAGAAAATGAAGGTTTAGAGGAAGGAAGTGACCTGCCCAAGGCCCCACAGTGAATGGTAAGCTAGAGTATATTCCAGATCTAGGGATTCTGGGTTTCCAGGACTCTTGCCACACTAGTCAATCTCTGAGATCAGAATCACCTGCAGGGCTTGTTGAAACACGGATTGCTGGATCCAGCCCCAGAGTTTCTGATTCTGTAGGTCTTGGGTGGGGCCTGAGAATTTGCATTTCCAACAAGCTCCAGGTAATGCTGCTGCTGTCTGGGAACCACACTCTGAGAATGACTGTGTTATACCACACCTGCCAGCCAACTAGAGCTGTGAAAGGAAAACACTTCAGTAAGACCTCAAACCCAGAGAATTTTCATTCAGACCTCAGACTCAGAGAAGTTTTATTTAACTTGAAAAATCATCTGCATGAAACTCACTAATTTCTGACCACCTTCCAAGCAACTGGCCCCTGTGTTATCAGAACACATTAGCACACAAGTCCACTCACAGTGCAGAGTCCAAGCCTCGCTTCCACACACTTTCCCAGAGCAATACAACCCAAAGAGGTAGAAGTGGAGCAGGGGAACTAAGAAATATTGAGCACTTATTCTATGACAGGCAGTGTTCAGAGTCTTGTATAACTCCTTATTTTATGTTTACAGTCACTCTGATAGAGAAACAATTATTCCCATTTTACAGAGGAAGAAATTGAGGCTCAAAAGGGTTACACAACTTTCCTAGGAAAACAACTAGAATATTCAGCTTCCAAACTATATATTTTTTTGACATCACAGATTCAACTATTTTAGATCCATTCCCTAACTTGTATTCTATCCACCCTAATTTTTAGCCCCTTAGCACATTTCTCTCCCCCATTCTTCAGGGTTAGTGAGCCTCCCGTCTTCAGCCTATGGGCATTGCACTTAATTTCTTTCTAATTCATAAAGCTCTTTTCTGAACTTTGGTGCCAGAATCATTTAGGACTTATTGGTTGTCTATTTAGCTTGATGCAAAGACCTAACCTAGAGGGAATTAGTTGGGTAAATTGTGGCACATCCTTATGCTGTTGTACATGGACATAAAAAATGGTTGTGATATATTTGAATTTTATTTTATTTTATTTTTACTTGTCTTTGTCAGGCAATATATTTGAATTTTAAAAAGCAAGTTACAATCATGCACAGTGTACTACTTTTTGTTAAAAAAAAAAAAAAACCACATGCATGCAAAAATGCACATTCACACATTGCAACCTACACAGCCTAGAAGAGTATACACCAAAATGTGAGCAATGATGAACTCAGAGTGGTGAAATTATGGGTGACTTTTACATTTTCTTTATTTTGTTTTTCTAAATGTTATGATTTTTCTTTTCTTTTTTTTCTGTCTCTTTATTAGAGACAGAGTTTCACCATGTTGCCCAGGCTGGTCTCAAACTCCTGAGCTCAGGCCATCCATCCACCTCAAACTTCCACACTGCTGGGATTACAGGTGTGAGCCACCATGACTGGACAAAATGTTATGATTTTTCTTGATAGATATGTGTAAGAAGCTTCTTCACCTGCCTTAAACTTCTTATCCTTCTCTCTTCACACTGAGTTCTTTACAAGCTCCTGGTGTTTATTCTCCTAATTAAATATTTAGTTCTATATTCTTCTCTATGCAAGAAAAGAAGAGTTCTTTGGGAGCAGGAAGGAAAAAAACATCCTCCCACCTATGTCCAATTCAAGGAGAAAACAAGCTGGCTACCAAAACTCCCCTGGGGCTCGTGTTTTCTATGCATGGTGAGAACACTATTCAAGGACGTCTAAGAACTGAGCATATATAATAATTATCTCTTTAGGGTTCTTAGGCTCTGCAGGGCATGCATAAGAGTGGAATACACCAACTCATAAATCTAAATGATTTATAACAACATTATATATACCACAATAAATACTTAAAGAAATAAATGAACAAAACTTAGACTTTGCAGTAGTGCTTTAAAAACATTCAAAAATTAATAGCTACAGTTCGAAGCCCTAGATAGAGTAGTAAATTCTCTATCCGTGTAAGTCTTCTAGAGACCCTGGTACAGTGAAGGCTCAAAGCTGTGCAGGTTGGAAGGAGGATTCTGCAGTGTTAAGCCAGGGCCCTTTGGAATGAGCCTCAGGTCCAGGCCTTTTCCAGTGGAGATCTTTCTCCAGCAGAACACAAACCATCAGGTGAATGACCTGGGTTGGGGTAAATTCATTCGGTCACACCCCATGCCTTGGGCCAAACCATGCACCCAGTTAAAGGGAATGGGTGGCTATTTCTGTATCCCCAAGAATAAAACCAACTGTGACCTCTAATGCTATTGGGGCTAGAAAGGGAAGAAATATGCCTTCTTTCATGTGAATTCATGTAAGGGATGAGGATGGGGAATCATTCACTGAGCAAAGATAATTATTTGCAACTAGAACATCCCTAAGCCTGCAAATAAATCTTCAGAATAAGACCATGAGAGTAAAAGCAATTTCTGGCCCAGGTCTCATGCCCTAAGCACTTCACCTAGACAATCCTCCTGAGAAAAACAAAAAAGTCACTCCTTCCCTAGGCCTGCTGGTTCTGGCCTGGAGGCTGGTTGCTTAAACCAATGATTGTTTTCTAGAGAGCTGTCAGGGAGAGCAAAAGTAATGAAATCATTTCATGTTCTTTATCTGGGAGAGTCAGCCTGTGGCATTCTCAGCACTTCTCTTGAGCTGTATCTATCACTGTCAGACTGTCTTGTGGGAGTGGGGCATGCAGATTAAAAATGACTTCACAGCCCCTCCCTCGCAGGTTAGGGAGCATGACATCTATTGGCAGCTGGGCATCTGATGGCTGAGAGCCAGGCACCACATTGCTACATTTCCACTGGGTCCTTGCTGAAAATATTTCTCCTGAATAATATCTTGGCCCTAATGTTGAACCAACTCCATCCCAGACTCACATCCTCTCTGAGATGATCTTTTGGTGATCTTCCACTCTCCACTGTAGCTTTTCTTCCTACCGCAAATTCAACACTGTAGCAGATTTCCCATGGTGTATTGTTATCGGGGGACCTGCCCCGATAATCACGTAGGTTCTTTTCTATTTTCCTAAGCGTCGACTGGCTTGAGAAATAAAAGGACAGAGTACAAAAGAGAGAAATTTTAAAGCTGGGCGTCCGTGGGAGACATCACACATTGGTAGGATCCGTGATGCCCCACAAGCCACAAAACCAGCAAGTTTTTATTAGGGATTTTCAAAAGGGGAGGGAGTGTGCGAATAGGTGTGGGTGACAGACATCAAGTACTTAAAAGGGTAATAGAATATCAAAAGGCAAGTGGAGGCAGGGCGAGATCACAGGACCACAGGACTGAAACGAAATTAAAATTGCTAATGAAGTTTTGGGCACCATTGTCATTGATAACATCTTATCAGGAGACAGGGTTTTGAGATCAACCGGTATGACGAAAATTTATTAGGCGGGAATTTCCTCTTCCTAATAAGCCTGGGAGCGGTATGGGAGACTGGAGTTTATTGCACCTCTGTAATCTCGACCATAAGAGACAGGTACGCCCCGGGGGGCCAGTTCAGAGACCTACCCCTAGGTGCGCATTCTCTTTCTCAGGGACGTTCCATGCTGAGAAAAGGAATTCAGAGATATTTCTCTCATTTACTTTTGAAAGAAGAGAAATATGGCTCTGTTCTGCCTGGCTCACCGGCAGTCAGAATTTAAGGTTATCTCTCTTATTCCCTGAACAATTGCTGTTATCCTGTTCTTTTTTCAGGGTGCCCACATTTCATATCGGTCAAACACACATGCTGTACAATTTGTGTACTTAACGCAATTATTACAAGGTCCTGAGACGATATACATCCTTCTCGGCTGACAGGATTAAGAGATTAAAGTAAAGACAGGCATAGGAAATCACAAGGGTATTGATTGGGGAAGTGATAAGTGTCCATGAAATCTTTACAATTTATGTTTAGAGATTGCAGTAAAGACAGGCATAAGAAATTACAAAAGTATTAATTTGGGGAACTAATAAATGTCCATAAAATCTTCACAATCCACGTTCTTCTGTCATGGCTTCAGCCGGTTCCTCCATTTGGGATCCCTGACTTCCTGCAACATATTGTAAATATGTTTAAGATTTTCTGTATATTGTGATGTTTTGACATCTTAACCTTTCTGGCTGGGGAGAGATTACCCCTCCAGGAGCTAGCCAATTCTTAGAGGTAGCAAAGGACCCAGAGGGGAACATGCCTTTGATAAGCAGACTAACCAGTCCAGAGCCATATCTCCTCTACCTGGCCCTCAGGAGGCAATATTCCATGATTTAATCATCCCCGGGCCTGGTATCAGGAACCTAGGACCACCACTACAGCTCGGAGCCCACCAAAATTATATCTAAACCAGCCAATACCACACTGTCCACCCTGCTCTGCCTCGACATTCCCTCAGAAACCCCAATCAAGCCACTGGCCTAATGTGTAAATACTTAATGGATGGCAAACTAGCACATGAAAAGATGTTCGACGTCATTTACCATTGGCAAAATGCAAGTTAAAACTACAACAAGGCCAGGCGCGGTGGCTAACGCCTGTAATCCCAGCACTTTGGGAGGCCCAGGCAGGTAGACCACCTGAGGTCAGGAGTTCGAGACCAGCCTGACCAACATGGAGAAACCCTGTCTCTACCAAAAGGTACAAAAAAATTAGCCAGACATGAAGGTGTGTGCCTTTAGTCCCAGCTACTTGAGAGGCTGAGGAAAGAGGATCACTCAACCCCGGAAGACAGAGGTTGCAGTGACCTGAGATCGAGCTACTACAGTCCAGCCTGGGTGACACAGCAAGACTCTGTCTCAAACAAACAAACAAACAAACAAAAAACACAACAGGATACCACCACACAGCTACTAGGATGGCTCTAATTCTGTCACCCAGGCTGGAGTGCAGTGGTGCAATCTCGGCTCGCTGCAACCTCTGCCTCCTGGGCTCAGGCTCAGGTGATTCTCTCACCTCAGCCTCCCAAATAGCTGGGACTATGTGCGTGCACCAACCACCACACCCATTTTTTTGTATTTTTTTAGAGATGGGGTTTTGACATATTGCCCAGGCTGGTCTCGAACTCCTGGACTCAAGTGATCTGCCTTCCTTGGCTTCCCAAAGTGCTGGGATTATAGGCATGAGCCATCACAACCATCCAAATGGCTTAAAAACTGGCTGAGCACAATGGCTCATACCAGTGAGGTCTCTTGAGTCAGAAGTTCAAGACCAGCCTGGGTAACATAGAGAGATCACTGACTCTACAAAATATTTTAAAATTAGCCACACATGGTGAGTGGCACAGGCCTGTAGTTCCAGCCTCTCAGGAGGCTGAGGCAGGAGGATTGCTTGAGCCTGGGAGGTGGAGACTACAGCGAGCCATGATTCTGCCACTGCACTCCAGCCTGGGCGACAGAACAAGACCTTGTCTCAAAAAAATATTTAAATAAATGAATAAATAAATAAAAACTAACTAACAATAAATGCTAAGTGCTGGTCAGGATGTTGTGAAGCAGTTGGAACTCTCTTCTACTGCTAATCGGATATAAAATGGTACAACCACTTTGGAAAACAGTTTGACAGTTTCTTTTTACAGTTAAACATGCACTTACCATGTGACCCAACAATCTCACTCCTAACTGAAATAAAATCCTTTGTTCACATAACAAACTTTGCATGAATGTTAATGGTGGCTTTATTTAAAATTTTCAAGGTCTGGAAACCCAAATGTCCTTCAACTGAAATGGATGAACAAACTATGGTACATCTGTACAATGAAATATTACTTAGTAATACAAAGGAATGAATTAGTGATTCATGCTGCAACATGGATAAACCTCAAAAACATGCTAAATGAAAGAAGCCAGACTCAAAAGTCTGCATACTATTTGATTACAGATTTATGGTTTAGTCTGCATCTTCTAGAGTTTTATTTATGCAAAAGCAAATATTTAGGGACAGAAAACAGACCAGTAGTTGCCAGGGACTGGGGGTAGGGGAGAGGGGTTGACTAGAGGAATCTGAGAAAATCCTGGGAGTAATGGAGTGGATCTATATCTTAATTTTACTGATGGTTACACTACGGTACACATTCATCAAAACTCACTGACCTATTCACTTAGGATGAATTTTGCCATATGGAAATTACACTTTAATCTTCAAAATATGAAGCCAGCATTGGCATTTGTCTTCGGTGTAAATTCCTGTGATGCCGTATCTATGTTCAGTCTTCTTCAGTGGGGCTTGTCCATGCTTCTCTCTCCCCTCTCAGAGTCACTGAAACAAATGCAGGTTTCCCACAGGCTTCCAGCCCTGGAGGAAATTGCTATGGCTGCTTAGTTAGCAGAAGTGACACTAGTAAAGAAAGCCAGCTTGGGATGCTGGCTAAATAGACAGGGAAGGGGCTCTGTCAGAGCTGCCCTTTATACACGGTAACATATCCTCAGTGATCACACAGAGAGTGGAAGTCACTGAGGTTGAGCATGGCCACCATAAGCCGTTTCTCACCTAGGCTCCAGGGTGAAAGGGATTGGAAGCAGCCCTGCCTACCAGGTGGTCAGCACCTGACAAGCTTAAGTAGGCCCCCAAATCCAGCTAACTCCATTCTTCCCTCATCCCAAAAAAGTACTGCATGTCATGGGGCCACTGTCCTTGTGAGCAATGCCGCACTCTTCAGCCAAACAGCCATCTGACTTTGACTTAGAAAAGGCAGAGCCAGGCATCACTCCAAATGGATAGACCCCAAATGTCCCTTGTTTCCATGATGGGCAAGGTCCATTTCAGAGCCAGTTTGGGAAGGTGGCTTCTCTCCATCACAGGAAGCATATGTTTCTGGAAGCCAGCCTTCCACTGGTTCTGGAAAGAATCCTTTGGACCAGAGATGAAGTGGGGCCTGGATTGCTCTGCCAGATGAGTTCCTGTCCGGTCAGCCATGCCCAGGGTGGAGCCCTACCAAGGCAGACCACTTCCCTACCGCGCGGAGGCCAATGGGGGCCAGGATGTGCACCTGACTTCCTGCTTCCACCTTGCCCCAGCTCTGGGCTTCCAGGCTTCTCTCCATTATTTTTCTCTTGTCGTTTGTTCCTAGATCTTGGCTACTCTGACCAGCAGCTTTCTCTCTCTCTCTGTCTATTAAATGGCATTATTAAGGTATAATTGACATGAAATAAGCTGAGCATTTAACTGTACAATTTGATAAATTTTGACATTCATATATACCCAGGTAACCATCACCACCAAATCAAGATAGAGAACACATCCATCACCCCCAAAAGTCTCCTTGTGCCCCCTCGGTCATCCCTCCCTCCTGCCCTTGCCTGTCCCCCATTCCCAAGAAGCACCAATCTGCTGCCTGTCACTAAGGATTAGTCTGCATTTTCTAGAGTTTTACATAAATACAATCACACAGTATGTGTTCTCTCTCTTTCTCCCTCTCTCTCTCTCTCTTTCTCTCTCTGGTCTGTCTGCTTTCACTTAGAAAAATTATCTTGAGATTTATCTATATTGCTGCATGTATCAATAATTTATTCTGTTTTCTTGCTGAGTAGTATTCCATCATATGGCTATGCCATAATTTCTTTACCTGTTCATCTGTTGGTGGATGTTTACATTGTTTCCAGGTTTGGGGAAGCCTTTCTCTTCAACCAGCTGGGCTGGCGGTCCTTCAGAAAACACCCAGCACTCCTTGCTGCCAAGGCTTCTTGCTCTGACCACTTCTGACTTGCTGCAGTGGGAGCAGGAGAGTCACTCCACAGAGTGCAGGAAGATTTGCGAGGAGAGGTGGTCGCATCTCCATACAACCCCTCCACTTCTCCCTGCTCCTCCCCACTACCTCTATTTCAACAGCCTCTCAGATCACAACTGCCCCTTGACTTGAGCCAGGAAGAGAAGGGACCAGATAGCAACTGGGAGGAATGGGACAGGTCAATAGTGACACCTTTCATTTCATGAGTATTTCCCACTGTTTGCCCTTTGAGGACAAAGCAAGTCCCTGTGGAGCGGTAGTTTGCTGACAACTTTTATAACACTGACTCTTAGAATATGTCTTTTAAGAGATTAATAAAGAATGTTTATGGCAGTGCTTCTTAACCTTTGATGTGGACACAAATCATTAGAGGGTCATGTAAAATGCAGATTCTGATTCAGTAGGCTGGGGATGGGACTTGAGACTGCATTTCCAGCAAGCTCGCAGATGACTGGATCCTGCTGTCTTCAGGCTGCATGCTTCAAGGGGTCATTCGCAGGTGTTTAGTTGTTTAATAATTGCTTTTTAACAAGTGTTTAATCACTATCTATAAAACTCTAATAAGTACAGGCTAATGCAAGTTGTCTTCTCTCCTGGAGATCCCCTGCAGCTATTCTGAATTAACCAGGGCCTCCTACTGAATACCCCAAGTGTTCCCTTGAAACTAGGATTGGTGTTAAAGCTAGGTGGTGTCAGATTTTAGCCTGCCAAGAACAGCTCCTCCTGTTGGCAAAATATCTACTGTTTCTCTTGTTTGCTGCCTTATACTGATCTTGGTTCCTGGGAAGTTTGGAACTTATACTGCAAAAATGGGTTATGGTGAAAACAGATGGACTACAAGGATGCAGGAAAAAATGAAAAAAATAGGTTATGGGATAACTTGAATAAGATCTTTTTTCTGTGGGGCCCAACTATCACAGACCCATCTAGGGTGGAAATGAGCTGGTACTGGTAGCTGTGGAAACCACAGATCTCTGGATGCAAAGTTGTGATAAAGTGATCCATTCAATCATGCAAATGAATGTTTATGTCCTGAAACATGCAAGGCACTGTGAATACAGTCCCTTCCCTCAAGGGAGAGCAAGACACAAACTGATATAGCACTCATTTATACCCAGAGGTACAAACTATACAGGAAAGCAGGTGGTGGTTACCTGAATGACAGCTGGGAGCTGGCTAGGACAAAAGCAAGGGAGATATTCCAAAAAGAAGGAATGACTGGAGTAAAGCCACAGGGTAGGAATGTCCAGTGTGTCTTTGGAGAAAGGAAGTTTCAGTCTTCATGTCAGGAGGAATGGAATTGGAGGATGTGAAGGGAGGCCAGAGGCCTGTCTTGACTCATTACCACCCGAATGAAATTTGGTAGCTAATTAGGGATACAGACATCAGAACCAAGATGGTGTTTTATGATTGATTTGGTGGCAATACGCTTTGATGGAACAGTGGAGTGAGTCAGGAGGTAAAGAGAACAGGTAGGAGGCCACTGTATCGATTGAGGTGTGCAAACCTCAGCCAGATAGGAGTTCCAGCGATAGAAAATGTAGGTTAGATGAAGGAACAGGGGAAGAAGACACCCCAGGACTGGGTAGCTGTATGGCAGGGGTGATGGAGAGAGGACAATGATCATGCTGCAATTTTGAGTCTTTCTGAGAGAATGGCAGTTCTGAACCATGAGTTTGGTTTTAGTTAAACTGAAACACTTATGTGAAAATGTCCAGCAGGCCAGCAGAGACATTAATCTGCAGCTTTAAAACCAAAGGGCTCAGCTGGACATGGTGGCTCACGCCTGTAATCCCAGCACTTTGGGATGCCAAGCGGGGTGGATCACCTGAGGTCAGGAGTTTGAGACCAGCCTTGGCAATATGGTGGAACCCCATCTCTACCAAAAATATGAAAGTTGGGCAGGCGTAGTGGCGGGTGCCTGTAATCCCAGCTACTTGGGAGGCTGAGGCAGGAGAATCACTTGAACCTGGGTGCAGAGGTTGCAGTGAGCTGAGATCACGCCATTGCACTCCAGTCTGGGCAACAAGAGCAAAGCTCTGTCTCAAAAAAAAAAAAAAAAAAAAAGCAAAGACCTCCTGGAGACAGACATTTAGGTTACCCACACTGAGTTATTTCATTTTTCCTACAAACAAGCAAGCAAAAACATGAGACTCTCTGGTAGTCTACACTGTGCTACTCACTGGGGCTACAAAAGTGAGAAAGATGGGTTTCCTCCCCTTGGAGTTGTCAGATCCATGGAGGAAACATGCCTCTCCTGCATTAACAGATTCCAGCACTGCAGTGGAAGGGGTTGCCGAGCGAGGTGGGGGAAACCCTTAGGTAGATGAGAGCACTGAGGAGGGAGGGCCCAGAGGGGGTAGATTCTTTCCTTGTAAGTTTACATCTTTCTATTGCTCACAATGTGCCAGGCACTGGTTTGAGCACTGCCAAGTGCAGACTTGTGACCACTGGAGTATACTGTCCCACTCAGTGAGGTCGGCAAGCAGTGGGAGAGAAATTACTCGGAGAAGGAAATAGAGAAAGGCCCCAGGGATAGGAAATCAAGTTACTGAGAAATCCCTGAGGTCAAAAAGGAAGTGATAACAGTGGTCATCGGTGTCAAACGCTAACAAAATGTCAAGAAGGATAAGAATGAATTGGAGATGGTTGATTTGGGAACTTGGTGAAGTCACGGTCATCTTTGGCAGCAATTTCAGTTAAGAAGCATCAGAGAAAGTCACAGAATGAGAGAGTTATGAGGAAGTGGAGAAACATGGAGTGTAGATATCTCTTTTTTTGAGAATTTTGGTAGTAAAAGGAAAAATGAGTGCCAGCAGTTCAAGGTGAGAGAAATTTAGGAATTTTGGGGGGTGGGATTATAAGAGAGTCTGAGGCATGTTAGTAACCAGAGGATGAAGGAAACATTGGAAATGTTCACAGATTGAGGAGAAAATGAAAGGAATAGCTTCCATGGAGAGTGTGTCAACTCTGCTTGGCTGCTCACCTGCTCTTCATACAGCACCACTTAGCCCTGGCTTGTGGTCACTGCCCTTGAGGGGTTGGCACTATAGCCTTCAGAACACTCTGGTTGGACCCTAGTCCTCCTGGAGCCACCAGGCCCTAATCAGTGGTTTCTCCTTTGTGCTGCATTTCCCTGGGAGTGAATTAGTGGTCTAAAGCCCAGTTTTCTCGGTGAATGTCTGTGTTCTGGCTTGTAAACAAACTGTTGACCAGATCTAGAGATTTCAGGAAACTGGTTTTCCTAGTCCTGAACACTAGAATGCTCCAATGACAGCTCCTCCAAGTACTGAGCATTTGTCAACCCAGATTTCTACTGAACCCCAGCTTTGCTTCTGTAGATTTGGCATTTGGTTTGAAAATTTTGCTGATTGTCCTAATTTCAAGAGACTTTACGTGGAAATCACCTTTTAAACCCACAGCTAGCAAACAACTATTTTATTTGCACTAAATAGCTAGCTTTAGGCTCTCTCTGGGTTAGTTTAGTATGCATTGCCTTGGCTTCAGTGTTGACAGCAGGAGAGACTGTGATAAAGAGCAGAGGTAGGTGGGGTGCAGCCCTTCCTTCTGGAAAGTTGAAAGGAGAAGAAAGGGCGGGGCATAGTGGCTAATGCCTGTAATCCCAACACTTTGAGGGGCCGAGGCATGAGGATTGCTCGAGCCCAGGAATTTGAGACCAGCATGGGCAACATGGTGAGACCCTGTCTCTACAAAAAACTGTAATAAATTAGCCAGGCATGGTGGTGTACACCTGTGGTCCCAGCTACTCAAGAGGCTGAAGTGGGAGGATTGCTTGAGCCCAGGAGGTCGAGGCCACAGTGAGCTGTGATTGTGCCCCTGCACTCCAGCCTCAGTGACAGAGGCAAGACCCTGTAAAAAAAAAAAAAAAGCCAGGTATGGTGGCTCACGCCTGTTATCCCAGGACTTTAGGAGGCCAAGGTGGGCAGATCACCTGAGGTCAGGAGTTTGAAACCAGCCTGGCCAACATAGTGAAACCCCATCTCCACTAAAAATACAAAAATTAGCTGGGTGTGATGGTGCACAACTGTAGTCCCAGCTACTCAGGAGGCTGAGGCAAGAAAATGGCTTGAACCTGGGAGGCGGAGGTTGCAGTGAGCCGAGATCGCACCACTGCACTCCAGCCTGGGGAACAGAGCAAGATTCCGTCTCAAAAAAAAAAAAAGAGGAAAGATTAGGAAATTCAAGAAGCAAGTCAACCTAGAGATCCTCATTCCCCAGCCAGTCATCCATCCATCTAAATATTCATTTACTCATCCTCTTAATTTTTCATTTATCTGTTCATCCAGTCAACAAAATTTGTGGATCACTCACAATATGAGCCTCCAGAAATAAGAGACAAAAACACTGAGAAAGCCGCAGGAAAGACTGAAACTAGCCCATCAGTGACTCAGAGGCCTAGACACGCCTAAATTATCTTTTGCTTTCAGCTAAAGAGAAAGGGAAAAACCTGTTTTATTCACATACGTCGATGCTGGGGCTTCGACCAATTAGGATCTCAGTCTTCTCTCTCCTGTCCAGTTCTCCCCCAAGGAGGCATGAGTAAAGCTATCATTTAGCAATTCTGGGCAATAAGGCAAGTGCAGGGTATCAAGTCACTTAAAGACCTTGCCAAATCTAGAGGTGGGGAGGAATGCTACTTGCATAATATTTCTTGCTATTCATTACAGCAACAGGAAAATAAGCATTTTATAACAAATTTAACACCAGGTCCTGCCCCAGCAGGAGCTCCTTTAGGTACCAGAGGTTTTGCAACCTCCCACTGCTTAGCAGTTAGCGACCCAGCAGGGGCCCCCACTCATCACAGTTTCACTCTGGAGATGCTGCCCCTGGCTCCACTTCCTTGCCTGGGATTATCACAAGACCCAGATTCCCACCAGCTTCAACTGCTCCTCCAGGACTAGAGTGGAGCCCAGCCTTGGGCCAGGGAAAGGAAGAGGCAGGGGTATCAATGAAAAGCAGGAAGAATGTTCCACCTCATTCTACCACTGTCAGACACTGAACATGAAACAGACCCACATCTAAGTCACGCTCATTTAAAACTGGATTCTTATTTTTTAAATTTCCAACTAAAAGCAAAAATATTCCTGTAGATCATCTGAAGCAGAAAAAATAATAGGCAAAAAATATATAGAATAAATGAGACATTTAAAAATTAAGAAAACAATCAAAAATATTGTTATACTGAAAATTTGTAAAATACTGAAAAGGACTGAGAAGAAATAAAATCATCCCAAGCCCTTATCACTCAGAAATAAACACTGTTAACATTTAGTCTGTTGCCAGTCTTTTTTCTTTGCCTATATATACATAATGTATTTATAACATTGTTATCTGTGTTATGAATACTCTTTTGTGATCTGTGTAATCTGGGATTACAGGCATGAGCCACCTACAGATCACTTTTGTGATCTGCTTTTTATTTCACTTAATATATTGTGTCCATTTCCCCATGTTTTCAGATGTTCTTTTACAGCATATCTAATGGCCATGTTGTATGCACAGAAAAAATGATAGTAGCTAACACTTAGAAAGTAGCAGACACTTTACATGGAGTAACTCATTCTCACAATAATTTATTGAGTCAGATACTATAAAATTATCCTCATTTTACAAAAGAGGAAACGGAGGCACAGAGATTCCACACAGTTATTAGGCAGAGAGCCAGAATTTGAACCCAGGCAGTCTCAGGGTCCAGGCTCTGAACCACTAACCCACATTGCAATGCAATTTACCTCACCTATTCCTGATTGTTGGGTGTTATTCTGACTCAGGGGCTCTTTTTTGCTGTCATAAACAATGCTGACTTGAACATTCTTTGTTTTTTTTTATCTATTGCCCAGGCTGGAGTGTAGTGGTGTGATCATGGCTCATTGCAGCCTCGACCTCCGGGACTCCAGTGATTCTCCCACCTCAGCCACCCAGGTAACTGGAACTACAGGTACCTGCCACCATGCCTGGCTAATTTTTGTACTTTTGTAGAGAGAGTTTTGCCTTGTTGCCCAGGCTCGTCTCAAACTCCTTGATTCAAGGGATCCACCCGCCTTGGCCTCCCAAACTGCTGGGATTACAGGTGTGAGCCACTGCACCTGGCCTGAACATTCTTAAATACACACTTTTGTACACATGTTAAATTATTTCCTTATGATACTTCCTAGGCCAAATGGAAAACTTACTTTTAAGGCTTTTGATACATATTGCCAAATTTTAGAAACATACCAAATTATGTTCTGCATATATAGCAGTACTACTTCTTAATGAACTTTTACTAATGTTGGTTATATTTTTCTTTGTAATTTATTTGGTGAAAATGTTTCCTTATGATTGTTTCAATATGCATTTTCTTGCTTACTAGTTTTATGGAATTTAAAAATAAAATTATTGGTAATTTGCATTTTTGTCTTATTTATTTATTTATTTAGAGACAGGGTCTCACTCTGTCACCTAGGCTGGAGTGCAGTGGCGCGATCTCGGCTCACTGCAACCTCTGCCTCCTGGGCTCAAGCGATTGTCCCACCTCAGCCTCCCAAATAGCTGGGACCACAGGCACACTGCCACCGGCTAGTGTGTGTGTGTGTGTGTGTGTGTGTGTGTGTGCGCGCACGTGTATTTTTGGTAGAGACAGGCTTTCACCATGTTTCCCAGGCTGGTCTCGAACTCCTGAGCTCAAGTGATACACCTGCCTCAGCCTCCCAAAGTGTGAGCATTTTTGTTTTAAAAATAATTCATTTGCTTACATATTTTTATTTCTTTTATTTTTATTTTTGAGACAAAGTCTCACTCTGTCACCCAGGATGGAGTGCAGTGGTGTGATCTTGGCTCACAGCAACCTCTGCCTCCCAGGTTCAAGCAATTCTCCTGCCTCAATTTCCCAAGTAGCTGGGATTACAGGCATGTGCCACCATGCCCAGCTAATTTTTTTATTTTCAGTAGAGACAGGGTTTCATCATGTTGACCAGGCTGGTCTCGACCTCCTGACCTCTAGTGAGCCACCTGCCTTGGCCTCCCAAAGTGCTGGGATTACAGGCATGAGCCACCGCACCCAGCCCATACTTACATATTTTTCTATTATACTCTTTTATTTGTAAGAGTTCCTTGTATTAAGATTTTAAATCTTTTGTCTGCTATGTATGTGGGAAACATTACTCAAGGTTGTCATTTGATAGACAAATGGAATTACTTAAAACTAAAAAGCTTCTGCACAGCAAATGAAACTATCAACAGAATTAAGAGATAACCTACAGAATGGGAGAAAATATTTGCAAACTATATATATGAGAAGGTGTTAATATTCAGAATACATAAGGAATTCAAACAACTCAATAGCAAAAAAAATCCAATTTTTACAATGGGCAAAAGATCTGAATAGATGTTTCTCAAAAGAAGAAATAAAAATACCTGAGGTATATGAAAAAATCCTTCAACGTCATAAACATCAGGGAAATGCAAATTGAAACCACGAAAAATATCATTTCACTCCAGTTAGAATGGCTATTATTAAAAAGACAAAAAATAAATGCTGGTGAGGATGCGGAGAAAGAAACTCTTATACACTGCTGGTGGGAAGGAAAATTAGTACCACCACTATAAAAAACAGTAGAGTGATTCCTCAGAAAATTAAAAATAGAACTACCACATGATCTAGCAATCCCACTACTGGGTACACATCCCAAGAAAATGAAATCAATATGTCAAAGAGATACCTGCACTCCCATGTTTACTGTAGCGCTATTCACAATAGCCAAGACATGGAATCAACCGATGTGTCCATCAGTGGATGAATGCATAAAGAAAATGTGTTATATTTATACAAGGGAATACTATTCAGACTTAAAAAAAGAATGAAATCCTGTCATTTGCAGCAACATGGATAAGACTGGAGAATATTATGTGAAGTAAAATAAGCAGGTGCAGAAGGGCAAATACTGCATGATCTCACTCACATGTGAAATCTAAAAAAGTTGATCTCAGAGAAGTAGAGAGTAGAACAGTGATTACCAGAGGCTGGGAAGGGAAGAGGGGAGAGAGGATGAAGAGAAGTTGGTCAATGGATTCAAAGTACAGATAGGAGGAATAAATTCTAGTATTCCATTGCACAGTAGGGTTACTATGGTTAAGAATAATGTATATTTCAAAACAGCTAGAAGAGAAAATTTTGGATGTGCTCACCAAAATTTTAATTTTGAGAATTAAAATGAGAAATGATCAATGTCTGAGGTGATGGGTATGCAAATTACCCTAATTGAATCATTACACACTGTATACATGCATTGAAATCCACTATATCCCATAAATATGTACAATTATTATGTGTCAATGAAAAATTAGAATAAAAGAGATTGTCATTTGCCTTTCCTTTAGTATTGTTTATAATGTTTTCTAAAAAAAAAATAGTTTTAGTTTTTACTTGGACAAATTAATTGACCTTTTCCCTTACGTTCTGTTTTTAATGCCATGCTTGGAAAGCCTTTCTCTATTTCAAGAAAAATTCACTGTCCTAGCGTTCTTTTTAGGCAACATCATTTAATGACTTTCTGATCAAATGAGGAAAACTACAGATAATCAGAACTTATCCAATGACTTGAGTGATTGTCCAGCACAATATCTACTTTTCTGCCATTTAGAAAATGTCCCCCTTGGGGGAAGACAGGACTCAGTGCCATTTTGTGTGTCTCCTGGGAGCAGCGTGTCATTCTGACTCAGGGACTTTCATTCCCTATGTCCCCCTGAGGCTTCATTTCCTATCTCAGACGTGGCCTGCTTGAGTCAAGATGACTTCTTTGCTGCTGTTGATGGGAGTTGTGGGTTTACAATCTGTGTGCACTTGGACCACTTTCCCTGTCTCTCCAGGCTTCTCCAAAGAATATGTTTAGAAAAAACAAATACCTAGAGCTTCCAAAGACATTGAAAAATTGGTTCAAGGACTCACCCATTTCCTTTCTTAAAAAAAAAAAAAAGACAATGGTCTTTATGTAAGTTTGTTCAACCTTGTCCATGCAGGAACAACCCCACCCAGGGGACCAACCTCTCTCTCAGGCCATGATCCTGATGCAGTCTGGTTGTTTTTCAAGCCCCACCCAGGCCCTTGCTGAGTGACAGGAAGACAGAATATTGAGCTGCATTCTCTCTGCAGCCAAGAAATACAAAAAAGATCATCTAAGTGCATGAGCATCATTCACTGCTAGCCTAGTGTTTCTCTCTAAACAGGCTTTACCAGGTGGGGATGAAGGAGATACAGCATAAATGCCTGAGCAAGAAGCTAGCATTCAGGCAAATGGAGCCACTTGTGACGAAAAGCCTATGAATTCACTGTTCTTTTAATATATCTCCCTCCTCCTTTTGAGGAAAAGTTAAAAAAAATACTTTCTTTGCATAATTTATCTTTATCCCCTAACTTTACCATCTTTTTTATTCCTCTAGTAAAATTGCTACCAAGGTTTTTCAAGAGAGTTCTCTAAGAGGTGTTTGCTGTTTACCATGACAAAGCTATAAGTGAAAGGAGCTGTTGCAAGAGATGGGGGAAAGGGATTAGGCTCAATCTGCTTGAATTGCTAGAAAACAACATTACTGTGTTAATAGCACAATTTTCTCCCTATAATACCCCCCAACTCCCACCATCAGGAAGATGCAGGCCTGCCAAAGCGGCTGCAACCCTGAGGCAAGGGCCAGCAGTGAATCTTAGGTTAGCAGCCACCTACCTGTTCCTTCTCCCGAAGCAAAGAGGACTCAAACTTACAAAGACAGAATGACTATAAAATGTCAACTTCCACTCACTTTCCATTTCTCCCCCTGATATGGTTTGCATTTGTGTCCCTGTCCAACTCTCATGTCAAATTGGACGGGCCTGGTGGGAGGTGACTGGATCATGGTGGCAGATTTCCCCCTCGCTGTTCTGATAATGGGTGAGTTCTCACCAGATCTGATGGTTTAAAATTGTATAGCACTTCCTCCTTTGTTCTCTCTCTCTCCTGCTGCCATGTGAGGAAGGTGCTTGCTTCCCCTTCACCTTCCGCCATGATCGTAAGTTTCCTGAGGCCTCCCAGTATGCTTCCTTTTAAGCCTAAAGAACTGTGAGCCAATTAAACCTCTTTTCTTCATAAATTACCCAGTCTCAGGTAGTTCTTTATAGCAGCCTGAGAACGGACTAATACACGCCCTTTATAATCTTTCTCACACAAACGTACTTAAAACAGTTTTAGATAAGGATTGAGGGATTGCTGGGGGAAAACATTCAAAGTAGAAATGACAAATTCTTTTTTTTTTTTTTTTTTTTTTTGAGACGGAGTCTCGCTCTGTCGCCCAGGCTGGAGTGCAGTGGCGCGATCTCGGCTCACTGCAAGCTCCGCCTCCCGGGTTCACGCCATTCTCCTGCCTCAGCCTCCCGCGTAGCTGGGACTACAGGCGCCCGCCACCACGCCCGGCTAATTTTTTGTGTTTTTTAGTAGAGACGGGGTTTCACCGTGTTAGCCAGGATGGTCTCGATCTCCTGACCTCGTGATCCGCCCGCCTCGGCCTCCCAAAGTTCTGGGATTACAGGCGTGAGCCACCGCGCCCGGCCAGAAATGACAAATTCTAAGAACTTCAATACAACATACTGTAACCAATAGGTTTTAAAAATATATATACTTTCTATTTTAGCCTGAGAAATTTATTGTGAAGATTGTATAGAGAATGTCCATATACCCAGTTTCTCCTATTATTAATATATTTCATTAGTGTGGTACATTTTGCACAATTAACAAATATTGGCTGGGTGTGGTGGCTCACACTTGTAATCCCAGCACTTTGGGAGGCCAAAGTGGGTGGATCACCTAAGGTCAGGAGTTTGAGACCAGGCTGGCAGATATGGTGAAACCCCGTCTCTACTAAATATACAAAAATTATCCAGGTGTGGTGGCAGGTGCCTGTAATCTCAGCTACTTGAGAGGCTGAGGCAGGAGAATCACTTAAACCTGGGAGGCAGAGGTTGCAGTGAGCTGAGATTGCATCACTGCACTCCAGCCTGGGCGACAGAGCGAGACTCTGTCTCCAAAAAGTAAAAATAAATAAATAAATAAATAACAAATATTGATATGTCATTATTAACTGAACTCCACACATTATTCACGTTTTCTTAGTTTTTACCTAATGTCCTTTTTCTGTTCCAGGATTCCATCCAGCACACATCACATTTGTTTGTTAATATCTCCATAGAATCCTTTGGCTATGACAGTTTCTCAGACTTTACTCATTTGTGATGATCTTGACAATTTCAAGGAGTCAGGCGTTTTGTAGAGCATTCTTCAATTTGAGTGTATCTGATATCTTTCTCAAGATTAGACTGGGTTAATATGTTTTTAGGAGGAAGATCAAAGAGGTAAAGTATCATTTTCATCATATCATATCAAGGGCACTTATTATCAATATAACTTCACCACTGTTGATGTTGACCTTGATCACTGGCTTGAGGTAGTGTTTGTCAGGTTTCTCCACTGTAAAGATGCTCTTTTTTCTCCCCCTTTCCATTATGCTCTTTGGAAGGAAGTCACTATGTGCAGCCCACACTAGGAAGTGAAGACTTTACCTCCTTAACGATGGGGTATCTACATTAGTTATCTGGAGCTCTGAATGGGAGATTTGTTGCTTCTCCCACATTTATTTATATCACTATTGACTCATGGATATTTATTTTACAATTTAGGCTATAATCCAATACTACTTTACCCAGTAGTTTAAAAAAATTATTATGAAGAATTTTTAACAGATACAAAAGTAGACAGTGTAATGAGCTTTATGTACCAATTACCCAGCCCCAATAACCATTAAGCCATGGGCAGTTCTGCTTTCCAAACATCATATCATTTCATCCCTAAATATCTCTGTATGTATCTCTGAAAGATAATGATTTTTTCAAATACCATAATACAATGACTACAGCTTACACAACTAACAATGGATCTTTAAGAGCAAATATTCAGTCAATGTTCACATTTCAAATTGTTGTTTTCTAAAAATTAGTTCTTTTTAAACAATGGGACCCCTTGTTGGAAGAAGCATGGTTTTAGGAACCCAAAATGACAGCAATTACAATGAGAAAATAAAAGAGCAAGAAGGGAAACCCCAAAGGGGTTTAGGATCTGGGCTACGCACACAGCTTCCCCCACCCTCAGTGGTCTGTACATGTATGAACATGCCAGCATGAGAAACATATACATTAACACGTGATTTAAATATTCACATTTTAAACTGCCCAGCGCAGGAATTCCTCTATAACACTTCCGACAATGATCATACCACTCTGTTTGAATATTTAATAAAGGTAATTTACTTTAAAAGGAAATTCTTCTTGTTTGTTTAAAATGCTTACATAATTAAATTTATTTTTAAAAATCGCAACTTCTCAGAAATTTTATTTTATTAATTCATTACACAATTTCTTATCAAGCATTGAGTTCTAGATGCCAGGGATACAGCAATGAACAAAACAGACATAAATTCACATCATGATGAAACTTCCATTCCCATAAATCAACTATGTTAAATAAATTGATGAAAATAAATTATATAGTATGTATCTTCATCCTTTTGGGCTGCTATAACAAAATACCATAGGCTGGGTGGCTTATAAACAATAGAAAAATATTTCTCACATTTCTGCAGGCTGGGAAGTCTGACCTCAGGGCGCCAGCATGGTCAGGTTCTGGCAAGGGCTCTCTCTGGGTTGTGGGCTGCCGGCTTCTGGCTGCATCCTCACTTGGTGGAAGGGGCAATCAAGATTCCTCAGGCTGGCCAGGTGCAGTGGCTCACACCTGTAACCCCAGCACTTTGGGAGGCTGAGGTGGGTGGATTACTTGAGGTCAGGAGTTCGAGACCAGCCTGGCCAACATGGCAAAACCCCGTTTCTACTAAAAATACAAAAATTAGCTGGGCATGGTGGCACATGACTGTAGTCCCAGCTACTTGGGAGGCTGAGGCAGGAGAATGGCTTGAACCCGGGAGGCGGAGGTTGCAGGGAGGCAAGATTGTGCCACTGCACTCCAGCCTGGGTGACAGAGTGAGATTCCATCTCAAAAAAAAACAAAAAAAGAAAAAGAAGTTTCCTCAGGCCTCTTTTATCAGGGCACAAATCCACTCCATGAAGTCTCCTCTGTCGTGATCTAATCACTCCCCAAAGTGCCCACCTCTTAATCCCATCGCCTTCCGAGTTCGGTTTCAGCATATGAATTTGGGAGGGGACATAAGCATTTAGACCATAGCAGCGTCTTAGAAGGTGACAAATGCTGAGGATAGATACACAGCAAGGTAGTGGGTCGGGGGTTGCATTCTTAAATAGGGGGTTAAAGGAAGCCCTGTCTAAGAATGAGTCACACTGGAAATCTGGGGGAAGAGTGTTCCACATCAGGGAACCACAGGAACAAAGCCAAGCTACAGCCAGGCAGCCAGTGTGGCAGAGCCTAAACCTATATTTTGGGTTTCAAAACCAGACAGGTATCCCTTACAGATTCCATGTTACCTCATCACAGTGTTTCTCACTATATGAACTTACCTTGTTCTGTAATTTGTTTTTCTCTCCACTAGAATGTGAGCTCCATTAGAGAAGGAACATTTTGTTTTTCTTATTCACTCCGTACCACTGTACTCCAGCATCTAGAACAATGCTACAGTAGTAGGTGCTCACTAAATATGTGTTGAATGACTGACTGGCAATGCATGAATGATAGCTTAACCCAAGACCATCTCCAGGGCCCCATTGCCCTTGCTCTTCTGCACACTGCTGACCCAGGGAAAGGAAAGGGGCCGATGATGTCAATCACACTGGCTGGTCCCATCTCCCGCTGCAGCTTCTCAGGAGTGTGAGACATTTCAATTAAAACAAAGGGAGAGGACAGTGCTATTGCTGGAAAGGCAAACATCTGTGGAAGAGATGATTGGGGTGGGCAGAAGAGGAGGATAAAAAAGGGAACTTGTCTGTCTTTTGAATCATTTTGCATAAACAGAGTTTAGGTCCCATCTTCCCTTTCAGCTTCTAAATCTTCATGTGTGGAGGTTGTGGGGATTGCTGCTGGGTATTTGATCTTTGGTCAGCAGCCCTCTTTTATCAGAAACAGGAATTCAAAGGTGCAAAGGTTAAAATGCCCTCACAGGTTCCAGCATGGACTTCACAGCCTGTTAGAATTAACCGCTTAATGTTGGGGTATAACCCACCTACTGATTTTATGATTATTATTTTTCAATCTGGAAATATACAGTAGCAGGCCTGATTTAAAGGGAGATGTACATTGACCTGCTTAGAATGCTGATGATCTGCCAGAACACAGTGGAATCCAGGGCAATATATTTTTTTTCATAATTTTTAGAAGACAAGCCTATTCAGGTGCCAAGAACAAAAGAAAAAGAAAACAGCTGGGCTGTAGATCAAATAAAATGGTAATTCTGGACCTTAAAAATCAGAGTTGAATATATGCCACAGGGCTCAGCACTCTTGTCAAACATGTTTCAAGAACAGCAGGTTTCTTAAGTACATCACCACATGTGGTATTGGCAAGCTTGTGCGGTCGCTTCCCCGCCTTGTGAAAATCTGTGCATTTATTCATCTTAAAATACCTCGAGATTGTCAAATATTAAAACGTAAAAATATGACTCGTGCTGTCATGTCAATAGGATTCATGAACCAGATAGGACTTGCCTGCCAGAGAGCAAACACTAGAAGCGTCTAAGAAGCTGGAAGCTTAAAAATCTAAAGGGTTTTTGAGGTCCGGTGCGGTGGGTCACGTCTGTAATCCTTGCACTTTCGGAGGCCGAGGTGGGCAGAGGCCAGGAGCTCAAGACAAGCCGGGACAACCTGGCAAAACCCTGTCTCTCCTAAAAATACAAAAAATTAGCCGGTGTGGTGGTGCTTGCCTGTAATCCGAGCTAGTCAAGAGGCTGAGGCAGGAGAATAGCTTGAACCCGGAAGGCGGAAGTTGCAGTGAGCCGAGATCGTGCCACTGCACTCCATCCTGGGCGACAGAGCGAGACTGTGTCTCGGAAAAAAAGCGGGATCAGGGTGCCGGGAGGGATTTTATATTACTCCCCAAAGCCAAGGAAGCAAAATAAAAGTGATGCCAAATTACTGTTTCTGCCAGAGAGTTTAAAATCTTTCTAGGGAAAAGTCCACTTGTTTAGACAAAAGAACACCAGTCCCTTGGCCATGACACAGGTAAGCAATCTTAAGAGATGTGGCCCTGTGCCTCAGACTAGGCACACCAAGCCTACAGATATGTCAAATATGGAGGCGATTCCCTCCAAAAACAAACATCAGTCTAGCCATTTGGCAAATGAACAGGTAAGCACCCTGTTGGCAGACAGATAAAAACTGAAGCAGAAAGCTTAGAAGTTTCTGTAGCTTCTCTCACAATCAAAGACACAGAAAGTTGTTTATATCAGTCAGCCCAATATGGACTAGAAAAACTGGTATCAAATATTCAACTGCAGCAGAACTTGTATCATATGAATGATAAATCTAACTACTGTAAATACATATACCAGTCAGTAGGTATCTACTTTAGAAGAATTGTCATCCTTTAAGTTTTATCATGTCATCATAGGTTTTAAGAACAAACTTAAAACTACTAGCAAGTTAAATCAAATTACTTCAGTTGGTAAATAGGTGTCTAAAGATGACATAAGGAAATGTAAAGAAAGGCTGAGTCCATTGTCTTATTTTTCTTTGCACCTTTACTTCTGTTTATTTTGCTTCCAGGCTGTAGCAAGTCCTTTCTTAATGTCTTAGAAACTGAAGAATGGGTAAGAGCAGATATAGGGACATACATAAAATGTTGAGATATCTTCTAAAACACATGACTTAAATGACAAAGAATATTTTAAAAAATAGTTTGAAATCTGAAGCTATTTTCTTTTCTTTTTTTTTTTTTTTTTGAGATAGAGTCTTACTCTGTTGCCCAGGCTGGAGTGCGTGGCGGCCTGATCTCGGCTCACTGTAACCTTCACCTCCCAGGTTCAAGGAATTCTCCTGCCTCAGCCTCTAGCTGGGATTATAGGTGTGCACCACCACACCTGGCTAATTTTTGTATTTTTAGTAGAGACGGCATTTCACCATGTTGGCCAGGCTCGTCTTGAACTCCTGAGCTCAGGTGATCTGCCCTTCTCAGCCTCCCAGAGTGCTGGGATTACAGACATGAGCCACCGTGCCTGGCCTGAGACTATTTTCTAAGACTTACGTCTAAATATTAATGTCAAACAACTTTTTAAAACACCAGGCTTTTCCCAAGATTAGACTACAGAGAAAAATAAATAAATAAAACACCAGGCTTTCATGAATTTACTTGAAAAAAATGTTCATTATGCATGTTGGAACCAAAACATCTTTAATTTTTTAATCCCCTTTTCTTCATTCATACAAGCAAAATAATAATTTCCATCTTGCTGCTGGATAGAAAAATATGCCCCCACACGAAGATGCTCAGCAAAGGAGGCTGATTATGTGGACAGCTTTGGTCTCTCTTGTCCATAATCTACAGCATTCATCCTCTATATTTACTGAGAACTACAACGTTCAGGAAAATGAGCTAAGGGCTTTGGTGCATATAGAGATGGTTCAGATATGGATCATTTTGCATGGGATGTCTAGGACAAGGAGCACACAGGATTAGGAATTGGGTGGTTGAGTTCTAGTCCTGGCTCTCCCACCAACTAGGTGGCTCTTGGCAGATCACTTAACCCCTGGAGGCTTTGCTTCCCTCACCTATAAAACAAGGGAGAAACTAGATCAGTATTTCTTAACCTGGGGTTCATGACCCACAAGGTGTTCAAGGATAGTATGTGGGGTCCATAAACTTGTATGGAGAAAAAATTGTGTTTGTTATTTTTTTTCTTGACACAGGGGGGTCTTCCTCTGTCACCCAGGCTGGAGTGCAATGGCACAGTCACAGTTCACTGTGACCTCGACCTCCCAGGCTCAAGCAATCCTCCCACCTCAGCCTCCCAAGTGGCTGGGACTACAGGCATATGCCATCACGCCCAGCTAATTTTTTAAATTTTTTGTAGAGATAAGGTCTCGCCACGTTGCCCTGGCTGATCTCTAACTCCTGGCCTCAAGCAATGCTCCTGCCTCGGCCTCCCAAAGTGCTGGGAAAATTGATTTTTATTTTCACTAATTTCTCATTGCAAATAGGCATTTCCTTCAGTTGTGCTGTAAGTAACAAACCAGAGTAGAATTAGCAATGTATTAGCTGTGTTTTGGCAAACAGAAATCACAGATACATTCATATTATATGGCAGTTGTTGCAGATATCTCAAAATATTGTTAAGGCTTATCATTACTTTGATATTATGGTAGCTATTAGACCAGCTGCTAGAGTTTTTTTTAACTCATATGCTAGTAAAAGCTTATAAATTACTATATAACAAATTGGTTTTTAAAAATATATTGAAAACTCCACCTCATATCTATTAGGATAGCTACTACCAAAAAACAGAAAATAGCAGATATTGATGAGGATGTGGAAAAATTGGAAAGCTTGTACACTGTTGGTGGGAATGTAAAATGGTGCAGCCACTATGGAAAACAGATGATAGTTCTTCAAAAAATTAAAGTTAGAATTTATGTATGATCCACCAATTCCATTCCTGGATATATACCCAAAAGCATTGTAAACAGGGACTTGAACAGGTATTTGTCTGCTAATGTTCATAGCAACATTATTCACAATAGCCAAAAAATGGAAACAACCCAGCTGTCCATTGACAGATGAATGGGTAAACAATATATTGTAGATACATACATTGGAATATTATTCAGCCTTAAAAAGGGAAGGAAATTCTGACACGTTGCAACATGGATGAGCCTTGAGGACATTATGCTAAGTGAAATAAGCCAGTCACAATAGGACAAAGACTTTATGATTTCGTTTATATGAGGTAATTAGAATAGTCAAATTCGTAGAGACAGAAAGTAGAAAGGTGGTTGCCAAGGGCTAGCAGGGAGAGAAGAATGGGGAGTTATTGTTTAATGGGAATGGGTTTCAGTTTTGCAATACAGTAAGAGATCTGGAGATAGATGGTGGTGACATTTGCACAACAATGGGAGTGTACTTAATGCCACTGAACAGTGCACTTAAAAATGGTTAAGTAGGTCAATTTTATACTATGTGTATTTTGCCACAATTAAAAATAATAATCAAAAATATATATTGATGACTATTTCAGCATCACTTACATTTTTAGGATTTTGTGCATTTTATTTTATGCATTGAAAAATTATTCTGGAGGGGGTCAGTAGGCTTCACCAGAATGCCAGAGGGGTCTATGACACAAAAAGAAACTGCTTAAAAATCTCAAAAGTCGCTGGGCATGGTGGCTCACTCCGTAATCCCAACATTTTGGGAGGCTGAGGCAGGAGGACTGCTTAAGCTCAGGAGTTTGTGACCAGCCTGGGCAGCATGATGAAACCCTATCTCTACAAAAAATTTTAAAAATTAGCCAGCACAGTGGTGATGTGCACCTGTGGTACCAGCTACTTAGGAGGCTGAGGTGGGAGAATTGCTTGAGTCCAGGAGGTTGAGGCTGCAGTGAGCTGTGATCACATCACTGCACTCCAGCCTGGGCAACAGAGTGAGACCCTGTCTTAAAATAAACCAAAAGACCCCTAAAACTCAAAGGTGTTTTCAGTTCTGAAATTCTATAATTCTCTGAAATGGAAAAGGAAGCAAGAGAAAAATAGATGTTTTATAAAATGGATGAATGCATTCCTATATGTAGGAATATTTAAACCTTCAATAATAAATTCAAATCCTTTTTTCCTTTTAACAATTTTAAACTGAATGCAGAAATATTGAAAATGTTCTTTTTTCTTTTTCTTTTTTTTTTTATTTTTTTGAGACAGGGGCTTGCTCTGCCACCCAGGCTGGAGTGAAGTGGCATGATCACAGCTCACTGTAGCCTTGACCTCCTGGGATCAAGTGATCCTCCCACCTCAGCCTCCTGAGTAGCTGGTACTATAGGCACATGTCACCATGCCCGGCTAATTTTTATATTTTTTGTAGAGATGGGATTTCACCATGTTTCCCAGGCTGAAAATGCTCTTTAAATCCTAAGAAAAAAACAATAGTTTTATAAGTTCTCTGCTGTCCTTTTCTTCAAAATATTTACCATGAGAGTCTGGTCAAGGACTCTATGGATGATTTCAATTGTTGATTATAACCAATTAAATCCAATTTTTTTCAACATTTATCAAAATATTCTAGCAGGTTAAGAACAAAGACTTTGACATCGTTTCGCAATAGGAAAAAAGTAGAAAGATCTCCCTCCACTTTTTAAAAAATATCTTTACTTAAATTCAAACGGGAAGAAGAAAATATCTTAGATTTTTAAGGCAGTTTCTCTGCTCTGACGCCACTGGGTAGGAACTGAGCCTCCCACTGCTTGCCCCAGTTGGCCCTGCCATAGGAGGCCCCGGGCAGTTTAAGCAAAAGTAAAAATAATTTCCTTTCTCAGGGAGAGGTAAAGTCTTCTTGATCAATTCTGTTTCCCCTAAATAATCTCCAGAGTTTTATCTAATTATCTAAGCTGTAAATAGGTCGTTTTCAGTTGCATGTTAGTCCATTCTTGGGTTGCTATAAAGGAATTTCTGAGGCTGGCTAATTTATAAAGAAAAGAGGTTTAATTGGCTCACGGTTCTGCAGGCTGTACAAGCATGGTGCTGGCATCTGCTTGGCTTCTGGGGAGGCCTCAGGAAGCTTTCATCATGGTGGAAGGCAAAGGGGGGAGCCAGCATGTCATATGGCGAAAGCGAAAGCAAGGGTAGGGGAGGTTCCAGGCTCTTTTAAACAACCAGATCTTTTGTGAACTAGAGCGAGAACTCACTCATCACTAAGGGGATGGCACTAAACCATTCCATTCATGAGGGATCTACCACCATGATCCAAATACCTCCCACCAGGCCCCACCTCCAACACTGAGGGTTACATTTCACCATGAGATTTGGAGAGGACAAATATCCAACCTATATCAAGTTGTAAATAACTTTTATATAAACTGCTAAATAATATGTCATTGTTATAGTCTGTATGTCTAACGGAATGCTTTCTTCTTCTTTTTTTTTTTTTTTTTTTTTTTTTGAGACAGAGTTTTGCTGTTGTTGCCCAAGCTTAGTGCAATGGTGCAATCTTGGCTCATTGCAATCTTCGCCTCCTAGGTTCAAGCAATTCTCCTGCCTCAGCCTCCAGAATAGCTGGGATTACAGGCGCACGCCACCACACCCGGCCTTTTTTTTTTTTTTTTTTGTATTTTTAGTAGAAACGGGGTTTCACCATGTTAGCCAGGCTGGTCTTGAACTCCTGACTTCAGGTGATCCACCCACCTTGGCTTCCCAAAGTACTGGGATTACAGGCGTGAGCCACCACATCTGGCTGAAAATGCTTTCATATCCCTTACTTCAGTGGTTCTGAACCAGGGTGATTTTGTCCCCCAGGGTAGGCTTGGCAATATCTGGAGACATTTTTTAATAGCCATGACTAGATGTGAGGTGGAGAAGTATTGGGGGTGGTGCTACTGGCCTCTAGCAGATAAAGGCCAGGGCCGAGGATGCTGCTAAACCTCCAACCATGCATGGGACAACCCCCATGACAAGAATTTATCCATCCCAAAGTGTCAATAATATAGAGATTGAGAAACCCTGCTTTATCTGATTTTGTTAAAAAGAAAATGATTCCCAGATGCCTCTTGAGAGCCATCTTGGGTGAGGAAAGGGGAACATAAAATACATAAAATCAAATTGAGTACTTTAGGCTTTGCTTATTAATACCTGTAATGCTCACCACAACCATGTGTTTTAGGTATTTTCTCCATTTGCACAAGTAAAGAAACAGGCTCCCTGAACTTAAATCACTTGTCTGGGTCACAGAGTATTGGAAGCATATTAAGCATGGGTCAGTTTGACCCTAAAGTCTATGCCCTGTCCATAATCTGTGCTGTAAGCAGTAAAAGTTCAGCTAGGGTGTCATAGAATGGACTCGCCCAAATAGGAGTCCCAGTCTTCACTAAGTCCTCTCATGCCAGGGACAGAGACCTAGGGTCTTATACAACACCCCATCTAGCCTAACTCTTTGTTGCTAAGTGGCATACAAAAGAACTATGAGATTGCTCTGAGGGAGAAGAAATGAATTGAGAAAAAAAGTGAAACTGTATGAAACTATTAAAAATAACAAAGTATATTGTGGCGCAGTATGTTGGCATTGGAATAATAGCACAATATATTGGTAAGTGTTGAATTGCGTGGCATGGACAGTGAGTGCTGCTGTGTGAGTTTGGGAGGGAACCCTTCAGTGTGCACTAGAGTAGACTGGACAGTTCCATGGAGGGAGTAAGAATTGGGCTCTCAGCGAGCATAGCATTTGAAGGCAGAGTTAAGTTCAGGAGGCTAAAGCTATACACACACACACACACACACACACATATATATATATATATTTGAGATGGAGTTTCACTTCTGTTGCCCAGGCTGGAGTGCAGTGGTGCAATCTCGGCTCACTATAACCTCTGCCTCCCGGGTTCAAGCGATTCTCCTGACTCAGCCTCCTGAGTAGGGGGGATGCGCCACCACACCTGGCGAATTTTTTTTTGTATTTTTAATAGAGACGGGGTATCTCCATGTTGGTCAGGCTGGTCTCGAACTCCTGACTTCAGGTGATCCGCTGGCCTCAGCCTCCCAAAGTGCTAGGATTACAGGCGTGAGCCACCAAGCCCGGCCTAAAGCAATATATTATTGCGATGAGTATGAGTATATTATTGTGATCTCTTGAATCAGATTCCCTAGGTTTAAATCTTTTTCTTTTTTCCCAAACAGTGTCTCACTCTGTTACCCAAGCTGGAGTGTAATAGTGTGATCACAGCTCACTGCAGCCTCAACTTCCCAGGCTCGAGTGATCCTCCTGCCTCAGTCTCCTAAGTAGCTTGGACTACAGGCCTGTGCCACCATGTCTGGCTGGGTTTTTTTATTTGCTTTATAGAGACAGGGTCTCCCTGTGTTTCCCTAGCTAATGTCAAAATCCTGGGCGCAAGTGATCCTCCCACCTCCACCTCCCAAAGGGCTGAGATTACAGGTGGGAGCTGCTGTGCCTCTCTTCCCTAGGTTTAAATCCTATTTCTGGCACTTAGCAAGCCATGTGACTTTTGGCAAAGCAATGAACCCTTTTGCATTTGTTTTGTCACCTGCAGAATGCAGATAATAGTACATTTTACACTGGGTTGCTATGAGAATTAAATAAGATAATGCATGTAAAGCCTTAGCATGGTGGTGTTTGCCCTATAGTAAATGCTCATTGAATGTCAGCTTAAAAAGACAGGAGGGGTGTGTGTGTGTGTAAAAGTTCTTATTTGAAAGCAACAAAAATTTAGTTAGTTTAAGGGGAAAATTATTAGAAGGCTACAAGGGAGCTCATAGAATTGACAGAAGGCAGGATAACCTAGATCAAGAAACCAAGGAGGAACCAAGGGCAGCTGGGTGGAAGAAACGGCAGCCACATCATGTGGTGACAAGCAGGGTCCCATCTCCCATGGAGACCACACAATGGGGAAGTCCCTGAAGTAGGAGAGGATTAAGATATTGGGTAGCTCCTAGATTAGCAAATAGCTACTAAGGTAGATATTATGTTTGGGGGAATAAGAGTAGATTCTAGGGTTTGATGGTGAGGGATAGGAGGAGGAAACCATGAGGGGGTGCAGGGTCTGGGGGTGCAGATGGAGCCCTGACAGTGCCAAGGACAGCAAGGAAACGGAAAAGTGGCTGTAGTGGAAGGCAACACTTCTAAGTCTTCCCACTGAGGCAGCTTAACCGCAGGTAGAGGAGAAGGAACTCATGCCCTTGAGGGACCCGAAGGAGCAGCCCAGAGGGACCTGAGGAGAAGGAATTAATGACTTGGAAAGACCAAAGGAGCAGCCCAGAGGGACCTGAGAAGAAGGAACTCATGCCCTTGAGGGACCTGAAGGAGCAGCCCAGAGGGACCTGAGGAGAGGGAACTCATGCCCTTTAGGGACCTGAAGGAGCAGCCCAGAGGGACCTGAGGAGAGGGAACTTATGCCTCTGAGGGACCCAACAGAGCAGCCCAGAGGGACCTGAGGAAAAGGAACTCATGCTTCTGAGGGACCTGAAGGAGCAGCCCAGAGGGACCTGAGAAGGAACTCATGCCTCTGAGGGACCGGAAGGAGCAGCCCAGAGGGACCTGCCACAAATTCAAAATTTCTTTGAAATGCCCTATTTAGTCTTAAAAGTGCTTGTGAATTTGATACTCTTCTTCATAACAGATGTTTGTTTTGATATACAATGTAATTGGAGTTACATATTAAATTCTTTAATATTTTCCCCTCAAGTCTTCAAGTATAACAGATGCTGCAGGAAAATATACTTTATTCACGTGACTTCGCGTATCTCCACCCAAATTGGCCTTGTACTCTGCAGGGGCATATGCAAACTATCAAGCATCCATTCAACAAACATCGACTAAGCTCCTACTGTGAGCTAGAGGCTAGGTATACAGAAGCAAGTCCTAACCAATGTGGTGCCTTCCCTCACCAAACGATGGTCTATTCTGCACTCCAGTCTAAGGAGCATAAATCCTAGAAAACTGTGAGCAAATGTGATTGAAGAAATATGGTTGGGGCAGATCATAGAGTCAGTCTCAGCTCAAGAAATACTAGGTCTTGGCTGGGCACAGTGGCTCACACCTGTAATTCTAGCACTTTGTGGGGCCAAGGCAGGTAGATCACTTGAGGTTAGGAGTTTGAGACCAGCCTGGCCAACATGGTGAAACCCCATCTCTACTAAAAATATAAAAATTAGCCGGCTGTGTTGGTGGGCACCTGAATCACAGATACTACTCGGGAGGCTGAGGCAGGAGAATCGCTGAAATCGCTTGAACTTAGGAGGCGGAGGTTGTGGTGAACCAAGGTTGCGCCACTGCACTCCAGCCTGGGCAACAGAGCCAGACTCTGTCTCAAAAAAAAAAAAAAAAAAAAAAAAGAAGAGAAAAGAAATACTAGGTCTTGAAAAAAGACTTTACACCAAGTATGAGAGGCAGATAGGAAAAGGAAAAAAATCAGACTCAGAAAGTGGGCAAAAAATACATAACACATATGATACTTGTGATGTGGCACCTAACAGACACAGGCATAAGGGACAGCACAAAGGAGGCAGGAATGAGTTCTGCAGGGGAGGATGTGCTTGCTGAAAGAAGGTTTTAAGAGATGACTAGGAGCTGATGAGGCAGACAAGGAGGGCAGGGCATTCTTGGCAGAGAAAGATGCAGTGTTGTGAAAGGGCATGGCGTGTTGGGATGTCTTAAGTGTAAGGAAGGAATGAAGAGAAGAATGGAGAGATGAGCAGGGGCCGGGTTGTGGAAGGCTTTGTCTGCCTGCCATGTGAGTGCTGGGACTTTCACCTAAAAGCAGTGGGGAGTCACTGAAAGGCTTTTTGATAGGGATGTCAAAGGATCAAATTTGTTTTCAAGAAATGTAAGTCAGGAAGCAGTGGGTGTGTCTAAACGAGGCAAAATCGGTGGCTGGAAGACAACTTCTGAGACTACTGAGATAGTCTAGCAAGAGATCATGGGAGCCTCAAGTGAGGAAACTACTGTAGGGACAGGAAGAGGGGAGAACCCAGTAGCAATGAGGAAGATGATGGTAATTATAACAATTTTTAAAAATCAGGTAAGATTAATAAAACCATTACTATTCTTGCTAGGCACTGTTCTAAGGACATTAAATGAATTATTTTCCTTTATTAATTCATTTAACAAATAGGTGGGTCAGGTGCAGTGGCTCATGCCTGTAATCCCAGCACTTTGGGAGGCCTAAGTGGGAGAACCACTTGAGCCCAGGAGTTTGAGACTAGCCTGGACAACATGGCGAAACCCCATCTCTACACAAAATAGAAAAATTAGCTGGGTGTGGTGGCATGCACTTGTGGTCCCAGCTACTCAGAAGACTGAGTGAGATGGGAAGATCACTTGAGCTCAGGAGGTCGAGGCTGCAATGAGCTGAGATCGTGCCACTGCATTCCAGCCTGGGCGACAGAGTGGGACCCTGTCTCTAAAAGACAAAACAAAACAAATAAACCAAAAACAAACAGGTGAATAAATCAAACACTGATCCAGGCAATAAGATACAGCAGCAAATAAAACTAACAAAAATCCTTACTATGATGGAGCTTACATTCCACTGAGGAAACAGACCATAAGCAAGATAAATAAATAAAATTTAGTAGCATGTTAGATAATATTGAGTGCTAAGGAGAAAAAACAACACAGGAAAGGGGAAATAAAGTGCTGGGGAGGAGTGTAAAATTTTAAATAGCAGAGCCAGGCAAGACCTCAATAAAAGGCGACATTTGAATAAACCTGAAGGAAATGAGGGAACTAGCCACAAAAATATCTGGGCAAAGAGCAGTCCATGCAGAGGGAACAGCATGTGCAAAGGCCTAGAGGCATGAACACACCTGCTAAGTTCCAGTAACAGTGGGAAGGCCAGTTTGTCTAGACTTCAGTGAATGAGGGGAGAAGTTGGAGATTAGGTAAAGACATAGTGGAGTCCCAATCTTCTTGAACCTTGGGGGCCCTAATGAGGCTTTGGCTTTTACTCCAAGTGAGCTGGGAGCCACTGGAGCATTCTGAGCAGGATAGCAATATGATGGAACATACATGTTAACAAGATCACTCTGGCAGATTTTTGAGGATAGATTGCAAGGGACAAGAGCAGAATCAGAGAAACCACTAGTGCTATATTCCTGGAGAAAAATGATGGTAGCTCAGAACAAGATGGCTGCAGTGGAGCGGGTGACAAATAGACAAACAATCAATTTCTGATTATAACTTGAATATAGAGTCAATAAAACTTGAGGGATCTCTGATGGATCAAAGAGAGAGAGAGAGGAAACAGGGATAAGTCTAAGGGATTAGGCTGAGCAGCTGGAAAAATGGAGTTGCCTTTAACTGAGGTAGGGAAGACTGGAGAGAGCAAGTTATGTGTGAGGGGAGGGAGATACCAGGAGTTCAGTTTAGGACCTGTCAGATTTTAGATGTCCAGATGCCAATTGGATACACTGGCCTGGACTTCAGGGGAGTGGTCTGTGTTAGAGATAACAATGTGAGAATGATCCGCAGATAGGTGATATTTAAAGCTATAAGACTAGATGAGATCAAATAGGGAGTGAGCATATAGACAAAAAGAAGGGATCTGAGGACTAGGCCCCTGGACATTCCAACGTTCAGAAGTTGAGGAGTTGAGGAATAAGAAACTATTATAGGAGATGAAAATGGGCTGGGCACAGTGGCTCACGCCTGTAATCCCAGTACTTTGGGAGGCTGAGGTGGGTGGATTGCTTGAGTCCAGGAGTTTGAGACAAGCCTGGGCAACATGGCAAAACCCTGTCTCTACAAAAAAATACCAAAAAAGTTAGCCAGGTGTGGTGGTACATGCCTGTAGTCCCAGCTACTTAGGAGGCTGATGTGGGAGGATTGATTGAGCCTGGGAGATGGAGGCTGCAGTGAGCCGAGACTGCACCATTGTGCTACAGCCTGGATGACAGATCAAGACCCTGTGTCCAACCAAAAAAAAAAAAAAAAAAAAAAAGGTGGGGAGAGAGGGAGAGAAAATGGAACCATCAGAAAAGTTGGAGGAAAACTAGGCAAGTGTGCTATTCCGGAAGCCAAGTGAAAAAAGCGTTTCAAGGAGGACAGCATGATCAAACAACTGTGTAAAATGCTGCAACAGGTCAACTCAGATGAGGATTGGGAAAGAATCACAGGATTTAGCAATATGGAGGTCACTGGTACCCTGTTCAGAGCAGTTTCAGAGTAGAGATTCAAGAAATAATGGGAGAAAAGACATTGATGTCTGTGAATCATATGGTTTGGATCTGCATCCCTCCAAATCTCATGTTGAACTGTAGTCCCCAGTATTAGAGGTAGGGCCTGGTGGGAAGTGCTTGGATCCTGGGGGTGGATTTCTCATAAATGGTTTGACACCAGCCCCTTGGTGCTTTTCTTCTGACAGTCAGTTCTCGAGAGATCTGGTTGTCTAAAAGTGTGCAGCATATCCCCCCTTGCTCTCTCTTGCTCCTGCTCCCACCATGTGAGATGCCTCACCCCCCACCTTAATTGTAAGTTTCCTGAGGCCTCCCAGAAACTGAGCAGATGTCAAGATCATGCTTCCTGTACAGCCTGGAGAACTGTGAGCCAATTAAACCTCTTTTATTTCTTTTTTTTTGAGACGGAGTCTTGCTCTGTCGCCTCTGAAGCCGGGCTGGAGTGCAGTGGTGCGATCTCAGCTCACTGCAACCTCCGCCTCCTGGGTTCAAGCAATTCTCCTGCCTCAGCCTCCTGAGTAGCCAGGATTACAGGCACGCACCACCACACCAAGCTAGTGTTTGTATTTTTAGTAGAGACAGGGTTTTGCCATGTTGGCCAGGCTAGTTTCCAACTCTTGACCTCAAGTGATTCACCTGCCTTGGCCTCCCAAAGTGCTGGGATTACAGGCATGAGCCACCATACCCAGCCAAACCTCTTTTCTTTATAAATTACGCAGTCTCAGGTATTTCTTTGTAGCAATGTGAGAATGTACAGTGAGTATAGACAATTATTTGTGTGTGTTTGTTATTGTTTTTTAGAGGTAGGGTCTCACGCTGTTGCCCAGGCTGGAGTGCAGTGGTGCAATCATAGCTCAGGGCAGCCGAAACTCCTGGGTTCAAATGATCCTCCTGCCTCAGCCTCCTGAGTAGCTGGGATTACAGGCATGTGCCACCACGCCTAGCTAATTTTCATTTTTATTTTTTATTTTTGTAGATACAGGGGTATCAATGTGTTGCCCAGGCTGTTCCTGAACTTCTGAGCTCAGGTGATCCTCCCATCTAGGCCTCCCAAAGTGCTGGGATTACAGGTGTCAGCACTGCGCCTGACCTCTACAATTCTTTTAAGGAGTTTTGCTCTAGAAGGAATTGGGGGAATATAGCAATAGCCAGATGGGAAGCTGGGGCCAAGAAATATTTTTTTAAGATGGGAGAAATAGCACCATGCTTGGAGGTTGATGGGAATAACCTGGTAGAGAGGGGGAAACTGATGAAGAAAGGAAGGAGAATTTTTTTAGGAGGGAATGACCTCTAAGGTACTAGTGATGAGTTGACCTAAGCTAGGAGCTAAGTTCCTCTACAGGAACAGGAGTGAACAAAGAATACAAACACAGATAGATGCTTCACATTTACATTAAATATTAAATAAAATTTGAAATTCAGTTCCTCACTTGCAGAAGTCACATTTCAAGCACTCAGTAGCCCTATGTAACGTGTGACTGAGGCTATTTTATTGGACAGAGTGGCTGTAAAATATATCCATCATTGCAGAAAGTTCTTTTGGACAGCACTGGCCTAGGGTGTGACCATGGGTATAAGTGGCTGAGTTGGATGGAGGACAAGATCACTAGAGAGGCCAGGGTGTTAGAAAGATCATCTGTGTGTAACTTGAAATTGCTAAGACCCAAGACAGAGGTAATATTGAGGTGAGTGAAAGTGGGTCAGTTATTAAAATTATAAAAAAGTGATTAATAAATGACTGGAGACTAAGTGATATGGTCTGATGATAAGATAATTATGGAGGAGGCAGGGGGCATGGTCTAGAAGCAGCAATGAGAAGCAAGAAGAACCCTACCCCAACCTTCAGGTCCTGTGGAAGGGAAGCCAGCTACCACTGCAGAGGGCTTCAGGGAAGCAGTGTCACCAGGGGACAGAGCCAAGTTTCAGTTACTCCTCCAGGGGGAGGGGAAGGACACACTCAGAGGAGAGCACGAAGGAAAGGATTCTGCTGACGATTGCAAGTGAAAGGGTTTCGGGAGATGAGGAGGATGGCGAGTGAGGCTAGAAAAGGGGATGGGCAGAGTCAGATGGGGATTAGATGCCCAGGGATGAGAGGTGACCTGGGAGTCTTGGGTTTCTTGTGGGACAGACATCAGTGGGGATAAGGGACATGATGAAATTAGTCCTGATGGTCACAAGGTACATAGTGAAGGATTGGGGGTGGGGTGGGGTGTCTTGACAGGAGCTGGAGGGGTTGGGGATCCCCCTTGATGGTTGCTAGGAGAGGCGTGGAGTCTGGCTGAAGGGGCATCTTACACTGAGCCATGCCCTTTCTTGGTGGCTGCCTAATGGAGGCCTTACTTGATCCCCACAACTCTATAAAGTGCACACTATTGTTATTCCAATTTTACAGAAGCAGATATATTTAAAAAGCAAGGACTTGGTGAATGAGGGCCTTTAAATTGCAGGTTGAATCTTAATCACCAATGAGGAAGTTGAGAAAGGGAGTCTATTTGGGTGTGAAAGTGGAGGGGAATAAAGGACTGGGAGGTGGATTCTGGTTTAACATGTCTGGAGTTGAAGTTGCAGGCAGCGGGGACTGCCACGTGGAAATGAGTTGAAGGTGCTTGGAACTATGGAAGTTGGCTCGGCATAGGTGTCAGAGCTGGAGAAGTGGATTTAAAGTCAGCAGTCCAAGCCAGAGCAGATTTTTCACCCCCAGATCTTCCCAGGTCTTACCACCTCAGGGAAAATGGAATTGTTTTCTAGGGGTGAGAAACAAGAAGGGATTAGAAATAAATTTCAAGGCCGGGTGCAGTGGCTCATGCCTGTAATTCCAGCACTTTGGTAGGCCAAGGCAGGCAGATCATTAGAGGTCAGGAGTTCGAGACCAGCCTGACCAACATGGTGAAACCCCGTTTCTACTAAAATACAAAAATTAGCCAGGTGTGGTTGTGGGCATCTGTAATTTCAGCTACTTGGGAGGCTGAGGCAGGAGAATTGCTTGAACCCAGGAGGCAGAGGTTGCAGTGAGCTGAGATCTCACCACTACATTCCAGCCTGGGCAACAGAGCAAGACTCCCTCTCAAAAAATAAAATAAAAATAAGTGAATTTCAATTTAGGAACCTGATAAAATCCCAGCTGTTGCCCTCAAACTACCTGTATAATATCTTTTCTCTCGCAGTGTTCTGAAGGATTTTCTCAATTTTATTGCAGGTTGAAGGCTAATGCTTTTGAAATATTGCTTTAATAGTGACCCCTAGTGTTATAAGGAGATATCTGCTAACTGATGAGGTAGTTTGGAAACGAAAATTCCCTTAACCTGAAAGTCATTGCATAGATTGATATTGCCAGAAGGTATCTTCATAAATTATTCAGTCCATCTCTCTGCCTTTAGGGAGGATCACACTTGAACAATTCCAGGTCACTTCCCTTCAAGAAAGATGTAATGGACCTGAAGAGAGTTCAGAGAATGGCAAGTAGCATAAACAAGGAGAGAAATGTACTTTCCTGTGAGAATGGATTGAAGAAAAGGAGAAAGAAGAGGACAAGGAGGAGGAGGGACAAGAAGAAACTGCAGACTAGAAAATGGACACATACAAAACAGTGAAGTAATATAACAAATCTTTACATACTAGCTCTAAGAGGCACCTCTTTGAAACTATGAAGGGGCTGCATTAGCATAATCCTGGCGACCATTTTTGAGCATTTGCTCCATGGCAGGCATGCTTACAACCACCCATAAGGTAAGAACCATTATGATCTCCATTTTAGAGATAAGGAAACAAGGTATAGCACTCAATTACTCAGCCGAGGTGCCAGATGCTATGTCTCACACCTGTAATCCCAGCACTTTGGAAGGCTGAGGTGGGGGAATTGCTTGAGTCAAGACATTTGACACCAGCCTGGGCAACATAGAGAGACCTCATCTCTACAGAAAATAAACAAAATAAGCTGCATGCAGTGATGCACATCTGTAGTACCAGCTACTCGAGAGGCTGAGCTGGGAGGATCACTTGAGTTCAGGAGGTTGAGGTTGCAGTGAGCTGAGCTCATACCACTGCCCTTCAGCCTGGGCAACAGAGGGTGAAAAACATAAAAATAAAAAAATTGCTAAGCTGAGACAGCTCCAAGGGGCAAAATCAGGATTGGAACTCAGGCTTTTTGACTCCTAAGTGTGTGCTTCTAACCTCAATGCAACAGCCCTTAACTAATAAATAGGAATGCTAATTTATATGCAGAAAGCACATAAGTCATTAAACTGGCAAAGGCTAAAAATATAAATTTGTTCTAGAAAAGTGTGGATGTGGACATGGCAGTTTGGGAACATCTGTGATGTTTTCAGGCAAATCCCCTGATCTGACCCGGTGTGCTAATTCTCGTGTCCTTACTACACATCAAATCTGCGGATTTTCAGAGTAGAAACCTCATGCAGACCAAGCAGTACATTTCAATTTTTTAAAATCTGCAACAGCAGAGAAATTCTTCATGTCTAGCTAAATCCCTCCTGTTGATGCCCATTTTCTTTTATCCTGTCATCAATGAAGATGGAAAACAGCTGGACATAATCCTCTCTAACCTTTTCTATATGTGAACACCATTAAGTCTCTCCAGGTTTCTGCTCTATCCACTTTCAAGATACATAGTCCTCCTTCCCTTTGAATATCTCCACAGGTTTTGTTATTTATCTTGTGATTTTAATGACCCTTAGGGAAGCATTTCCAATCCTAAAGAGAAGTTTGTGCTGATGTAATTAGTAAACCATAAAAATGTCTTCATTCATAAAAGCAATGCAATGCCTCTAATTTTCAAAGGAGTTCCATATTCCTTATCTTGCTTGATTCTCACATATTTGTCCCTGTTTTACAGAAGTGAAAGTGAGGCTCAGAGAAATTAAGTGATTTGCCCAAGTTCATATAAGGAAATAGTGGAAAAAATTAACAAGATTGTTAAAAAGAGGGAGCAAGGTATATGATGACTGAGAAAGTCAAAGGGAAATTTTTAGAAGACATGTAAGTGTCAAAAAATAATCCTTTTTGCCTTTCTGTTTGTCTTTGGTAACTATCAGCATCTGGAAATATAAATATTCAGCAAACAAAAGTACAGCCTCCCTTTCCAGTCACCCATACGGCTTTCATTTTCAAAACTGGAGCCCAGAGACCCTCCTTCCACTTATAGGACTTAGGGAGCTGCCAACTCAGTGCCACCTAATTATTATGAAGCCAGGCACTCTTCCCACCATCCCACCTGTATTCACTTGCGGAATCTTTACAACTCTCTGAGCTGGGTGTTATTGTTACCTCCCACTTCACAGATTTGGAAACAAATCCAGTTAAGTTAAATAATTGGCCCAAGGTCATACAGAGAGTCTTGGTAAATATAAAGGTAAAGTTTAAGTAAAAGCCATGTAAATTCTGCATTTAAATTATTAAGCAGTAAGTATTCATCACAGACAATGATCCAGTATAATGGCTGTAAGATACGTAAGACAAATACGATCCCTTGAACGCACATGGAAATTGAGTCCCAGTGAGGTTAAGTCATTCCGTCTTGATCACACAGTGAGGCAGGGCTGATACGGTTAGCATCCATTAGCATGGCCATATTAGTTCTTAAAATGTTCAGTATTTCTGTACAAATTGGTATTAGTTGCTGCCCCAAGCCCTCCATGGGCCTCTCCCCTGTGAAACCTTCAGATCTCCCCATAGTCCAGCAACTTGTGGGGTCCCTGCTCGGTGATGATTGCACTCAGCCCTTTGGCAGGCTCCCTTTGGAAATTGGCATGGGGGACAGAGAGGAGGAGATGCTCTGCAGTAGGTCAGGTGCTTGGGAACAGAGGGTAGCCCAGGACAGGAGCCTTTAAGAGGTATCTGCTGCACAGTCGGTTTTACCCTTCCCCTCTGCATTATTACCCAAAAGGCAAAAATAGGGTTCAGGAACAGCAGAGAAAGTATCTTTCCCTTCATTCACACATTAGCAGGAGAAACTCTAGGTGTTAGAGCAAAGTAACAACCCTGCCTATGGTGCAGTGGTACCCTGGGGGGACTTAGGAGAAAGAAGACCAGTATTTGGGGAGAGCCAGAGGGCTGGAAATGAAGACTAAGGAGTTTCTCTCTTTCCTGTTTGGTGTATACATGATGATACACATACAAGAACCCCTGATACAGTGTCAGGCCCTTACCTGGTGCACAATAAATGTTTCTGAACTTTCTGGACTGATTAGATTATGATGTGAGCTGTTTAGAAAAAGGCCGTGGGAGTCTGCTTTCAGCCTTGAATTTAGTAGAGGATTATTACTAAGGCACCAGAGCAGATATGCAGGGGCCAGGGAGGAGCTGCCAAATAAGAGGACATTGTCTTGGTAAAAAAGAGAGTCTCTGAAATGGGCCAGCAGTTATAAATATCAATGGCAAATGCCTGAGCACTGATGTAAGAAGATGAATGCAAGAAACCTGACCGTCTTGGAAAAGACCTGAGCATGATGGATTCTTCCAAATCTAAATCCACTAAATTAGTTCTGAGACTACTCAGTGTTACATGGAAAGACGACAGCAGACAAGGCACCCCTCCATCTGCAAAACACTCCTGCTAGTGCTTCTAGGGGCACAGGAAGGGGACAAACAGAAACAAAAACAGTTGAGAGTCAAGATCATGAAATACGACCAACACAAAGGAGTTTGTGAAGTGAGAAGTGTTACTTATTCAACAGAGAGATTCCACAAAGAATCTCTTGTATAGTTTTATGACCTCATTCTTGCAAAGGATATAGCAGAAAAAAGAATTGAGTCATAAAAAGCGAAAGATATTTCTCAATTTCCTAATCATAACTTCGTGACTTAAAACAACAAAAGCTTATTCTCATAGAGTTCTGGAGGCCAAAGTCCAAAATCAAGGTGTTGGCAAGGCCATGCTCCCCAAGAAGGTTCTGGGGCAGAACCCTTTCTTGTCTCTTCCAGCTTCTGGTGGCTCCTGGCATTCCTTGGTTTGGGGCAGCCTAACTCCAGTATCTGCCTTGGCCCTCACATGGTCTTCTCTGTGTGATTTTGTGCCCTCTATATTGTAAGGACACTAGTCATTAGATTTAGGGCCCACTCTTAATCTATGATGATTTCATCTGAGCTCCTCAACCAATTACAATTAATTACATATGCTAAGAAAATTACATCCCTATTTCCACATAAGGTCACATTCTGAGCTTTTGGGTGGCCATAAATTTGGGTGGGGGACATTATTCAACCCACTATAATGTGTGACACATGCAGAAAATAGACAAAAAAGAGAGATTATGCATTTATAACATAGGAAATAGATTTACTCTTTGTGATTACCTTGTTATTCTTTACTACAGCCAACTATCTAATGATTGGTGACAATCAGAAGCAAACTTGACCTTTATCTACATGCTGTAGGAAAATGGTTCCCAAATGCTAAACAATGAAACAGCACTGGTCCGAGGGAAAGCTTTCATAGGCCAAGGCATCTTTTCCACAATCCCTGTGGGCTCTCGATTGAAGTCCCAGGGCCTCAGTTGCTCAGCCTTAGCTAAGAGGAGCTACTGAGTAAGAGCTTGCTCTAGGCACCTGGGCTCTACCATCTGCCCCCGCCAAGTTCTTCATGGCCCGGTAAGGAATAAGGACAGCATCAGAGCGATCAGGAAACTTGCTTTCATTTACATAGAATATTCCAAATGAAGGGAAATGCCATTAAGAGTGTTACTTCCATCTTTGCTAACAAACCTTTGAGAAACTGAGTTTCATAATGAATGATAAAGATATGAGAACAAATTGAACATTGATGCTCTACTTTGTGGTGTCCTATTGAATATATAACCACAAGCTGATAAATGTGTATCAAACTAACAATTATGTACAATGCAATAGGATTTCATATAGTAACTCTTCTAAACTCAAAAATTATGTATATATTTATAAAAATATATTTCATCTGTGTCTCTCTGTTGTCAGATTACCAACTATCCTTTATGCTATGTCCTTTTTACTTTTTACATGTAAAGTATGATTTCTTTTATGAAATAGTAAATATAGATTCTTACCTTACAAAATACAAAGGGCAACTTTTGTTGGTTCCATGCTTTTTAAACATTTTCACTGAATATATTTTATATTTCAGTGATTTCTTTTTTATTGCTTTGGAGTACAGAATTATTACAGAAATAAATTTCAGAGTATAAAGGTATTTCTCCATAAGAAAACCTGCCATTTAAAAGTCAAGCTTATAGGACATATTGGTTAAAATATAATTGTATTGTTTTGATTTAAAGTAACAGGATTTGCACTTAAGAGAAGGTATACCCTAGATTTCCTTTGCACAATAAATTCCTAAAGTGCATGTATAATATGATTCCATTTTATATTTAAATCCAAAATTTCAAGAGCACAGTCTTTTCAAATTAAGTTACACCTCCTTCTATTTTTCCTGCAGACAGCTGTCAATAGGCAAGATATTCCCACTGTAGCACTCACCTCTCCTATCCATCTGTCTTTCCACCAGGCATTTAGAGATCAGGCAAATAGAAAGACTGTGTCTGGGGTAAAAAAATGACTGCAGAGGGAAAGCTGAACCTGGCTGGACATAGTTGCTCTGCCCAGAACATTGTTTTTTCTCTTTTATGGGCCTTTACTCTGATTGACTACCATTTAACAAAAATGGTAGTGAGAGCAGCGTCACCGGATAATTACAATCTCCTTAAGTGTCAAAAGACCTTGGTCTTCCTTCATATGGAAACTCTCTACCCTCTCATTTAAAGCAATCGAGGCTGGGTGCAGTGGCTAACGCCTGTAATCCCGGCACTTTGGAAGGCTGAGGTGGGCCGATCACTTGAGTCCACAGTTTGAGACCAGCTTGGGCAACATGGCAAAATCCTGTCTCTACACAAAATACAAAAATTAGCCTGGCTTGGTGGCACGCATCTGTGGTCCCAGGCACTTGGGAGGCTGAGGCAGGGGGATGGCTTGAGCCTGGGAGGTCGAGGCCTCAGTGAGCCGTGATTGTGTCACCGCACTCTAGCCTGAGTCAAACAGTGAGACCCTGTCTAAAAAAAAAAAAAAAAAAAAAAAAAAAGCAATTGAATAACTTTCATGCGCGTCCGTGTGAAGAGACCACCAAACAGGCTTTGTGTGAGCAACATGGCTGTTTATTTCACCTGGGTGCAGGTGGGCTGAGTCCGAAAAGAGAGTCAGCGAAGGGAGATAGGGGTGGGGCCATTTTATAGGATTTGGGAAGGTAATGGAAAATTACAGTCAAAGGGGGTTGTTCTCTGGTGGGCAGGGGTGGATCTCACAAAGTACATTCTCAAGAGTGGGGAGAATTACAAAGAACCTTCTTAAGGGTGGGGGAGATTACAAAGTACATTGATCAGTTAGGGTGGGGCAGGAACAAATCACAATGGTGGAATGTCATCAGTTAAGGCTGTTTTTACTTCTTTTGTGGATCTTCAGTTACTTCAGGCCATCTGGATGTATACGTGCAAGTCACAGGGGATGCGATGGCCTGGCCTGGGCTCAGAGGCCTGACATTCCTGCCTTCTTATATTAATAAGACAAATAAAACAAAATAGTGTTGAAGTGTTGGAGTGGCAAAAATTTTGGGGGGGTGGTATGGAGAGAGAATGGGCGATGTTTCTCAGGGCTGCTTCAAGCGGGATTAGAGGCGGCGTGGGAACCTAGAGTGGGAGAGATTAAGCTGAAGGGAGGTCTTGTGGTGAGGGGTGATATTGTGGGGATGTTAGAAGAAACATTTGTCATATAGAATGATTGGTGATGGCCTGGATACGGTTTTGGATGAATTGAGGAACTAAATGGAATAAGAGAAGGAGAAAAACAGGTATAAAAGGTCTAAGAATTGGGAGGACCTAGGACATCTGATTAGAGAGTGCCTAAGGAGATTCAGCATAGTCCTGCCAGCAAAGATTATTTATTTACTTCAAGAGTTTAGAGTGGCAGTTTGGGGATAGCACCAGGAGATATCAGCTGTGATGGCTTGGAGAAACAGCGTAAACCGGCAGTGTAAACAAGAGCAGGGCGTATATGAGTAGTTGAGAACGGTGAATAGGAGTATGACTAGATAAAAGATAGTAGGGATGACAAGTTTTTTGGGGGCACAGTCTAAGTTGGTCTGGTGTCAAATGAGACTGGGGCCTAATAAAAAGGAGCATGTATACAGGAGCTTAAATGGGCTGTACCTTGTAGAAGCGAAAGTGGTAAAAGTATTGTCCAGTCCTTTTTAAGTTGGTGGCTGAGCTTGGTGAGCTGTGTTTTTAAAAGACCTTTAGTCCGTTCTATTTTTCTTGAAGATGGAGGACCGTAAAGGATATAAAGGTTTCGCTGAAACCTACTAAGAGCCTGAAAAACTGCTTGGCTGATTTGACTAATAAAGGCTGGTCTGTTATCAGACTGTATAGAGGTGGGAAGGCTAAACTGAGGAATTATGTCTGACAGAAGGAAAGAAATGACTGCGGTGGCCTTCTCAGACCCTGTAGGAAAGGCCTTTACTTATTCAGTGAAAGTGTCTATTTGGACTAAGAGGTATTTTAGTTTCCTGACTCGGGCATGTTGAGTAAAGCTAATTTGCCAGTCCTGGGTGGGGGCAAATCCTCAAGCTTGATGTGTAGGGAAGGGAGGGGGCCTGAATAATCCCTGAGGAGTAGTAGAATAGCAGATGGAACACTGAGAAGTTATTTCCTTGAGGATAGATTTCCACGATGGAAAGGAAATGAGAGGTTCTGAGAGGCAGGCTAGTGGCTTGTACTATAGCATAGCCTGCCTTTGCTGGTGTGTGGCGATTAGGCCTGGTGGAACTGCCATCAATAAATCAAGCGTGATCAGGGTGAGGAACAGGAAAGAAGGAAATTTGGGGAAATGGGGTGAATGTCAGGTGGATCAGAGAGATACAGTCATGGGGGTCAGGTGTGGTATGAGGAATAATGTGGGAGGCCAGATTGAAGTCCGGGCCAGGAACAATGGTAATTGTGGGACTGAAAGAGTGAGTACAGCTGAAGGAGCCGGGGAGCAGAAAGTATATGCGTCAGGTATGAGGAAGAAAATAGATTTTGGAAGTTACGAGAAATGTAGAGAGTGAGTTGAGCATAGTTTGTGATTTTTAGGGCCTCTAAAAGTATTAAGGCAGTGGCAGCCGCTGCACGCAGACATGAGGGCTAGGCTAAAACAGTAAGGTCAAGTTGTTTGGACAGAAAGGCTACAGGGTGTGGTCCTGGCTCTCGTGTAAGAATTCTGACCACGCTAACCATGCCTAGGAAGGAAAGGAGTTGTTGTTTTGTAGAAGGTGCTGGGGTTTGAGAGATCAGTTGGACACGATTGGCAGGGAGAGCACGTGTGTTTTTATGAGATTATGCCGAGATAGGTAACAGATGAGGAAGAAATTTGGGCTTGATTGAAGTAATGGGGGCTGTCTGTGAAGCTTTGTGGCAGTACAGCCTAGGTAATTTGCTGAGCTTGATGGGTGTCAGGGTCAGTCCAAGTGAAGGTGAAGAGAGGCTGGGATTAAGGGTGCAAAGGAATAGTAAAGAAAGCATGTTTGAGATCTAGAACAGAATAATGGGTTATAGAGGCAGGTATTGAGGATAGGAGAGTATATGGGTTTGGCACCACGGGGTGGATAGGCAAAACAATTTGGTTGATAAGGTGCAGATCCTGAACTAACTTGTAAGGCTTGTCTGGTTTTAGGACAGGTGAAATGGGGGAATTGTAAGGAGAGTTTATAGGCTTTAAAAGGCCATGCTGTAGCAGGCAAGTGATAACAGACTTTAATCTTTTTAAAGCGTACTGCGGGATGGGATATTGGCATTGAGTGGGGTAAGGGTGATTAGGTTTTAATGAGATGGTAAGGGATGCATGATCGGTCGCCAAGGAGGGAGTAGAGGTATCTTATACTTGTGGGTTAAGGTGGGGGGATACAAGAGGAGGACGCAAAGGAGGCTTTGGATTGGGAAGAAGGGCAGCAATGAAATATAGCTGTAGTCCGGGATAGTCAGGGAAGCAGATAATTTAGTTAAAGTGTCTCAGCCTAATAAGGGAACTGGGCAGGTGGGGATAACTAAAAAGGAGTGCTTAAAAGAGTATTGTCTAAGTTGGCACCAGAGTTGAGGAGTTTTCAGGGGTTTTGAAGCTTGGCCATCAATACCCACAAAAGTTATGGGGGCAAGGGAAACAGGCCCTTGAAAAGAAGGCAATGTGGAGTGGGTAGCCCTCGTATCGATCAAACAGGGGATGGACTTACCCTCCACTGTGAGAGTTACCTGAAGCTCGGTGTCCGTGATGGTCCAGGGGGCTTCCGAGGCGATCGGGCAGCGTCAATCTTCAGTCGCTAAGCCAAGCAGATCTGGGAAGGAGTCAGTCAGAGAGCCTTGGGCTAGAGCTTTAGGGGCTCTAGGAGTGGCTGCTGGGCAAGCTGGGCAGTCTGATTTCCAGTGGGTCCCTGCACAGATGGGACATGGCTTGGGAGGGATCCTGGGCTGCAGGCATTCCTTGGCCCAGTGGCCAGATTTCTGGCACTTGAAGCAGGATCCTGATGGAGGAAGTCTTGTAGGAATGCTTGACTGCTGCAGCTTAGGCATTTTGAAGTTCTTGTATGCAGGAGGTGTGGCTGGGTTTTGTCTCACAGCAGAGGCAAGTAATTGTAACTCAGAAATGCGTTGCCGTCTGGCTGCTTTCTATTATTGTACACCTTGAAGGCGAGGTTGATTAATTCCTGTTGTGGGGTTTGAGGGCCAGAATTTAATTTTTGGAGTTTTAATGTCGGGAGCAGATTGGGTAATAAAATGTATTTTGAGAATAAGACGGCCTTTTGACCTTTTAGGGTCTAGGGCTGTAAAGTGTCTCAGGGTTGCTGCCAAACGAGCCATGAACTGGGCTGGGTTTTTATATTTGATGAAAAAGAGCCTAAACGCTATCTGATTTGGGATAAAGAAAAAGGAGCATTAACCTTGACTATGCCTTTAGCTCCAGCCACCTTTTTAAGAATAAATTGCTGGGCAGGTGGGGGAGGGCTAAGTCACGGAAGGAAACTGTAAGCCGGAGCAGGTGTGAGGAGGGGAGGCGATAAAAAGATTATAGGGTGGAGGAGTGGAGGCTGAGGAAGAATTGGGACCTAGCTCGGCCTGGCGAGGAGGGGAGAGGTCAGATGGGTCTGTAGAAAAGGAAGATTAGAAAGACTCAGCGACGCTTGGGGTTGGTACTGAGGGGACAGGCGGGAGGGAAAGAAGGAAGATTTGGGATGAGTTGCACTGGGCACAGAGACTAGGAAGGGACTGATGTGTAAAAGAATGCCTGGACGTCAGGCACCTCAGACCATCTGCCCATTTTACGACAAGAATTATTTAGATCTTGTAGGATGGAAAAATTGAAAGTGCCGTTTTCTGGCTATTTGGAACTACTGTTGAGTTTGTATTGGGGTCAAGCGGCATTGCAGAAGAAAAACGCTTAGATTTTAGGTCAGGTGAGAATTGAAGAGGTTTTAAGTTCTTAAGAATACAGGCTAAGGGAGAAGAAAGAGGAATGGAAGGTGGAAGCTTGCCCATAGTGAAGGAGGCAAGCCCAGAGAAAAGAGTAGAGACACGGAGAAGGGGTGGGGGTTTCTTCCCCTCCAGAAAAGCAGAGAAAGGGTTGGGGCACGGAAATAAGGGATTGGGGCACAGAGATAAGAGATTGGGGCGTGGAAATAAGCGATTGGGGGGTTCTTGCCCCCTAGGAAAAGCGGGACTTGCTGCTAAGGGTGAAGGAGAAGGGGTTGAGGGGTACTTGCCCCTGCCCCAGGAAAGCGGGACTTGCCACTGAGGGTGAAGGAGAAGGGGTTGAGGGGTACTTGCTCCTGCCCCAGGAAAGCGGGACTTGCCACTGAGGGTGAAGGAGAAGGGGTTGAGGATTACTTGCCCCTGCCCCAGGAAAGCAGAGAAGGGGTAGAGACAAGGAGAGAAGGGGTTGGGGTACTTGCCCCTTCCCCAGAAAAGCGGGACTTGCCGCTAAGGGTGAAGGACCAAGGCAGGCGTCCCTGCGTGGTCTGACACCCTTGAAACGTGGGTGTATAATCAGAGAGGCATCCCTGCAATAATTAAACACCAAGGGAAGGCTGCCTTCCCAGTCTGTGACTGGCGCCGGAGTTTTGGGTTCACGGATAAAACATGTCTCTTTTGTCTCTACCAGAAAATGAGAGGAATTGAAATTAGGAGAAGGGAGAGATTGAAGTGTGGCACCAAGATTGAAAGGAGAAAGAGGTTGAGGGATAGTGAGGGAGGTTGGAGAAGAGAGTAAAAAGAGGCCGCTTACCGGATTTGAAATTGGTGAGAGGTTTCTTGGGCTGGTCGTTCTGAGGACTGGAGGTCGTAGGTGGATCTTTCTCATGGAGCAAAGAGCAGGAGGACAGGGGATTGATCTCCTAAGGGAGGTCCCCCGATCCGAGTCACAGCAACAAATTTCATGCGCATCCGTGTGAAGAGACCACCAAACAGGATTTGTGTGAGCAACATGGCTGTTTATTTCACCTGGGTGCAGGTGGGCTGAGTCCGAAAAGAGAGTCAGCGAAGGGAGATGGGGGTGGGGCCATTTTATAGGATTTGGGAAGGTAAAGGAAAATTACAGTCAAAGGGGGTTGTTCTCTGGTGGGCAGGGGTGGATCTCACAAAGTACATTCTCAAGAGTGGGGAGAATTACAAAGAACCTTCTTAAGGGTGGGGGAGATTACAAAGTACATTGATCAGTTAGGGTTGGGCAGGAACAAATCACAATGGTGGAATGTCATCAGTTAAGGCTGTTTTTACTTCTTTTGTGGATCTTCAGTTACTTCAGGCCATTTGGATGTATACGTGCAAGTCACAGGGGATGCGATGGCCTGGCCTGGGCTCAGAGGCCTGACAATAACTACTCTGTCCAAGGTGTTCCAAGCATTGCTTACAATCTAACTGTGTTTTGTCTTCATTTCCTTGATGACTCTTTTGTGCAATTGCTTCTGGGTGTCCCTTTCTGTATTCTTAGGGAGAAAAGGCAAAAGTTTCTGGCACCTTAATAGGAACTGTTTTGTCAGCTGCTCATAACTAGAAAAGCTGAATCAAGTGGTCTTTTAGTCTTTCTGAATATTTCAAGCATCTAGAAACCAAGGTCTTATTCATTTTTGCATTTTAAATGTTGTTTGAATTACAACCAGAGGCCTTATTTACCAATATCCAGTAAAAGTCATATTTTAAGAGATATGTACATAATATGGCTGACTTGCTTTCTAGCTGACTCTCATGAAAAAGCCATATACTTACATATATGAAAGCAGATATATGCATATCTCTGGCTGATGCCAAATGAAATATCTTATCCACCTGCATGACACATAGTTTAATTTGGTACATCAAAACTGGTTGGGTCTTGCCTTCCAGAAAAGGAGCTGGCATAGACACAAGGGTGGCATGAGTCAGAAAAAGATGAAAAATACTTATCAGTTTCTTCTTGGACCTTCGTGTGCTTTTGCACTTCATGCACAAAATATATTATGTCCTTGGAAATAGCCCTTTATACCTCCTCTCCTCCTACCATCGTGTCAGTCTAATATATCATAGAGTAAGCCAGATATAAGCATCCTTTTGGACTGAGCTGGCTGGTAAATTAACTTATGCTAAACGGCTGTCTGCCCATGACTGTCAACTCTATCATCCTTGTCTGTCTCCTTTTCCCTTTCCCAGACATTTCATTTCACTATGGATGACATTTCATTTTATTCTCAGTGCATTTCATCTCCTTGCAATGTATGAAAATTTTCAGTGAACAGAATACTCCACTGACCCTTCTGAAACTGACAAGGATATTTGTGTGCCCCAAACTAGTTCAGTAATACAACACTGCCTGGCTTCCTTTTCAGTTTACACTGGAGAAGCTGAGTTCATAAAAGAGAGCATTTGTCTCACCTGCACTTGAATCCCAAAACTGAACTTAAACATTATAGACACACGCTATGTCTATAATTTTTGACATTACAGACATGAAGGTCCTTAATGGGCTAGTGGGCAAAAGCCATCTAGGAATCAGAAATCAACAGATATTTTCCGAGCACTTGTAGTGTGACCTTGGATGCTAGTTTCAAGATCACCTTAATGATAGTAGTGGCATCATGGCAGCGGCTGGGGAGGCACGGCCTAGGCTACGCACTCCACAGAGCCAGCGGGAGCTGGGAACAGGTAGGAGCCTCACCCCCTTCCGAGTTAGAGGGGCAGGAGCCCCAACCTCCCGGGCGCACTGCAGCTGCCCAGCCACAGCTGCAGACCCGGGCATCCCTTCACTCTCGGAGACCCAGGAAGCCCACCTCCCCTCGCAGGATCGGAAGTGTCTGCTCCAACTGCCAGGCCTCTCCCTGCTCCCAGTGCCCGCTCTGATTTTGGAGCAAAGTTGAGGCTAAACCCAGGCACTGTTGTGACCCAGCTGGGTGTGCACGCACTCAGGGCAGTGCTGACTCACCAGCCCTTGCCACCTCAGCCCCCTCCGGACTTTGGGCACCGAGAAGCATGGGAGGGAGGCCGAGGGGTGGTGAGGGCAGCTCGGCACAGGCCTGCAGGCCCACCTCGACATGAACAGCCTGGGCACTGTGGGCTCGTGGACAGCAGGTTGATGGCGGTAGGGGGCAGACAGGTTCCTAGGCAGAAAGCAGTGGGTCCTGTTCTGTTCCATTGATCTATATCTCTGTTTTGGTACCAGTACCATGCTGTTTTGGTTACTGTAACCTTGTAGTATAGTTTGAAGTCAGGTAGCGTGATGCCTCCAGCTTTGTTCTTTTGGCTTAGGACTGACTTGGCGATGCAGGCTCTTTTTTGGTTGCATATGAACTTTAGTTTTTTCCAATTCTGTGAAGAAAGTCATTGGTAGCTTGATGGGGATGGCATTGAATCTGTAAATTACCTTGGGCAGTATGGCCGTTTTCATGATATTGATTCTTCCTACCCATGAACATGAAATGTTCTTCCATTTGTTTGTATTCTCTTTTATTTCCTTGAGCAGTGGTTTGTAGAACTCCTTGAAGAGGTCCTTCACATCCCTTGTAAGTTGGATTCCTAGGTATTTTATTCTCTTTGAAGCAATTGTGAATGGGAGTTCACTCATGATTTGGCTCTCTGTTTGTCTGTTGTTGGTGTATAAGAATGCTTGTGATTTTTGTACATTGATTTTGTATCCTGAGACTTTGCTGAAGTTGCTTATCAGCTTAAGGAGATTTTGGGCTGAGACAATGGGGTTTTCTAGATATACAATCATGTCGTCTGCAAACAGGGACAATTTGACTTCCTCTTTTCCTAACTGAATACCCTTTATTTTCTTCTCCTGCTTAATTGCCCTGGCCAGAACTTCCAACACTATGTTGAATAGGAGTGGTGAGAGAGGGCATCCCTGTCTTGTGCCAGTTTTCAAAGGGAATGCTTCCAGTTTTTGCCCATTCAGTATGATATTGGCTGTGGGTTTGTCATAGATAGCTCTTATTATTTTGAGATATGTCCCATCAATACCTAATTTATTGAGAGTTTTTAGCATGAAGCGTTGTTGAATTTTGTCAAAGGCCTTTTCTGCATCTATTGAGAGCCCTCAGAAATAACACCGCATATGTACAACTATCTGATCTTTGACAGACCTGAGAAAAACAAGCAATGGGGAAAGGATTCCCTATTTAATAAATGGTGCTGGGAAAACTGGCTAGCCATATGTAGAAAGCTGAAACTGGATCCCTTCCTTACACCTTATACAAAGATCAATTCAAGATGGATTAAAGACTTAAACGTTAGACCTAAAACCATAAAAACCCTAGAAGAAAACCTAGGCATTACCATTCAGGACATAGGCATGGGTAAGGACTTCATGTCTAAAACACCAAAAGCAATGGCAACAAAAGCCAAAATTGACAAATGGGATCTAATTAAACTAAAGAGCTTCTGCACAGCAAAGGAAACTGCCATCAGAGTGAACAGGCAACCTACAAAATGGGAGAAAATTGTTGCAACCTACTCATCTGACAAAGGGCTAATATCCAGAATCTACAATGAACTCAAACAAATTTACAAGAAAAAAACAAACAACCCCATCAAAAAGCAGGCAAAGGACATGAACAGACACTTCGCAAAAGAAGACATTTATGCAGCCAAAAAACACATGAAAAAATGCTCACCATCACTGGCCATCAGAGAAATGCAAATCAAAACCACAGTGAGATACCATCTCACACCAGTTAGAATGGCAATCATTAAAAAGTCAGGAAACAACAGGTGCTGGAGAGGATGTGGAGAAATAGGAACACTTTTACACTGTTGGTGGGACAGTAAACTAGTTCAACCATTGTGGAAGTCAGTGTGGGATTCCTCAGGGATCTAGAACTAGAAATACCATTTGACCCAGCCATCCCATTACTGGGTATATACCCAAAGGACTATAAATCATGCTGCTATAAAGACACATGCACACGTATGTTTATTGCGGCAGTATTCACAATAGCAAAGACTTGGAACCAACCCAAATGTCCAACAATGATAGACTGGATTAAGAAAATGTGGCACATATACACCATGGAATACTATGCAGCCATAAAAAATGATGAGTTCATGTCCTTTGTAGGGACATGGATGAAATTGGAAATCATCATTCTCAGTAAACTATCGCAAGAACAAAAAACCAAACACCGCATATTCTCACTTATAGGTGGGAATTGAATAATGAGAACACATGGACACAGGAAGGGGAACATCACACTCTGGGGACTGTTGTGAGTGGGGGGAGGGAGGAGGGATAGCATTGGGAGATATACCTAATGCTAGATGACGAGTTAGTGGGTGCAGTGCACCAGCATGGTATGTGTATACATATGTAACTAATCTGCACATTGTGCACATGTACCCTAAAACTTAAAGTATAATAATAAAAAAAAAAAGAAAGCGGTGGGTCCTCGGTGAAACCCCCCTTAGGCCAGAAACGGCCTGAAGCCTGGGGGCTGAGCTGCCAGTTCCGCCGGGAGTGAGAACTTATGGTGCTTTTTCCAGGTCCGCCCATTGCTGCCCATGGACCAGTCAGCACACACTTCCTCCCCTCTGAAGCCCACCCCCAACCCCCAAGCCAGACCCTGGCAGACTAGGGGACGACCTGCCTGCGGATGGAGCCATCCACTCTGGGCCTCCTCTTCACTGAGGGCTGCAGAGACAAGGAGACAACCTGCCTGCAGATAGGAGCTACTCACTCTGGGGCCTCTCACTCTGTCTCCTCTTTGCTGAGGGCTGCAGAGAGGGTGGGATGACCTGCCTGCAGATAACAGCCACTCACTCCAGGTCTGTCTGGATGACCTGTCTGTGGATAGGAGCCACCCACTTGGGTCTCCTCTCCCCTGAGGGCTGCACAGATGTTGGGATGACCTGCCTGTGGGTAAAAGCCACCCACTCAGGGTCTCCTCCCTGCTAAGTGCTGCACAGATGTTGGGATTACCTGCCTGTGGATAAGAGCCACCCACTCAGGGTCTCCTCTCCCCTGAGGGCTGCACAGATGTTGGGATGACCTGCCTGTGGGTAAAAGCCACCCACTCAGGGTCTCCTCTCTGCTAAGTGCTGCACAGATGTTGGGATTACCTGCCTGTGGATAAGAGCCACCCACTCAGGGTCTCCTCTCCACTGAGGGCTACACAGATGTTGGGATGACCTGCCTGTGATAAGAGCCATCCACTCTGGGTCTCCTGTCTGCTGAGGGCTGCACAGATGTTGGGGTGACCTGCCTGTGGATAGGAGCTACCCACTCCAGGTCTCTTCTCCACTGAGAGCTGGACACTCATTGGGACAACCTTCCTGTGGAAAGGAGCTACCCACTTTGAGTCTCCTGAGAACTGTTCTATCACTCAATGAAGCTCCTCTCCACTTTGCTCACCCTCCAGGTGTCTGCCTACCTCATTCTTCTTGGATGTGGGACAAGAACTCAGGACCTGCTGAATGGCTGGTCTAAAAGAAATGTAACACAAACAGGGCTGAAACATGCATCCCCTGCTTGCCACATTGCGGGGAATGAGAAGGAGGGAAGAGCTGTGGTCCCTTGTGAAGCCCAGACCTAGGGGCTCCCTGAGCCAGGGCTGTGACACCCTCTTTGGGGTTTTGCAGTTCCTGGTGTCTTCAAGCTTCAGGGTGCCATCACATTCCCCTTGTCCAGAAGCGGGTGCCTGCAGTGGAAGCCAGGCACCTTAGAGACTTTAGAAGAAGGCAGAGCAACCAGTGCTCAAGGCCCATCCACTCCCATCCCAACCCCAATCTCAGCTAGAGCAGCTCTTCTTTTCCACTGAGCATTTGCTAGAAGGCATTGGGAGGGGTGGGGAAAGCAGCCTCAACAATAATAATGCATGCATGTACTCTGTAAATACTATCTGGGGATGATGGTGATATTATTGGGAATTCTAACCTATATATGAGAAAGGGAAACAACAGCTTCCTAATTTCCAAATGCATTATGTTTCATTGGGGAGAATGGTTCTATCAGGTGGATCAGGCAGAAGTAACATTATATCCTGTGAGAGAAAGATCTGAAACTTTTAATTGATTTATATTTAAACCCCAACCCTCCAACTGGTGAGCTGTGTGAACCTCAGTTTTGTCATTTGTAGTAATGGAACTCATGAACCTCCTTTATGGGATTATTGTGAAGAACCACTTTGTTTTTTGTTTTACAGCTGGAATCTCAATGCCTTGAATAGTACCAGGTGGTGGTAGGTGCTCGATAAATATTTGTTGAATTAATAAATGAAATGACGGTCATGAAACTGTCAAACCCAGCATCTGGCTCATCGAAGATGCTTCATTTTCTTCCTGTGCAGATGACTCAATTGGATGGAGTCAGAGATGTTTTCAGGGAGGGTGTAGAGTAAAATAGTAATAATAGCTAACACTCTATGTACCAGATACTGTTCTATAGGCTTTCCACATATTAATTTCTTTAATCCTCAATTCCTAGATCTTCACCAACCTGAGAAAATTTCCTAATCTTTGCCCTTGGGAAAGTTAGTTAACCTATCTCTGCTTCATTTTGCACATTTAAAAATGGAAATAACAGTACTCACTACTGACCTCATAGATTTGTTATGAGAATGAAATTGGTTAATCCATATATAATTCTTAGAACAATTCCTCATACAGACTAAGCACTCAATACGTTTTTAACTCTGATTAGGTTGTGAAATCTCTATTACTCTGTATTTTACTAATGATGTTCTTCTGAGTTCAATAAGTAAATGCTTTAAGAATTCTGAGATGAGAGAGGTCAATGTAGGCAGTAGGAGCACTTACTAGAGAACTTACTAGGATTTAAGCTGGGCCTTCACAAAATGTGGGTGGGCAAAGAGGAGTGGGAAGGACATTCTAGGAGGAGAAATATATGTAGCTAGGGGTAGTGTTAGAGTCATCCTCTAAAGTGCTTGACTTCTGGTTTGCTATTTAATAGTTTTCCCATCTGTAAAATCAAGAAAATATCTGCCCTATGGGTTACTTTTATTAGGATGTTATATGAACTAATGAACATAAAATGCTTAGTACAGTGCTGGGCACATTGTAAGCATATAGGTAGTTGGTACTACTGTTTACCATTAAGGGCAGACATAGGCCAGGTCCAGCGGTTCACATCTGTAATCCTGGCACTTTGGGCAGCTAAGGCAGGTGGATTGCTTGAGCCCAGGAGTTCGAGACCAGCCTGGGCGACATGATGAGAACCTGTCAAAAATTAGCTGGGCATGGTGGCACACACCTGTAGCCCCAGCTACTTGAGAAGCTAAGGTGGGAGGATGGCTTGAGCCCAGGAGGCAGAGGTTGCAGAGCCAGACCCTGTCTCAAAAAAAAAAAAAAAAAAAGAAAGAAAGAAAGAAAAAGGAAAAAAAGGGGGTAGACATAGAAGTTTATGAGACAATGCGAAAAATAGCCAATTCCATTCAAGAACTGAGCTAGTCGTGGTTCCCCAGAATGTATCATTAACTTTGTGATTTTTCACTTTTATATAAGACCTTATTAATAACATATATCTGGTTTAAGTGGAGTCTTAAGTTTTAATGGTTTGGATTTGGGGTATGGAGTGGGAATTGGTTTTAAGTATATGACTTAGAATAACTTTCATACTTTTATACTTGTATTTAAGTTGGTTAAAGTTACTTTGCAACTGAATTACTGAAAAGTAAACCAAATAGTAAATTTAGTGGAGAGGTGATTTGCTCTTTCTTCAAACTCTTTCATGCAGACAGAGGTTTGCTCCTTTTAACTTGCTGCCAGGGCAAGGAACAAGAAGTAACATGAGACACATGACTTTCCAGCCACTCCTTAAAATGCTTAATATAAACTTCTAGCTCCCAAAATACTTTTCTTGACCTCAGTGTTCTTTTAGACTGGTATTTCCTACTTGATCCTTTTATCCAACTCCAACCCCAACCCCAATATCTTCTTTTTTTTTTTTTTTTTTTTTGAGATGGAGTCTCGCTCTGTCGTCCAGGCTGGAATGCAGTGGCACAATCCCGGCTCACTGCCAGCTCCGCCTCCCAGGTTCTCGCCATTCTCCTGCCTCAGCCTCCCGAGTAGCTGGGACTACAGGCACCCGCCACCATGCCCGGCTAATTTTTTGTATTTTTAGTAGAGACGGGGTTTCACCATGTTAGCCAGGACGGTCTCTATCTCCTGACCTTGTAATCTGCCCGCCTCAGCCTACCAAAGTGCTGGGATTACAGGCCTGAGCCACTGCACCAGGCTAACCCCCATATCTTAAAGGAGCGTGAGTTCAGGCCTAACTTTTCCTTTCATATCTATTGTGGGAATTATTTTAATCATTTAAAAAAGTTTCTTTGTGAAGATTACATGCACACTTGGAATGAAATGGCATTTTCTCGTTGGAACTTCATGCAATCAAGGGTGGAGTTTGCAGATTTATCTACAACACATGCAAGCTCTAGGTGAATTAATAGACTCATCTTCTACAATCTATATTTGGAAATATTGTAAATGTACACTTTCTTCTTTATATATGACATGAAAGATCAAATTAAAGACCTTTACAAATTTTTCCCAAGTGCCTTGTTCATTTCTGCCTCAGGTCCTTTGCCCAGTTTTCCTTACCTGGATTTATTTCCCTGCACTTTACCTGTTCAGGCTTGAGACTCTCTGCATGAAGCCGTCCCGACTACATAGCTCATACCAAGCTCTTCTCTGCACTTTTGGAATTATTTTATCTCACTGATTTGAAACTTAGCTTTATCATTCAGTGCATTTATTCTGTCTTCCCAAATTAAAGGGTAAAATCCAAGGTAGAGAACAGGTCTTTAGTTCCTGTGTATCCCAGCTCACTACCTAACACAATGCATTGGCAGAGAAGGCCCTCAAAATAACATTTTTATGTTTATGTGACAGTCTTCTTCTCAGTTCTGAAATAGCTTCGCTAATAATGATTGCATGATTGAATAATTTTCTTTGCTCTGAAAACAGAAAACATGTCATTCTTGTATTTCTGATACTTCACTAGTTGATAATATCAGAGAGTGTCACAATGAGCAAGTCATTATGGAGATTCTGCCTGGTACTAATTCCAGACTCTATGTTCAACTTCTAGAGAGCACAAGTCCACAGATAGTTCTATTTATTAATTGGATTTGGCAAGGAGAGTTAATTCCTTGCAAAAATAGACAAGCAAACTATTAAAAATAACATTCAAAGGAGAAGGCTAAAAATAATATACAAAAAAGCGAAATTGCTTAATTCAAGTAAAAGTGTAGAAAAAGAATTCTATTAAAATTCATTTAAGTATTTAGTGATAACGTTGAAGTGTTTAAAAAAGAGGCCAAATGTGGAATGTTAGCTCAATCTCCTCAGCAACTGTTTTTTTTTCTTTCATTTTTAAGATTTTGTTCAGCTTTTAATAATGAAGACTTTATAAGTAGTGAAAAGACGAAGCAAGATTTCTTAACAGTGAATCTTCTGAAATGTTAAATAAATTTTATATACAGTTGGCCCTTCATATTCATGAGTTCCACATCTGTGGATTTAACCAAACTCAGATCAAAAATATTCCGGGAAAAAATAACAACAAAAAAAAATGGATGGTTGCATCTGTACTGAACACGTACAGACTTTTTTCCTTGTCATTATTCCCTTGACAATATAGATAACAACTATTCACATAGCATTTATATTGTACTAGGTATTATAAGTAACTTGAGATGATTTAAAGTACATAGAAGGATGTGTGTAGCTTATATGGAAATACTAAACCATTTTATATAAAAGGTTTGAGCACTCATAGATTTTGGTAACCAAGGCGTTCCTGGCCAATTCCCCGTGGATACCAAGAGATGACTGCACATGTCCCTTTTCTGGAGAAAATCCAAAGCTTTATTTGTATTCCCAAAGGGGAGCTTGTAATCAAAAGAGATTTTAAAAACACAGCGTTCTTCCTACTCACTACTCTGTTTGTTTGTTTGTTTGTTTGTTTGTTTGTTTGTTTTGAGACGGAGTCTCACTCTGTCGCCCAGGCTGGAGTGCAGTGGCACGATCTCAGCTCACTGCAGCCTCTGCCTCCCAGGTTCAAGTGATTCTACTGCCTCAGCTGGGACTACAGGTGTGTGCCATCGCACTCTGCTAATTTTTGCATTTTTAATAGAGACAGGGTCTCACCATATTGCCCAGGCTGGTCTTGAGCTCCTGGCCTCAGGTGATCCGCCCACCTTAGCCTCACAAAGTGCTGGGATTACAGGCGTGAGCCACTGCACCCAGCCTTACTCTGAGTTTAATAGGAGAGATGAAGATACTTCCAAATTACCTTTATTCCAAGTATGTCTCGAGTTTCAGTGCATTTTTTACTTACTTTGAAGCAAACAAAAACCCTCTACCTTTATCGGTCTCAAAGTTAAAAAGAAAAACAAAACACAGGTAGCATTCAAAGGCTTAACTTATATAATAATCCCTTGGACCTAGGGAACTTGACAAGGATTTCTAGAGTTGCTCTTGAGAGCTTTGAACATCTGGAGTCCTCATAGGAGTGGGGCTGCTAAGTCATTAAAAAGTGTTAGCTTTTTAGTTTGCCTGATTAAAAATATAGTATCATCTCCCTTTGGTCCCACAAAACCCACTAGAAGCACTTAACTGACTCCCACATAGTTAAACCATTCTCTGGGCAGTTAATTAGGAACTATGCCTTTCCCAGACTCCAAGAAGTTTTCAAACTGCTCAGCATAGTGTGTCTATTACACACATTATTAAAAGAAGAAAGGTTGCCTGTGCTTCTGGTAAAAACTCCTGCAGAAAATAAAAATCAAAACTATCTTGTAACCAGGAGGATTATGTGGAATAAAGTCAGTTTTCAAGAAGTCTGGCTTTTTATTTATTAAACAGAGTGGGAATGGAGCAGGGTGAGAAGAAACACCAGCTTTCAGTGAAAGTCATTTTAAAGACGCTTGTTCCTGTTTAATGTGCTCATCATAATGCAGTGAATGACACTCCAGCGGAGAACATCGGTCACTCCAGTGATAACAGAATTTGGAAAGGATGGTGAACAGTTCTAAAAATATTTTTTAAATCTTTTATGCTAAGGATAGCTGCAGAATATAATTAAAATACCAAAGAAAATACCCCAAATTAAAAATTTGAGAAAGAAACTTATCTTCTGTGCTTCACATATCCTAAAATTAAACTTTTTACTCTTCCTTCTTGACACCTGAGCCCCAACCTGTCCTACAGAACACATCTTGTTACTATACTGAATGAGAATAAAAAAGAATGGGATATTGTTTATTAATCACTTATTCTCTCAATAAATATTTGTTTTGCCTTTTGTAATTTTTTTTTCTTTGAGTGTTTTCAAATCTTCCTTTTGAGGTTCAAACCTTAAAATACAGTTTTCAGGTGGATTATTTACTTCTTTTCCAATTACTCTCCAAGTAGGATGTTAATTACCAATGAGGCCATTTGAGATCACTGACCTAACATAATTCAAGCTGCCCCATGAAAAACTATACCTCAACACAGAATTAGGAGAGCCCTGGTTATCATTCAGTGTGTGCTTTATTATTACATACTATATTTATATATATTTGTAAAGAAGTGGCAGAAAGGGAATCAGGAATATTAACAATAATATTAAAATCCCTATTATTGTTTTTGTAAGGATGTCTTTTATAGCATGACCTATGTATTTGTTCCACATATGCTCATTCTTACCAGCTTATAATTTATGGATGTTTGGTGCGGGGCAGTTACAGGGATCTCAAATGGGCTCAGTTCAGGTTCTATTTCAAGGGTAGGTATGGGAAGATTTCCCTTCCTCACCCTTACAATCTCATGAGGTCTCCAGGCCCTACTGCCCTTCTCTGGGGAGTTCAAAGAGAGGTTGCCCACATAGAGAAGTGGACAAAATAGGCCAAAGTCTAAGGCTAAGACTGGAATCATTTCTGCAAGGTGGTCACCAGGAAAAGTACTGGCTGCTGTCAAAGGAAGTCCTCTCTAGAGATGCTGAGAGGAGGAAGAGGCATTAATGCAAGCCCATAGGTCCAGGCAATGGACATTGCTCATTCCAGTGAGGGCTGGACCATCTGCAGAGCCAACTCAGCTCCCACAGCTCCTTGAACTTCAAATAATGTCCCTCCCAGTGACCTTGGCTCTAATAGTCCTCATTATTGGGAGGCTCCATTGATCTTCCTGCTCTCAGTCCCCCCATCCACTTTCTTTCCATGCCTGGAGGGAATCCTTTTTAATGTTGAGAGGCAAATCCTCTTTCCTCAAACTCTACTTTCTTGCTAACACTTGGCTATGCTCCACGTCCCACTATTCTGCTTATGATCCAGGCTTTCAAAAACAAAGATGGGAAGACTTCTCCCTCACCTCCTACATTTTTTTTTTCCTGTAAATAAGATAGCTACTACTTTCCCAGCCCTAATTACAGGTCAGTCCCTGCAAGGCCTGCCCTCTACCTCACCACACTTTTCCTTACTCTAGAGGCTTTCAGTTCCTGAACTGATACAGCCTCTCTCTCCCCCAGAGCCTTTGTCCAGAATGGTCTTCTCCTTCCTCTAGTTGCTCATGTCTACTTAACTCCTATTTATTATTCAAATCTCAGGTCTCAGCTCCTGATACTTCAGTGAATCTTTCCCTGACCTTGAGTCTAGGTCAAATTCCCATATTATGCAATTTTATAAAAGTAGGTACCACTCCTTGAGAGCATTTATAGCAATTGCAATATTATATTTGTTAGTGTCTTTATTGGGTAGTGTCTGCTTCCCACACTACACTGCCAGTTCCTTGAGGGCAGGGATTTTTTAATCACTCTCATCATTAAATCCTCAGTGCCTAACAAGAGGAGCATGACAGGCTCTTGCTGAATAAAGTCCTTTTTCTCCCCCACTGTAATCTTTAGAGTCACTAGGATTGCATCAATTCTATTTGTGAAAACCCCCTCAGTAACTAAATAAATTAGGTCAGACCAATCTGGACTTCCAAAGGATTTAGTGTAATTTCTCTAACAGAATAACTAAATCTGGAGGACAATGACCAAATTTAGAAGAAAAAGGCTGAAAGTTGAAATTCCACTTGTACATGTAGCCTAATTACAATTCCTAATTCCGCTTGTACTTGTAGCCTAAGTACAAGTAGATGTTGTAAAAGGTTATTAGCTTCATAGTAGATTTAAATTGCACATACTACAATCCAGGAATGAAGAAATATTCTTTTTTAAACAAGTTAAACTTTACTTGCTCTCAAGCCCCCATTTCTGTTTGGTAGCAGAAAAATAACAAACTTAATTTTTCCACTTAAATATAACTGTCTTGGGCTGGGTGCAGTGGCTCATACCTGTAATCCCAGCACTTTGGGAGGCCAAGGTGGGCAGATCATCTGAGGTCAGGAGTTCAAGACCAGCCTGGCCAACATGGTGAAATCCCGTCTCTACCAAAAATATAAAAATTAGGCAGATGTGGTGGCACACACCTGTAGTCTTAGCTACTTGGGAGGCTGAGGCAGGAGAAATGCTTGAACCCAGGAGGTGGAGGTTGCAGTGAGCCAAGATCACACCACTGCACTCCAGCCTGGGCAATGCAGCGAGACTCTTTCTCAAAATAAATAAATAAATACACACACACACACACACACACACACACACACACACACACACGTTATTTAGACATTGTAATCTTTAAACTGTTCCCTAGCATAACCTCTGGGTGCAGATGCAGGACTTGTTACACATAGAAAAGGCATAACTAAACAGTAAACTAGTCACTCTATGGTGTGGGGTGAATATCTTTCTGCAAAGTACTCCAAGAGTTGAGAGATGCAATTCTGGATCTTTTTGGGGGAATGGCTCCTCATTTGAGCAGGTAGTGACATGAAAATGGCTCCTATCTCTATGCTAAGTCTATTTTGTAATACAGAAAATAAGGTGTTTGGGAGGCTGAGGCAGGCGGATCACCTGAGGTCAGGAATTCGAGACCAGCCTGACCAACATGGAGAAACCCCACCTCTACTAAAAATACGAAATTAGCTGGGCATGGTGGCGAGCGCCTGTAATGCCAGCTACTTGGGAGGCTGAGGCAGGAGAACTGCTTAAACCCGGGAGGCAGAGGTTGTGGTGAGCCAAGATTGTGCCATTGCACTCTAGCCTGGGCAACAAGAGCAAAACTCCAAAGAAAATAAGGTGTAATACCAGCCAATAACCCAGGCAGTGACCTTGCATTAATGATTAGAAGAGTTTTTTGCCTTAGAAGAAAAAGTTAGGGGAAAAGAAAACAAAAGCCAAGTCTTTATTCCTAATACAGGAAACAAGACTATCTGTATCTTTTAATTTACTTTTTCCATTGAGCAAATATTTAATCATATCAATAGTCTGCTACGTATTTAGTAGGTACTCTTGGGGAGATACAAAGGAATTATACGATAGTCTCACCTTTAAAAATATTCACAATCTTCTTGAGATTTGACAACTAAGAAAAAAATAATTTAAAGTGGAGTGAAGTGGGGCTCTTTATCTTTTGATTTTCTCCTTGACACAATGGCTAAGAGTTTTCTGATCAAAGAAGCCGACTCCTTTGGCCTTAAATTAGGCTAATGTACAAAGATGAACATATAATTAATTATGTTAAACCAGCAAGTCTACTTTTTCACCAATTCAATACCATCCTATAGTTTCTATTTTACTTGGCAAGGAATTTTCTAGCCCTGTGGTGATGGTAAAATATTCAACAAGAAGAATTTGCAAGTCAAATTTAGAAAATACCCTCTTCAGTTCAGGCCAACATCATAGCATATACACTCAAGTATAATAAAAGAAGTTAAAAAAAGTTTGAGCCTTCACATTTCATTCAATATATAAACATGTATATTGAGTCAATTCTCTATTAGAAACATTTAAATAGTTTCAATCTTTTATTTTTGTTTTATGCTATTATAGTACTGCAACCTTTTTTCCAAGGTTCTGCAATACAAAAAGCTCTGAAAACTTTTGTAACCCATTTTGTGGTAAAAGCTGAATGGACGTGAACTTATTTAGCAATAAAACCTACAAAGTTATTAAGCTACTTATGATCTTCACTTAGCTGACTTCACATGAATATATGTTTCACTGCAGAATTATTTTATTGTAGGGTGTTGTTCCAGTACCTACTGGGGGTGTTATACAATATACAGCATATGCAATATTATCTTTTTTAAATATGAGAAGTTCTGAATTCTGAAACACATATGCCCCAGAGTTTTGAATATGGGACTTTGGAACTGTAGGCATTGCAACAAATATCCTTAACATTTTTGTTTTGTCAGGATAAATGTATATCGTGTATACATATCAAGTCAAATTATCTGGGTTTGAATCCTTGTTCTGTCATTTATTAGCTGTAGCTATACTTAAATTTTTTCATCAGTAAAATGGGGATAAGATTTCGAATTATTCTAGGGATTAAATGAGGTAACATATGCAAAACACTTAAAATGTCTGGCAATTAGTAAGCATTTAATACATGTCAGCTATAATTATGATAACATAAGAGTGCACCAATTTATAACCAATTTATCTTTCTAACAACAGTGCATCCATTTCCCTATGCTTTTGTCTACATTTGGTATTATCATTTTTGTCTATTGTGACAGGCCAAAAAACAAAGAGAGAGAGATCCCATTGTTTTGCTTACATTTCTTTGATTTCCAGCGATGTTGAAAATATTTTCCTAATTTCATGAACCATTAGTATTTTTACGCTCTTTTTCTTGAGTGTCACAATTTTATAAAGATCTTCCCTATTACAATATTTACATTTCCTATTACAATATTTACATCTTCCTGTATTTTTTCTTAGTATTTGCAAGCCTGTTTGTTACTGTCTTTCCTTCCTTTCTTCCTTTTCAGAGTTTAATCCTTTTAGGATTAATTTTCGTATACGACTTTAAAAATATCCTATAGAGTTAGCCAGTTGCCCCAGTACCAGTTAAATACCAGTTACTGAATAATTCATCTTTTCTCCACTGATTAAAAACTCCATTTTTATTGCATACTAAATTACTGGTATTCTTCTAGATATTATATATTAATCCTTTGATTGATCTATTATTTCTTTTCTTTCTTTTTTATTTATTTTTTTGAGACCGAGTTTCGCTCTGTCACCCAGGCTGGAGTGCAGTGGCGCAATCTCAGCTCACTGCAACCTCTGCCTCCTGGATTCAAGTGATTCTCATGCCTCAGACACTGAGTAGCTGGTATTACAGGCATGCACCACCACACCCGGCTAATTTTTGTATTTTTAAATTTTTTATTTTGTAATTTTTGTATTTGTAGTACAGCCCCATGTTGGCCAGGCTGGTCTCGAACTCCTGACCTCAAGTGATCCGCCTGCCTCAGCCTCCCTAAGTCCTGGGATTATAGGCATGAGCCACTGCACACAGCCTGATCTATTATTTCTCTTGCCCACACCATATTGTTTTGACTTCTGGTATGTCAAATACTCCATTATTTTGATTTTTCAAAATTTTCTTAGGTATTGATACACATTTATTCTCCCACATGAAAATCAGAATGCATTGGCAAAGTTTTCAACAAAACTGCCTGGGGATTTTGATTGGAATTAACTTGAGGAAAACTAGCATATTCCATATTGAGTCTTCTCATTTATTCAAGAACATAAAATGTCATTTCTTCATAAACTTTATGTATGTTTCATAAACTTTAAAGTCCTTTTTAATAGCTATAGCTGATTAACAAGTTCTGAAATAAGCATGCCCTTTTAATTTTTAGCAAATGGAAAACTAAATTGATTAACATGTGAATACCTTTATTTGTACTAGGTAGTTGTGAGGGACTGAATGTTTGTGTCGACCCCCGACCCTCGGCAAAATTCGTATGTTCAAGCCCTCACCCACAATGTGATACTTGGAAATGAGGGGGAGGTAATTAGGGTTAGTTGGGATTTCATGTTGGGAGTTAGTGCCTTTATGAGAGACACCAGAGAGCTTGCTCTCTCTCCATGCTCACACAAAGAAGAGGTCATGTGAGCACAGAGTAAGAAGGTGGCAGTCTGCAACCCAAGAGGAGAGCCTTCATCAGAAACCAACCATGCCGATGCCCAGATCTTGGACTTCTAGCCTCCAGAACTGTGAGAAATAAATTTCTGTTGTTTAAGCCACCCTGTCTGTGATACTGCAATATGGAAGTCCAAGCAGACAAATACAGTAATATATTTGTTACTTAGTGTGTCCCCAGACTCTGGGTTACTCCAGGCTTCACAAGTTAATTATAGCCCAAGGAAATAGGAGAACTGAAACAGCAAATATGGCAATAGAAAGGGCTATTTTGTTTGTAAAGTGCATTTTACTGTATTGCTTTGCATAAGGATTCAGAAAAAATAAAGGATTCTAAGTCACCTTTTTCCCTCATTCAAAATGAAAACCTCTCTGTTTTTATTTATTTTTTGAGACAAGGTGTCTATCACCCATGCTGCAGTACAGTGGCATGATTTTAGCTCACTGCAGCCTTGAGCTCCCGGTCTCAAGTGATTCTCCTGCCTTACCCTCTTGAGTAGCTGGGACTACCAGCTCCTGCCACCATGCCCAGCTAATTTTTATTTTTAAATTTTGTGTAGAGATGGAGTCTTGCTCTGTTGGCCAAGCTGGTCTTAGACTCCTGGCATCGAGCAATCCTCCTGCCTTGGCCTGAAAATAGTTTCTGGGCTCCACATTTCTAGAAATGCTGGTTTCCCTATTTTATTGCATAGAAGAATGCCAATGAGAAAACTGTTATTGATGTTTAGTGACCACGTTACCATTTGGGCATATTTGGAAGTGGTAACATGGAAGTACAATGTAGTCATTCCTTATACTTGTGGAACACTTTACTAAATACATTTATATATATATATATATATATATATTTTTTAGTATTTATTGATCATTCTTGGGTGTTTCTCGGAGAGGGAGATTTGGCAGGGTCATAGGACAATAGTGGAGGGAAGGTCAGCAGATAAACATGTGAACAAGGGTCTCTGGTTTTCCTAGGCAGAGGACCCTGCGGCCTTCCACAGTGTTTGTGTCCCTGGGTACTTGAGATTAGGGAGTGGTGATGACTCTTAACGAGCATGCTGCCTTCAAGCATCTGTTTAACAAAGCACATCTTGCACCGCCCTTAATCCATTTAACCCTGAGTGGACACAGCACATGTTTCAGAGAGCACGGGGTTGGGGGTAAGGTTATAGATTAACAGCATCCCAAGGCAGAAGAATTTTTCTTAGTACAGAACAAAATGGAGTCTCCTATGTCTACTTCTTTCTACACAGACACAGTAACAATCCCACCCCTCTTTCCTTTCTCCACATTTCCCCCCTTCTATTTGACAAAACCGCCATCGTCATCATGGCCCGCTCTCAATAAGCTGTTGGGCATGCCTCCCAGACGGGGTGGCGGCCGGGCAGAGGGGCTCCTCACTTCCCAGACGGGGTGGCCGGGCAGAGGCGCCCCCCACCTCCCGGACGGGGCGGCTGCTGGGTGGGGGCTGCCCCCCACCTCCCTCCCAGACGGGGCGGCTGGCTGGGCGGGGGCTGCCCCCCACCTCCCTCCCGGAAGGGGCGGCTGGCCGGGCGGGGGCTGCCCCCCACCTCCTGGACGGGGCGGCTGCCAGGCGGAGACGCTCCTCACTTCCCGGATGGGGCGGCTGCCGGGCGGAGGGGCTCCTCACTTCTCAGACGGGGCGGCCGGGCAGAGACGCTCCTCACCTCCCAGACGGGGTGGCGGTCGGGCAGAGACACTCCTCAGATCCCAAACGGGGTTGCGGCCGGGAAGAGGCACTCCTCACATCCCAGACGGGGCGGCGGGACAGAGGCGCTCCCCACATCTCAGACGATGGGCGGCCGGGCAGAGACGCTCCTCACTTCCCAGACTGGGCGGCCGGGCAGAGGGGCTCCTCACATCCCAGACGACGGGCGGTCAGGCAGAGACGCTCCTCACTTCCCAGACGGGGTGGTGGCCGCGCAGAGGCTGCAATCTCGGCACTTTGGGAGGCCAAGGCAGGAGGCTGGGAGGTGGAGGTTGTAGCGAGCCGAGATCACGCCACTGCACTCCAGGCTGGGCAAGATTGAGCACTGAGTGAGCCAGACTCCGTCTGCAATCCCGGCACCTCGGGAGGCCCAGGCGGGCAGACCACTCGCGGTCAGGAGCTGGAGACCAGCCAGGCCAACATGGCGAAACCCCGTCTCCACCAAAAAATACAAAAACCAGTCAGGCGTGGCGGCGCGCGCCTGCAATCCCAGGCACTCGGCAGGCTGAGGCAGGAGAATCAGGCAGGGAGGCTGCAGTGAGCCGAGGTGGCGGCAGTACAGTCCAGCCTCGGCTGGGCATCAGAGGGAGACCGTGGAAAGTGGAAGACGGGAGAGGGGGAGGGATTTATATTTTTGTATGCAAAATTTTCTTTCAGTCTCATTCTATGAATGGAGTAAACTCAGATTCAGAGAAATATACGTCTATCACAAGTTAGCAGAGAACTACAGTTTGATTTGACTTATTCCACTGAATGAAACTTTTTCTGAGAATGTATTGTATGCACACTATGGTCCCCACCCTAGGTCTTTCTGTGCTGTGGTGGTCGGATTTTCTCTTAGCTTCTTGACAGACTCAAGCCATACTGTACTTACTTAGCTCAGGCTAGATCTAAGGATCTAGCCTACCACTGGAGTCTGAAACCACAGCCAGATGTGTAGTGCTGCCTCTCCTAAGGTGCAAACCTCTCTCTGCCAGTCCCTACCAAACTGGAGCCCCTACTGGACCAGAATTGAAAAGGGTGTCTCTTAACAGCTGAGGTATTTGCTTGGAAAGCTCTCCTTCAACCCTCTCTTTCCTCTTTTCCCCATTCTGGTTAATCTGCTTTGTATACAGTGAAAAGAAGGTTTGAGATTTGATCTCAGGTCCAAATGGGAAGCCAGGCAGGCCACATGAAACTCATAGGCCTTAATTTACTCATTGTCCTACTTTATCCTGAACTAAACCTTTCACTAGTAGTTAAGTGGCCATTGGAAGTGAAATGATGTCCCAAATTCAACATAAGACTTGCTCTTGATGAAGTAGAAGGAAGCAAAAACATTGTTGAAACAGTAGGGATTTGCAAGGCAAGAATAATGAAAATAATGCCACATTAAATTGAAAAACAGGCAAACTAAAGTTGTGTTTTGAAAAGACAAGTAATATTTAGTTCTAACTTTGTAATGATTGTGTACGTAGAAGATAAATCAGGAGCAAGATATGCAGCAGTGATTGTCATCTGAGGAAAAGTTAATTTCTAAAATTTTTATTCAAAAATTGCTTATATGTCTTCTAAACTACAAAAGAGTGCACAGTAACAACTTATCTTTGAATTTAAATCTGTGGGCATTTTAAATTCTTATTTATAATAGCTTTGTCTTATTTTTTTTAATTAATTTTACTTTTTTTGATTAATTTTACTTTTTTTTTGGTCTCACTCAGTCACCAAGGCTGGAATGTGGTAGCACCATCACTGCTTGCTGCAGCCTCAACTCCTGGGCTCAAGCAATCCTCCCACCTCAGTCTCCCAAGTAGCTGGGACAACAGGCACGTGCCACTGCATCTCGCTAATTTTCTTATTTTCTGTAGACATGGGGTCTCCCTATGTTGCCCAGGCTGGTCTTTAACTCTTGGGCTCAAGTGATTCTCCTGCCTTGGTCTCCCAAAGTGCTGGAATTACAGATGTGCGCCACCATGCCCAGCCTTGTCTTATTATATTATCTTTAGATACATTATGCCTCAGAAATATTTATGGATCATGGAATGGATCATGTCATATAGGAGAAAAAAAAGAGATTGCTTTCAGTACTTTGGAAATATTGAACTTATTTTAAATATTTTCGAAAGAACTACGAACCTCTGTGATTGACTGGTACAGAATTACCAAATCTGATGGCGTCCCAGTATTTCACTAGTGATAGTGTTCTCAGAAGAGCTCTTATGAATAGTGCTACCAGCATGGATCCAGCATATTTTCTTTGCCCTCAGTCCCCTAAACTCAAGGGTAGAAAATAATACAATTTTCCTTCATAGAGTATAGATAAGAAGCATTGTGGTACATAGAGGAATACAGGACTAGGTGACAGGGAACAGCTGCATTTTAGTTTTGGCTCTGAGATATTTTTAACCAAATCATTTCATCTTTCTAGGTTTTAATTTCCTCATCTATAAAAATGGAGATAACAATTCTTTTATCATTGAATATCTGGAATGATTAAATAAAACAGACCACAAAAAAAGAAAAAAATTATTGAGGAGCCAATATATGCCAAGTACTATAGTTAAAGTGGAACTCCTAAGAGCTCCATTAGACCCATGATTGTACCAAATTACAATTTTAAATCAAATCATTAATAAAATGCTTTCAAGTAATCCTTATTTCACTCTAAAAGAAACTTTAATTTTAATACATTTTAAGGCTTACTATTACCAACTCTCAAAAGCAGAATAAATCAACAGTTGAAAAATAAAAATGCTTCCTAAAGATATTTCCTTCCAAATGTGTCATCTGTTGGCAGACTAATAATTCATAGTAAAAATAATCTGTATGTTTTACATTTTTATAAAATATTTTTCAAAGGGGATACTAAATTGAGTGTAATAAGTTAAATAAGCAAACTAGCTAAAATTTAACAATGGAAAAGTCTCAAATTATTGTTACAATATTCTACTATCTAAAGACTACTTTATAGATGGAAATCAATTAATTCCATACAATATTTTAAAACATTCTATAGATAAAACTTCCTCAAACAGAATTTTAATCCAAAGTGTTACCCATCAAATTTGGGGGAAAAAAGGATTACATACATCAAAATATGCTAAAAGGACATTTAGTTTTACCTGAAAATAAAATTCAGTAAAATCCAAAAAATAATTACATATTATAGATTAAAAACTTGAGCTGTTAAAATTAGAAAAATATCTAGGCATAACTATTACACTATAAATATCACAAGAATTTAATAAATGTTTCAATAATATATTTTTCTATTAAACACAAATATACATACAAATATTTAGGAAGAATCCATAGCTTCTAGTTACAGATGACAAACCTGATAGGGTCACAGCTTTTCATTTGACCTGATATACAAATAACTTGAAAGTAGTAAGACTCATATTTTTAATCATTTTGGTATATAGTTAAGTCAGATTTTATTTTCAGCAGGTTTCCGTAATTTCTTATTAGAAAGGTCAGCTAGTTATTTGAAAAATAATTTAAAATTACTTTATCTTTGATATTTAAGTCTAGTTAGAATACATATGGCATATATATATATATCTTTATAAAAATAAACTATTGCTAGATTTTTTTCTGAGATTAGGTAGATAAATTAAAATATTCTAGAACATAATCTGAACTTAAAAAAACAAAATAGAAATCACCAATTCAATGTGTAAATATAGCAGAAGAGTTCCTTTTATGTTTGACATATTGACCATGTGTCTAGTATAGCCCTTTGAAATACTTTTACTCCCTAAAACCTTGTTAAATAGAAATTTGTACTTTTTTATTCAATCATTATTTACTAGGGAGTTTTGCTATTCAAACCAAAGGTTTTTGCAATTAAACCAAGGATTAGCAGTTTTCCATTTTTTATGTTTAAGTGGTGTGGTACAACTCCTTTACATACCTTATATAATAAAATGTATCAGGAAAAGCTATTACTCTTTAGATGTACAATACATAGTTACTTAGGTGATAAAGAGTTAATAAAATTTTCAAGGTCTGCTAAAGAATTTTGAAGTCCGTCATTCATATCTTGACTTCTGAGAAATTTTTTCAGAGTATCTAAAGCAGTTATTGCCTCAGATTTTGATGGTAAAGGGAGTTCAGTTCCTGGAGATCCATCATCATCCTCTTCATCAGAAGTGTAAAATCCAGTTTCATCCGATTTACTTTCTTTGGTGCATATGGAATCACCATTTGGTGCTGCTTCACATGTCTCCAAATCATCATCCAGGGCAGCATATTCTTCTATAGATAAACCTTCAGGAAATTCTACTCCTGCCCCCAGAGCATCAGCAACCAAATCCAGACCAGTATCCTTCTCTGCATTTGTTATGTCACTTTCTCCCTTTTGAGATTTGAATCCTGCCTCTTCATAGCTTTTAACAATAGTCTCTGGGGTTACAGCCCTCCAGCAAAGATGCAATGTATCAACTGCATCTAGTAGTGAAAATGTAAATTCTTTGCTACCTTCAACAGAGCTTAAAAATTTCTTGATAAGACAGTGTCGATATTTGATTTTAAGGCTTTTAATAACACCTTGTTTCATAGCTATACATTTGGAAGATAAACATGATGGAAAGAATGCTAACTCAATGGATTTTAGGTTCTTTACCTCTGGATGTGCTGGAAAAGACTCAACAAAAATCACCACTCTTCGTTGCTGGGCTTGAAATTCCTCATCAAGCTTTCGCATCCATTGTTCAAATACATCGGAGGTCATCCATGCCATTCTGTTAGCTTCATAACACACAGGCAATGATTTTAAACCTTTGAAACAATGTGGAGTTCTCTTTTTTCCAATGACAAGCAAAGGAAGTTTCTCTGAGCCATCCATGTTTGTGCCAACCACCAGAGTTATTCTGTCTTTGCATAACTTTCCAACTGAACATGTTTCGCCTTTAAATGCAAATGTATTGGTAGGTAACATTCGATAAAGCAGCCCAGTCTCTTTTATATTAAAAACATTTTTAGGATGATAATCATTTAAATAATAAGGAAGTACATTTTGGTACCAGACAGTCGAAGGGTCTACTGGTACACCTGTAGCTTCTACAGGTTGAGCTCTGAATACTAAACCATACCTGGATTTAAAACGATCCAGCCAACCATTACTGCACTTAAAATCATTATGGCCCAGTTTCTGGGCAAAATCATTAGCTTTTAGACGTAACATCGGACCATTAACTGGTACATTTAGACACTGAGCAATTCGATACCATCTCATTAATGCCTCTTCCAGATCTGTGTAAAAAGCAGTTCTCAGTCTTTTTCTCTTTGGATCAAATCTTAGAGATTCAAAGGCTTCTAGAACTTTGTCTTTATTCTTCATAATAGAAGACAATGAATTTTTCTTTATTCCATATTCAGCAGCAATCTCTGCTTTTTTCTTGCCACTTTCCACTGCATTTATGATGTCGATCTTTTCCTCAATGGATAGGCTTTTCTTTTTCTTCACTGTTACAGGCAGAGTTGAGGCATCCACAGAAGCTTCTGCCATCTCAGCCAGTGCTTATGTAGAGATTACTCTTCTTAACTTCCTGGTGACTGTTTCTTTAATTAAATTTGTTTTCCAGTATAATATAGATTGCTGCTTTCTATCCTACTTTATACACTAAAAGTTGGTGTCTAATAGTCTTATTTTGTAGGAACTTGATGACAAAATATGCTTTTTCAAAGATCTGAAGAAAAATATTATATGCAACTAGAATATTTTAGAAGAGAAACTTCCTTCCTAGTACCTTGTATAGCTCAGTTTATAGCTTATTCAGAGTTGTAGAAGTCAAGCTAAAATAGAAATCTCATTATATAAAACCTGTCCAGTCCTGCTGATGTATTTTTGGAACTTCAATCCTTTAAGATGATCCATTTTATCCATGCACACATTCAACCTCCTATTAATTCTCCATAGAAGGCCTCAGAGATAAGAAAAAACGTTCAAAAGTTTTCATGCAACTATTACCCATTAATTTTCAAGTTTGTTCATGGTAAAGAAGAAAATGGTAGAATCCTTCTAGAACTTGCCAGTATATCTTCTTCTGTTGTTTGAAAAATTAAAAAAAAAGCAATTTTAGCGATATGTCAATTGAATATTAAAATAATGCTTATACCCAATTATTATGTTCTTAATAATGAAAATAATAGAAGCATGGTTCTGAAAATACAATAAAGTTTCCAAGAGAAATGCTTACCTCCCAAAGGCCTCTCTGTAAAAGCTCTCTAGTTCTGTTCTACAGATTTGAATTCTCACTTGCCTTTGAATGCTTTATAATATATAGTTCTGAAATAAATCAGATAAATTTAATCTATTTTGAAAATGTGGGCTTACCAAAATTAAAGAACTAAAAATGATGCTGGATAGATGCTTGGTGGCTATTTTTCACATGAGGTCACAGACTGCACCCTCTAACTTCTCCAAAAGAAAACATACTCAGACAGTAGTCACAAGGTTCAACTTTTAATAGCATATGGGAGACAGTGTCTCTTTTATAGGAGTCTGACAGAAAATGCTTCCCTAAAAAATCAAGTGACAATTCTATTTAAAAAAAATCTAAATCCCATTCGACCTAAAAGCTTAAAAACCCAATACCTTTTTATTTTTATGATTTAAAATTTTTCTCTCTTTTTTCTTTTTTAACCCTTATCCTGTTAGTAGGCTAAGAACTCAGTAACTTTTGTATTAATTTGACACATTAGCTGAAGGTACAGAGGCCAGAAATACTGGACAAAAGGCATAGAAACAAACAATTAGGAGAGTATAATGCAGAAAAAGATGTAGACTAAGAACAGGAAGGATAGTGACCACAAGTCTTAACGTCTCAGGTCTTCTACTTTCTATCTGTAAAAAAAAAAAGGTGCCAGGCAGTTCTGAATTGAGAAGTGACTCTGCTATTTAGTACTCATGTGATCCCAGGTAATTTACTTAACCATATGAAGCTTCAGCTTCCTTATCTGTAAAATGGGAGTAACTACAGCACCTATCTCATTATTGTGCATTCAAAAAGATTCAATGAAAGAGTGTAAAGCACGTAGCACAGTATTTAGTACTTTAAGAAAGTGCTCAACAAATAGGTGGTGATGATCTCATCATCATTATCTCTCTCATGTCTTTTGGCTGTGTGAATCTACAATTTGGAAAACTATAAAATCCTACTTGCAAACAGAAGCAAGAATCCCACCTTAAATCTATACTCAAAGTAGGGCTTTTCTTTTTTTTTTTTCTTTTGAGATGGAGTCTCACTCTGTCGCCCAGGCTGGTATACAGTGGCACAATCTCGGCTCACTGCAACCTCTGCCTCCCAGGTTCATGCGATTCTCCTGCCTCAGCCTCCCAAGTAGCTGGGACTACAGGCACACGCCACCACGTCCAGCTAATTTTTGTATTTTTAGTAGAGACGGGATTTCAACATGTTGGCCAGGATGGTCTCAATCTCTTGACCTCATGATCTGCCCGCCTCGGCTGCCTCCAGCCTCCCAAAGTGCTAGGATTACAGGCGTGAGCCACTGTGCCCGGCCTAAAGTAGGGCTTTTCTTAAGCCATGAGAACAGTCACATGGCCCCAGATAGGCTCACCTCTACTTTCCCAAGTCAGCACCTCCCTTATCAGAATCTGTGGGGCAGCCAAGATAATAACAAGCTAATTTGATGAGCAGTGTTACTTCTGTGTGAGTGTGGGCACTCCATTCTTCTTGCTGGGCTTCCTGGTTTCCCAGGTGATGCACAACTTTTTGCACAAAATCTTTTGACAAAACTTTTGCCAAAATTCTTCTGCCCTTGTTGTCCAACTCAAAGGAGGAATTTTTATCATAGGAATTACAACCAGTAAAGGAATTCTTTTTTTAAAAAAGTGTCATTTCGAAAAAAGTCTTAAAAATAATGATAGCCCAGGGTTTTAGTTTTTAAATGGTTTTACTACCTGTATTCCAAATAACTAAGGAGGAAGGTAAAACTGGATTTCATTGGTCCCACAGTTACAATGTGGTTAAGAGCAGTCCAGAATCCAGGCTTCTAAATGTCAAGTCAGCATTCTTTACAACTATATTACAGTATCTTTGAATCACACTGGTGGGACCTCCTGTGACCATAGTTACGGATTCTATGCTCCCAGCACCAACCTAAGCCAGCATTTCCAATGCCTTAAAAAAAAAAAAAAAAAAAAAAAAGCAACATTAGGCCTCCATGGAAGAATAGGCCATTATGAATTCTGTGAACACAAATAGCAACTCTATCTGTCAGCGAGGGCAAACCTAAGTAATAAGATTTGACCATACAACTAACATTAAAAAAATCTTGCTTGTATATGGGATCTCTTCTTATATTTTCCTACAATTTCCTATAAATATGCAATTATTTCAAAATAAAAATAAAATTCTTGCTCTTATTAGGAAGATACCAACCTTCAGAAATTGACATAGCAAAAACTAATTTTTCAAAGACAAAACCAACCAAATTTACTATGAGAATCTCTCAACTTCGTCCTTCCTTCTTTCCTTCCTCTTTTCTTTCCTTCCCTTTTTTCTTTCCTTCCTTCCCTTCCTTCCTCCCTCTCCCAATCCCTCCCTCTCTTCCTCCCTCCCTTCCTTCCTCTCTCCCTCCTGCCTTATCTCATTTATCAGAAATAAAATCTATCATGTCAAACAGCAAGGATTATAGAAAAAGTAACTTGAATTTCTTCTTTTCCCATCCTGGTTAAAGTGACATAATATATACTATCAGAGATTGCTCATTATCTTGAGAAAATTGAAAATGTGATAACTTTATTTAGGAAGATTAGGTTTTTCCCCTGAGTTAACATTAGTCAAAGCTACAATTTTCCATGATAAGATACATCTTTATTCCTAAAAATAATCACATTTCTAATGCCAAACAGACAAATTAGACTTTTTCCCTAGAAAAGAATAAGGCATCAATACTACCTGATCAATGAAGCTGACATTCTCCAAACTCCAACAGTATAACATCTGGGATATTCTTTTGCAAGGAGTAATGGCAGCAGCTAATATTTCTCAGAATAGTCATCCTTTCAAGCTCATTAATCATTCTCCCTCTTGAAAATATTACAGCAGAGAAATGCTATTCTACATGTTAGGGAATATTTTCTCTATGTCAATGGTTAAGCTAATCAGAAAATAAGAATATGCAAATCATCAAAAAAGACTCACCAAATTAATTTCAAATAAAGAAAACAATGGTCAATCCTACTATTAATAAGAAAAACATAATCTTCTTTTAAAAAAAACATTTTTGTTTTTGCCTATCAGAATGTCAGTATCTAGCGTTTGCTGGGGTGAGGTAACAGGTTGTTAGGAGGCACATAAATTGTTACAATACGCTTATGGAGGGCAAATTTGCAATATGATATACAAACCTTAAAACTGTGTATAACGTTTTATCTAGCAAGTCTATATCAAGGATTTTTTTTTTTTTTTTAAGAGGGAGTATCGCTTTGTCACCCAGGCTAGAGTGCAGTGGTGCAATCTCAGCTAACTGCAACATCTGCCTCCTGGGTTCAAGCAATTCTCCTGCCTCAGCCTCCCAAGTAGCTGTGACTACAGGCATGTGCCACCACGTCTGGCTAATTTTTTGTATTTTTAGTAGAGACGGGGATTCACCGTGTTAGTCAGGATGGTCTCCATCTTCTGACTTCGTGATCCGTTCACCTTGGCCTCCCAAAGTGCTGGGATTACAGGTGTGAGCCACCATGCCCGGCCTATATCAAGGATTTTATCCCAAAAGAATAATTATAGATGTAAAAATAATTTCTTACAAATGTATTAGTTTTCTACTGCTAATGCAACAAATTACCACAAACTCAATGCCTTAAAACAACACCCATTTATTATCTCACAGTTCTGTAGATCTTAAGTCCAGGTGGGCTCAACTGGGTCCTCTGTTTAGGGTCTCACAAGGTAGAAATCAAGATGTTGGTCAGAAGCTGGGCTCTTATCTGGAGGCTCTGGGGAAGAATTTGCTTCCAGGCGCAATCAGATTGTTTGCAGAATTCAGTTCCTTGCTGTTGTAGGACTATGGTCCCTAGTTTTTTTGGTTGGCTGTTGGCAGGGACTACTCTCAGCTTCTAGAGGCTTCCCTCAGGTCCTTGTCTGTGGGAAATTGTCATTTCAGCAATGGAGAACATTCCTCCTGTAGAGTCTCTTTCACACTTTGAATCTCTCTGACTTCCTCTACTGCCACAAGCAGGAGAAAACTCTCTGTTCTTAAAGTGCTCACTTGATTAGGTTAGGTCTACCTAGAATATTGCCCTTTTGATTAATTCAGAGTCAATTGATTAGCAACCTTAATTATATCTCCAAAATTCCCTTGCAAGTAACATAACATAATCATGGAAGTAATATCCCATCATGTTCACAGGGAGAGGGAATTATACAAGGTAAGTGTCACTGGAGTTCATCTTAGAATTCCACCTGCTACACGGGACTATTCCCTGCATTGCTATATAATTACAGACAAAATTGAAAATATGCAACAAAAAGGATTCATTCAATAAATTACAAAATATCTACATGCTGAAATACTATTGTGCCACACAAAGAGAATATTTAATGATATGAAAAAATTCCATGATACATTAAGTGAAAAAAGCAAAATATAAAATTATATGTCAACAAATACAACATACACTAAAAATTACATCAGAGCAGAGGCTCATGGTTATTCCTACACAGCTCACTTCCAGCAAACCATAGGGTGTCAGTAGCAATTTGTTAAATAAATGAAGAAATATATATCTACATAGATATAAAGAAAAAAAATACATTGACCAAAATGTTGAATGTTCTCTCTAGGTAAATGAATTATAAATAAGTTCAGTTTTTTCCTCTTTATAGTTAAAAACATTTTTACAACTCTAATGTTCTACCTTTTTTTTCTTCCACAACAGTCATCTTAGAATAATGTTCTACTTTTGCACCAAGTTATTAAAAAAAAAATCAGTATCAGAAAACATAAAGCTGGCATTCTTCCCATTCAGAATCTCTAGGAGTAATGAGTCACTCTCCTTTCATCAGTAGTTTATACCCCTCTGCAGAGAATCAACTACTTTCCAAACTTAAGACAGCACTCACTCATTGTCTTCTACAGATAGATAGCAACTATATCCACTTAATCCTACTTGTACCATTACCCTAAGTAGCAGGAGTTGCTGGTATTCTTGAACTTGCCTGGTATGCAGCAGACAACATATTTCCATAACTCAACTAGAATTGGCCAATTTCCTGGTGTTATAAGAGAATCAAGTAAGTCCAAAGTTCAGTTTCCCAAAAACCATCTTATTTATCATGGGAAAACATGCAAGACAGTAGTATAAAGCAGACTGAAATGGGGGCTCAAATCAAAGGCTGTAAGATCCAAAAACAGGGAAAAATGAATTCTCACAGGGAGGATAAATAATGGGTTCATGACAGAAGTAGCATCTGAACTCAACTGTAAAGGATGGATAGGTACATCACAGGTAAGGAAAAATAGGAAAACATTTCTGCTGATAAGAATAGACAATAAAGCATGGAAGAGGGAAATATGCACTTTGAAGCATATTAAACATTTCTTTGCAACTAAAGTTTCATATCTATGTCTATATTGGTATTTATACCTATCTCTATTAGTTGGCTAAATTAGCACTTTTCCTTCAGGTATATAAGAGAGTGCTCATTTGCAAGATTGAGGCCAGATCTTGGTAAGCCTTTAATGCCAGGATAAAGAATTAGACTTCATTGAGTATGCCACAAATGCCATTCAGGGCTACTAGAGTTCCCCACAAGCCCAATGAATAAATAGCACCTGATTTTTCAAAAGCCAAATAAACAGCCAATAGCAGTGCAAAGTTAAATGAGTAGATAATCTCCATGTCATAAGTATATATGGAAGGCAGCTATTCCCTTTTTTCTTACCTCTCTAAAAATAAATGACAATTCAGAGAAAAGTAGTAATCTTCTATTCTAAACAAAATGAGCAGGCAGGGTCCCCCAAGTTTTAGGGCAAAGGAAGAAAGGAAGAAAAGAAGGGAGGGAGGGAGGAAGGAAGGAAGAAAAAAAGGAAGGAAGGAGGGGAGAAAGGAAAAAAGGAAGGAAGGGAGGGAGGGAGGGAAGGAGGAAAGAAAAAGAGGAAGAAGGAAGGAAGGAGAAGGGAGGGAGACAAGAAGGAAAGGAGGAAAGAAAAAGAGGAAGGAGGGAAAAAAGGAAGAGAGGGAGAGAGGGAAGAGAAAACAAGTCTCCTCTAAGCAGGGCCAGGCTTAAAATGATGTTTTTCAGTTAGTACCAAAAATATTCCCCAATCCAAAGAACGCTGGTTTGCTGCTTCCATTGTCTCAAAGGATGTATAGAATTCCACTATTTTCCATCACCAGCTGAAGTAGTTTCTAGTGTTTTCTTGGAGCCAGACTACATTCTAATTTCCTTCAGGGCAGTGGAAATCATGGAAAGATTAATCCTGTGTATATATAGCCTTGCACAGCGTAATACTGTGGATGAGGATTAATCGTACACAGTACCAGAATTCACTGAAGAGTATCTAACTTGGTTAGCATCTTCACCAAGCAGAAGTTAGCATTAGTTCCAAATCCATCTGAATCTCCATCAAAACCATCAGCAGCTGCCAAGGAAACTATGAACAAACTAAAGCAAGTCTTCACCTTTCCAAAATAAGAAACACTTCAGAGTCTGACAGTCTAATAGTTAGACTAACTTTAGTCAAGCTAAGCATCTCCAAACTCAAGAGACAGCTAGCAGGAATCTTTAAGATAACAGCCAGCAAAAACAATTTAGTATTCATTGTCCACATCATTCAAGCACCGCTGAGTCCTACCGTACACTTCCTCCAAGTCACCCTTCTGAAACCCTAGGAACAACACTTGTACTTAGCTGCAAGTTCTGTAGTTGCTCAGTTCCTACACAATTACAGCAGTAATTAATTTAGATTGGGATTATTTTCTTATAATTGAGAAGACTAATGGTCTCCAAACCAACAAGATGGCTTTGTACAGAAAAATCCACAGTAAGCTATAACAATTGAAGTTACAGTTTGAGTGGGTTGGCATATATATTTGCTCCTTTCTTTTGTTTAAGACAGAACCACTTAAGATAAGAGATTTATGTTTTGGAATTTCAGTACTATTTTTTTAAGAGGTGGTATCCTAGAGAGCTCAATCAATATTGTTATACATTGGAAACATTTATGGTGCCATAGGTGTTTACTATTCACAGATCTGGGGAAGATACCTGCCAGGGATATTTCACTACACTGAAACTCCCTGGAAATCTGTAGAGGTAGAGCTCTGCCTTTGGGCATTAGTCATTAAAAATATCTTGTCAGCTACTGTGACAAGTAAAGGCAGCTGAGAAGTACGGTCTAAAGAAGGGTAAATCTCGCCGTGTGCACAGTTACCCTTCGCATTTCTACAAGTGAAATGGGAGTAAAAATGAGCATTCAAAGCTGTCAAAGGAAAAGCAGTCCAGCAGTTCGAAGGGATATTCTGTGATGGACCAACTGTATGGTACAGTGTGTAAATGAACTTCAGGTCTATCTAGCGCCACGGGGGAGCCACGCTTTCGCACCACTGAGCTCTGGGGATGGGGAGAGTAGTGCAGGTTGGGGCCCCGTTTAGGAAACTACGAAGGGCTCTGAGAGAGCGAATTGTTCAGCAGTTTCCGTGACAGAACAATGATCTATTTAAGAAGTAATGGGGCAAGCAAAGAAAGCAGAGCTCGGTCATCCGGAAAAAGAAAGAGGAGCCGGAAAGAAAAGTATCAAGGAATCTACTGTGAGAGAGCGAGCAAAAAGCAAAAAGCGATCACAAATCCAGAGCAAGTAAGAGCTCAGGGATGCCGGGCCCGGGGGTCTAGCCTTTCTGAAGGGAGAGGGCTCCCCAGGCACGGGGGCAGCGCGAGGCAGCGCCCGCATTCCGTCTGCTGCCTTATCTTCGCATTCTCCCTACCACCCCCACCTTCCCCCCGGGACTGGAATAACCTTCTTCGTGCTCTCCGGTGGCTGAGAAAGCAGCTTTCGCTCTTCTGTGGTAGCGTGGAGGTGAGGTACATCTACCTCCACCCTCCCGGCACCAGCTCACGGTCTGTTGGGGGGGTCCTCCTAACGTGTGAGGCTAGGGTGTGTGAATGAAAAAGAGGGAGGCGGAGGCCTCCTGGAGACCTTCGACCTCTCAAGACCAGGCAGGGGCGCCCTTCCGCAAGCTCCCAGCTCTAGCCGGTGCCTCTGGCCCCGCGCGCATTAGGTCGCTGCCAGAAAATTACCCGGGCAACGACACCGCCGGAGTCCCGGATGTGGTTGCTAGGGCAGCAGAGGGAGGGGCGTAGCCCGCCTCCCGGAGAAGGGCGGAGGGATCCTCGTGGGAGGTGCGCTGACACCACCGAGACGTGGCCGGGCAAGGCCGGATTGAGGGAGAGAGAGGCCGTCCAGGGCCAGGGACAACGCTACTTCCGGTCTCCTCACTTCCGGCTTCGCTGCTCTTGGTTCTGGTTCTGGAGGCTGGGTTGAGAGGTCGCCGGTCCGACTGTCCTCGGCGGTTGGTCAGTGTGAATTTGTGACAGCTGCAGTTGCTCCCCGCCCCCGAGCAGCCGAGGTGCGTGGGGGAAGGGGAAGAAGGAAAAGGTCCGGGTCGCGTTTCCGCTCAGTTTTTGCCAGGGTTGAGGCGATTCCAGAGAGCGGCGGAAAGGATAAGCCTCGACTTAGAAGCTACCGAGTTACCCTAAGAAAGGTGAGGGCGGAGCTGGCTCGCCTGGGAAAAGGCGGGGGAAAGATGGTTTGAGGTGGCTGGTGGGGCGGGCACGTTGCCTACGGGTTCACCGTTCCGAACTTTCACAGGGCACGCCTCTCCTTAGTCTGTGCCGTATCTGCCCAAGTGTTATGCCTTTGGTTTCTTCTGTCCTTCATTCCTTCTGTCCCTCTGAGTGTGCCCCCGAAACAGTCGAGTGAAGGTGTAGGACCGGCCCTTGCAGGGAGGCACTCTCTTGGCTTTGCATACATTGGGTGGGAAAAGGAGTTGCAGGATCCAGAATCCGGACCTTTCTTGACAAAGTGTCGGAGTGGGCCACCTTCAGGCTTGCTGTCCAACCCTCATTTCTCCCCTCTTCTCCCTGCATCCCCAGCTTCCTCTCTCCCGCAGTGGGAGGAAGGGAGATAGTGACAGTCCCTCTGAGAGATTCATCTGGCAGTGGTGCAGAGAGGAGTCTTGCCTGTGAAATGTCCCAAGCCTGACTAAGGAATGCTGGAGTTTTGGAAAGGGAGTTGTTCGATTGTCTTCTGCTCCGTTCCTGTTTGCCAAGTTACTACTGTTTACGTGTCTAGGAAAAGGAAATAATTTTTTAAAAACAGTTTTTAGATGCTAGACGTTTTTCCCTTTTACTTTATTTTGTTATTACTTCCTTTGTTTTGTTCTTACCTTCCTCTTGAGCCCTTTGATTTCAAAAAGTTTACACTTTATACTTCCTGCAGATCCTTTGGCCACTCTTAGGATTTCTGTCCCCCGCCCCTACCCTGTTTTCTCCTAAAGTATAAAATTCATCTAACTACATTATTATTTGATAAGGAAAAGCCGGAAGAGATCCAGAACTTCGCATAAACTTTTGCTTTCATACTTTCACCTGTAAGGGTGTGTTCATGTTTGCCATTTAATTAACTTAATTGGCATAGAAATGTGCACCAGAAATGGTTACCTTAAGTCAGCCGTCTGTTAAGGCTTCAGGAATTGGCCTTTTCTTTTTTCTTTTTTTTTTTTTTTTTTTGAGACAGAGTCTCACTCTGTCGCCCAGGCTGGAGTGCATTGGCACGATCTCGGCTCACCGCAACGTCCACCTCCCAGGCTCAAGCTTTTCTCCTGTCTCAGCCTTCTGAGTAGCTGGGTTTACAGGTAGGCGCCACTACCGCCTAGCTAATTTTTGTATTTTTAGTAGAGACGGGGTTTCACCGTGTTGGCCAGGCTGGTCTCAAACTCCTGACCTCAAATGATCCTCCCTCCTCGGCCTCCCAAAGTGTTGGGATTACAGGCGTGAGCCACCGCGCCCGGCCGAATTGGCCATTTCATTGCTGTTCTCTCAGAGCGGCTACAGATTACTATATTTTACTGCTGCCTTAATTCTGCTTTTCTTTCGTTTGTCCTGTGGTGTTTTTTGTTTTGTTTTCCTTGCTTAGCATGACCCACGTCTTCTCCCAACTACCAAGTCTAACACACTTTTATCTGAGAAAAGAGAAAAGATTTCTAATGTATTTTGTGGATTAAATCCCTGCCTCAGTTACTTTAGTTTCTTTCCAAATTGATAAACTGGTTTTCCTTGGATTATGATTTGCCTTAATCCTGGATGATGACTTGGGGTTCATGGCCTAAGGGTCAACAACTTTCAGGGGTCTTCCTCATTCCCACCCCTGAAATTATATGCAGTTTTGTTTGAGTGAATTTTTTTCCCCCCTGGGGAAAGTGTCCATTGTTTTTATCAAATTCTCAAAGGAGATATACAGCCTCTTGATAGATTAAAACCACCACTTAGGCAGTGTCTTGTTGAAGTTAGTGAAAACAGGTTTTGTGTGTGTATGTGTGTGTGTGTTTTCCACTTAGGCAGTATCTTGTTGAAGTTAGTGAAAACAGGTGTGTATGTGTGTGTGCTTTCCCAAACTGTGCAAAGGAGATATATAGCTTCTTGATAGATTAAAACCACCACTTAGGCAGTGTCTTGTTGAAGTTAGTGAAAACAGGTAGGGGTGTGTGTGTGTGTGTGTGTGTGTGTGTGTGTGTGTTTTCCCAAACTGTAAATTGTTTGCTTTGGGACCAAGGAAAGGAGAATGCAGGGATTCTTCTAGTTTGATATTGAAATCTCTCCTTTAAAACATTAGTGTTTCTAAATTCCTTCCTAGACTTACAGAAGGAAATGAGGCTGCCCACTTTATTTCCTGATTTGTGGTTTTGAGGTTTCTTCTTAGGGATAGCTGTTTGTGGTCCATGCTCTGGAGATCCAGTGGATTTACAAACTGATGTGCCTATCTTTAATATGTATTAAATATCACCAACCAACTAGGCACAGTTCAGAGTAAAAAATTTAAATTCTAGTTGTATTTTGCTTTCATTTTCTTAATTTTTTTTGCTTGAGGCATGTACCTTAGGATTTGATTTGGCTTTGCTATGAAAAACAAACAAGATGTTTCAGTGGTGTGGTCCTTTGGAATGTTGTTGCTTATCTTGACATCCCCTTTCCCTCCATTCTGTATGAGATATTTTAATGATTGTTTCTCTCTTGTGAATACGTTAGTATCCTTCCAAGCTTAATGTAAGTTTTAGAGTACATATTTGAACTTACTGATTTGGTTGTGAATTATTTGTTGATTGAGGGTTGCAGTTCTAAAGGTCTGATACTTTTTTTTTTAGAATGTTAACTTGAAGAGACCTATACAGCTCATCATAGTCTATCATGAGTATCCAGTTTCTTCTGCTCACAGAATAAGTTTTCCTCTGTCTAGCAACCTCACTTGGGGGAGCAGTCAACATAAGTTTATAGAGAATAGCGTATGCTAGGCTGGGCACGGTGCCTCACACCTGTAATCCCAACACTTTGGGAGGCTGTGGCGGGTGGATCACTTGATGTCAGGAGTTCAAAACCTGGCCAACATGGTGAAACCCCATCTCTCCTAAAAATAAAAAAATTAGCCGGGTGTGTGTTGCATGCCTGTAGTCCCAGCTACTTGGGAGGGGCTGAGGCAGGAGAATCGCTTGAACCCAGGAGGCGGAGGCTGCAGTAAGCCAAGATCCCACCACTTCACTCCAGCCTGGCCAACAGAGTGAGACTCCATCTCAAAAACAACATCAACAACAGACTAGCTTATGCTAAATTAGTTTCCTTTTAAGGTAATGACAAATTCGGAAGATATTTTATATCTAACACTGTAACAGTTACATTTATTTGCTTACCATGTGCATTAAGCTAAGTGCTTTACATTATTATCTCAAATGATAACCTTATAAAGTGGCTAAAGTCCTCATTTCTGTAGGTGAAGAAAATAAAGCTGAATGATTAACTGAAGCTAAAGTAGTCTGCTCAGAATTGCGCTGGTGGAGCCAGTGCATGGCTCCACCTACGTTGTCTGACTCTAGACTACTACTGTAGACAACTTCTACCATGCGTCCATTATGTCCTTTTTGAAATGAGTTGGAGATATATCACCTGACTTTCTATCAGGTGTTGAGAAAAGGTTGTTTCCTTTCTTAATCTTCAGTGGATGAACATCTGGTTGAATATCATACTGAGAAGTTTGACAAAAAAGTGAATTTGGTGGAGGCAGTTGGTAGGGGTTTCCTATGGGGATGGATATAAGTCTCTGGTGTGTGTGTGTGTGTGTGTTAGAACACACACACCTACTTGAAATAAAGAATTGTAAGTATTATAAATTCTTGAAATGAAGATTCAAATAATAAGCAGATGGTGTGTGTGTATATGAGGAGGGGAAAATGTGAAAATGAAGATTATAAGTAATAAACTGGGCATTGTAAGAGTCTGGAAGTATAAATAAATTTTAGAATAATACATTTGGGATGGAAAGAATAAATTCAGAATGGAAGAAGGAGTAAATTAAACAGGAAACTTTAATATGGTTATGGATGAAAAACTAAAATATTTGTACAGAATGGAAAGTGAGTTGTTCCACTTAATATGGAAGTTGATGACTTAGGATCATGACAATCTAAAAGTCAGATATGTAGCACTACTTCTGGATGTATGAAAAAGACTATTGGCCTGAAAATAATTTTGTTTTCCTTGATCTTTAGTAGCTTTTGGCAGTCATGGAAGCTGCCGAATGGCTCTTGCAGATTAACAGATATTCTTTATGAGACAAAAGTATTTATTTTCTTTTTCTTTTTCCTTTATTCCTATTCTCCTCTTTCTCCCATCTCTCATTCCATTCTCCTCCATTCCTTCTAAGCCTTTGTCTTAGGATGGGCATAGGCAGGTGTTGCTCAAACCTTTAGTTGTTCCTGAAAAAGGAATATAAAGTCTCTTTATGAAATACACTTTTTTCCCTTAATGAACATACTTATTTAAGTGAATGCTGTTTTTCAGAGTAGGCAATCTGCTTTGAAATCTTCTTCTAGTATGACTGTCGGTTCAGATTGAGACATACAAAAATGAAGTTCTTGCCTGGCTTCGTCACTTCGTGACCTCAGTCACCAGAATCTGAATAACTTTGGGTATTTGGAAAAAATCAGATCCTCTCTTGAAAGACAAAGATTTGGGGATCTGAAGGTAGTTGCAAAACAGGCAATTGCTCAAATCTTTTGTGAAAATATGGCAGTGTCTTTACCATGTTCTCACCTAAGATAAGAATTTATATTTTATTTTTGTATATCTGTGATAGCATTGGACTAGCAGCTCCTTGATGTTGAAGCTTGAGCCTCATTGGTCCCTGGGGAACAGTGACATACTGCCTTTGGAACAGGATCATAAAAGCAGCAGAGTTAGTGGTAAGCCCTAAATCTTCCAGAGGAGGGAGTCAGTTCGCCAACTCCAGTTTCTGCTAGCCTGAGATACTCATCATGGCACACATAAAAAATGATTATAATTGTATGGCAGACTAGAGCCAGGCCCTCCTTGGTTCCTTGGAAGCTGTGGAGTGGGGGAATGGGTCACAATTTCAGCACATCTGTAATCCATTCTTGGCACACTGTTTGGAAATCTTTGCCCTAGAGAAAAGGAATATGTTACTCTGTTTAATACCTTCTGTTTGTTTAGCATGTAATAATTTACAAAGCACTTTCACATACATCCTCATTTTATTTTTACTCCAGCCATACCAAATAGGTAGAGCAGATAACATCACCACATTAGAAATAAAGAAATTGAGATTTAGGTAAAGTGCTTTGTCCAGGGTCACATACCTAAAAAGGGATGGATCAGGAATTTATACCCTCAGTGGAAAGAGCCCCTGGGTTTAAGCCCGTGATCTGTAATCTCTAAAATGGCCAGGACCTTATCTGTTTTGTTTCAGTGCTATATATTGCCCAGGGTGGTCTTGAACTCCTGGGCTCAAGCGATCTTCCCGCCTTGGCCTCCCAAAGTGCTGGGATAACAGGCATGAACCACTGCATCCAGCATAAGTATTATAAATTCTTGAAATAAAGATTCAAGTAATAAGCAGAAAATGGAAAGGATGTTTTTTCTATTCCTCTAATCTCTCCACCCACCACACCTCTCTCCCAGTTAATTTGAAAAGTAGGTATTGGGGAATCAGATGAAATATATGAGAAAGCTGTAAACCTGCACTGTCTAATGCCAGGGATGCTAGCCACATGTAGCTATTTAAGTTAGTTAAAATTAAATACAATAAAAGATTCAGTTCCTCATTGTACCAGCCACATTTCAGTGTCAGTATCATATGTGGCTGGTGGCTACTTTATTGGACAGTGCAAATTTAGAACATTTCCAACAACATTGGCCAGCCCTGATAAAACTTTAAAATGCGACATGATATGATGTGATACATAATTCCTATATTGTTGAACCACGAGTTTAAAAATCTGCTACCCATGGTGCCTAGCAGTTTTTGTTTTAGCTGATGAAATGTTATTGCCATGTTCTCTCTCAGCTTTTTGTTTTAACTAAATCCAGATGGTCAAAGTCTAAGTCTAACATTTTTCTTGGATATTTGGGGATTATAGTTAGCTGCTTTTCTAGGATAAAGATGTCAGCTTCATTAAGGGCATGAGTGTTTTCTGTCTGCTTTGAGCTGTAGATCTGTATGTCTTGCTGTCTTGTTGACATCCTTTCTTGAATATCTTAAAGGTATCTCAAATCCAGTATGTCTAAAATGAAACTGATTTCCCCTTCCCTCCCTACAAAACTGCACAACGTTGGTTCTTTCTTTGTTCCTTTTTTCAGTGAATGACACAATTATCTTTTCATTGTAAAATCCAGAAAACTAGAAGTGATCCTTAATTCCCTCTCCCTGATAGATCCAATGATTGAACAAGTTTTTAAAGTCTTACTTTCTACATGACTCTTGAATTTTTCTATTTCTTCCTGTTTCCACTACTGCCACTTCATCTTGCCTGAAACTTTTACAATAGCCTCCATTCTTATCTGTCCTCTCTAATTCATTACCCATCTTGAAGGCACAGTGATTTATTTTGAAACACACATTGGATTATCACTCTCCTTCTTCCTCCCCCAGTGCTTTTATGGCTTTCCATTGCTTCTAGGATCAAAATAAAACTGCTTAACAGCCTTTAGCTCTCCAGACTCATCTTGTACCATGTTCTGCATAACTCTCCAGTTCAACCATGCTGGCCTTCTTTAGTCCTTTGTATGCACCTTGCTCCCTGCCATTTTTGCAAGGCTTTTGTACATGCTTTTCTCTCTGTCTGGACCATTCTTTCTTTACTTTCATTTCATTTCACTTGTTAGTTCCTAGTCATCCTTCACACCTCAGCTGAAGTTTTGCATCCTTAGAGAATATGCTCACTTCCCACATTAAGGTAATAGCATCATACATTTCCCGCAGTTTGCAATTTACATTTATTCATGTGACTGTAAGATTTTCTTTCTGTTCAGTGGCCTATAAACTTCATGAAGGTAAGGTCCATATCTTGTTTTCTTTTTTGGCTCATTTTTGAATCCCTAGAACCTAGCTCAGTACCTGACACCTAAATTTGACTCATTAAATTTCCAAGTTAATGGTATTAAGGATTTCAGTTCATCGAGTTTTGTAATACAAGAATTTGAATATGAATTTTTATAAAAATAGTGTTAAAATGGTAGTACAGTTTGAACATTCCTAATCCAAAAACTTGAAATCCAAAATGCTGCAAAATTCAAAACTTTTTTGAGCCCAACATGATGCTACAAGTACATAATTCTACACCCAACTTTATGTGATGAATCAAAGTCAGAATGCAGGTGTACAACAGTTTCTCCAAGAGAAAAAAGACCTGCCTAGCCCCCTTCAGCTGCCATATATCTTTTCCTCACACAGCCAGATGCACCTACGCAAGCATGCCCGCAAAGGGCAATACAATGCCATGTGTATGTGTAAGAAATGATTGGTTATACGTAGCATATAAATTCAGAGACGGGAATGATAGTGATGTCAAACAACCACAGACTGTCCACATGAGTGGCTGAGATAGTGACACCTTTGCTTTTGGATGGTACAGTGTATACAAACTTTGTTTCATGCAAAAAATTATTAAAAGTATTATATAAAATTACCTTCAAGCTATGTGTATAAGGTGTATATGAAATGTAAATGAATTTTGTGTTTACACTTGGGTCCCTTCCTGAAGATACCTCATTATGCATATGGAAATATTCCAAATGCCAAAAAAATCTGAAATCCAAAACATTTCTAGTCTCAAACATTTTGGAAAAGGGATAATCAACCTGTAATTAAATTTTCAGTTTGACTATTTCTTTCAAGTGTATGGAAATAAATTATTAGGCCGGGCACAGTGGCTCACGCCTGTAATCCCAGCACTTTGGGTGGCCGAGGTGGGTGGATCACTTGAGGTTGGGAGTTCAAGACCAGCCTGGCCAACATGGTGAAACCCTGTCTCTACTAAAAAATATACATATACAGATTAGCTGGGCGTGGTGACCTGCACCTGTAATTCCAGCTACTTGGGAGGTTGAGGTGGAAGATCGTTTGAACCTGGGAGGCAGAGGTTGCAGTGAGCCGAGATCGTGCCTCTGCACTCCAGCCTGGGCGACAGCAAGACTCCGTCTCAAAACAAAAAATGTGTTATTAGTAGCTATATAAAATATAGCAATATAGCACAGTATTCTTACACTATTTTGTAATAGACCCTTTTATTTTTGGATGGTTTTAGTTTTACAGAATTACTGTGAAGATAGAATAGAGCTTCCCATACCCACTTTCCCCTATTATAAGATAGGCTGTGCACAGTGGCTCATGCCAGTAATCCTAGCACTTTGGGAGGTCAAGGCAGGTGGATTGCTTCAGCTCAGGAGTTCAAGACCAGCCTGGGCAACATGGTGAAACCCCATCTCTACCAAAAATACAAAAAATTAGCTGGGCATGGTGGTGCCCATCTGTGATCTCAGCTACTTGGGAGGCTGAGGTGGGAGGATTACTTGAGCCCAGGAGGCGGAGGTTGCAGTGAGCAGAGATTATGCCACGGTACTCCATCCTGGATGACAGAGCGAGACTCCATCTCAAAAAAACAAAAACAAAAACATACTACATTAGCATAGTACATTTGTCACAATTAACCAATATTGGCACGTAATTATTAAAGTCCATATTTTATTCAGATTACCTCACTTTTCCCCAATGTCTTTTTTTTTTTTTTTTTTTTCTGTTCAAGGATCCCATCTAGGATAGCATATTACCTTTAGTGGTCATGTATCCTTTCATTTTGACAGTTTCTCAGATTTCCTTGTTTTTGATGACAAGTTGATAGTTTTGAAGATTACTGCCTGGTCAGGTATTTTGTAGACTGTCCCTCAGTTGGGACTTGTCTGCTGTTTTTCTCATTAGACTGGGTGATATGTTTCTAGGAGGAAGATCACAGAAGTAAAGTGCCATTCCCATCACATCATATCAAGAATACAGACTTTTTTTTTTTTTTTTTTTTTTTTTTTTGAGGTAGAGTCTCACTCTGTTGCCCAGGCTGGAGTGCAGTAACGCAATCTCGGCTCACTGCAACCTCCACCTCCTGGGTTCAAGCGATTTTCCTGTCTCAGCCTCCCAAGTAGCTGGGTCTACAGGTACATGCCACCATGCCCGGCTAATTTTTGTATTTTTAGTAGAGAGAGGTTTCACCATGTTGGCCAGGCTGGTCTTGAACTCCTGACCTCAGGTGATCCACACACCTCAGCCTCCCAAAGTGTTGGGATTACAGGCGTGAGCCACTGTACCTGGCCAAGAATACAAACTATTAATATGACAGTACCATTGATATTAACCTTGACTACTTGGCTTGAGATAATGTTCATCAGTTTTGTCCACTGTAAAGTTACTCTGTTTTCCCCCTCCTTTTGTATATTGTACTTTTTAGAAGAAAGTCTCTCTGTGAAGCACACAATTGGGAATTGGGGAATTATGCTTTACCTCTTTAAGGGTGAAGTGTCTACATAAATTTTTGAAAAATCTTCTATAAGAGTTTTTTGTCTATTCTCCCCTTTCAGTCGTTTATTTATATCAGTCTGACTCATGGATATTTATTTTATACTTAAGGGTAAATCCAGTAGTACTTTATTACTTTGTTGCTCAAATTGTTTCAGCTGTGGCCACTGGGAGCTCTTTTAGTTGGTTCCTGTATTCCTTTGACATACTCCTGTCATTGTGAGACTTTTGTTCTTGTTTTGTTTGTTTGTTTGTTTTTGAGCACTTTTAACTTTCTGGTATTACAAAATGCTCTAGGCTCACCTTGTGTATTACCTACCACAGGCCTAGAATCAGCCTTTTCTCCAAGGAGCACTGATTCCTTCTATTGGAGAATAGTATTAGAAACCAATATCTGGGCACTATGTTTGCTCATTGCTGTTGGAATGTCATTGCTTCTAGGCCCTCCCAGTGGACAGAGTAAGGAAATATATGTGTGTACACTAACTCATGTATATACACATATCTATAAATATTTCTATATGTAACTATATATATGTTAAGCTATATTTTCAGTTTATTTCCTGTGAGCATTTTTCATTAAAAAAATTACCTGTGAATATTGAAGGGGTTTATTTTACATGGTTTTGGGAATTTAGTAACAAAAAGTAACTCTCCAATTATCCATTGCTAAGGGACAAAAGCAGTTCAGATAATACCAAATAACAGGTAACCTGTTTGATCTTTGAATGAAATCAATTACAACAACAGAGATGACCACCTCTCTTGGTTCTTGGTTGGCTTCACTGCTAATGTTCTGGAACTGAGCCATCTATGAAGAATGAGGCCACAGCATACTGAATAATTTAGAGTTAATTTACAGCTAGTTTTCTTTTCAGAGAGTAATTTAGTTTTGAGAGTCTTATCATTTTACTTCTCATTGGTTTCTCTGTAACACAGTCTGAGTGGGGAAATTTAAAAAGACTTCTGCAGACAGTCAGTTTTGTTACCTAAGAGTTGGTTATGGTGGTAGAGATAGGCATAGTTGAAAATCTGTTAGGTTAACTTTTAAATTGTTTCTTATTATGCATATAATTCAGAAGTAACTATTTTGTCAGGGCTTTCTATTTTTGAATTATCTAGACTGATGTGTTTATCTTTTTTTTTTTTTTTTTTTTTTTGAGGCAGAATCTCAATCTGTTGCCCAGGCTGGAGTGTAGTGTCACAGTCTCGGCTTACTGCAACCTCTGCCTCCCAGGTTAAGCGATCCTCCTACCTCAGCTTCCTGAGTCACTGGGACCCCAGGTGCGTGCCACCATGCCTGGCTCATTTTTGTATTTTTTTTTTTATAGAGACGAGGTTTTGCCAGGTTGCCCAGGCTGATCTTGAACTCCTGGGCTTAAGTGATCCACTGGCCTTGGCCTCCCAAAGTGCTGGGATTACAGGCTTGAGCCACCATGCCTGGCCCGATGTGTTTATCTTAATAAGCAACCTGAACTTAATTTATCAATATGTAAAAGAACTTGTAGGTATTTAGCAAAATAGCTTTTACAGATACCAGATAGTTGTTAATATAAAGACAGAAGAATAATGTAAGTTATTCTGTATTATCTTCTTTGGTTATTCTATTTATAAAAATAAATGTAATATACTTTGAACATATTGTGTGGTAAGCCATTTCCATTTCTTTTGCATTGGACAGTAAGGAAAATGATTCGTTTTTCTTCTTGTTAGGAGAACTGTCATCAGAAAACAAAATCATTTTAAATTGTTTTGACTGAAAAGCTTCTATATTTTGGATATTTTCAACTCTGAACATATAGTTTTAAAATGGAGTCATGTATGGTAACTCAATTTTTTATTGTAAACAAGTCAGTTCAACTTGAAAATTAATATTCAGTTACGAAATCAAAACAAGTCTTTTCCAGGTTTTAAGCAATGTCATCTTGGTATAAGCTCTGTTTTCTGAATATAAACCTATTTTCATTGTAATTTCTAAAAATCCAGTAGGTTTCTGGATTTTGTAAAGACGTAAATACAGATATAATTTTGCAAATTTCTTAGTATTTTATTTTGAGGTGAGAATTTTGTTATAGTTTATAAAAGATATTTTCCTCTTCAGACCTCAGGGCTATTTTGGGACCTACAAATAAGTATGACCACCAGCTGCTTCAATTCTTGCTATTCAAAAGGTTAATAGTCTTTAAGTTAAATATAATGTGATATTATTCAACAGAAAGAATATGTTTTTCCTTTTTAACCTCGAACAAATTCTGTATCTGATGTTTAAAAAGTATTTTTAAAAGTTGTGGTAATATAAAAATATGTGGAAATTGTGGCTGAAGCATTAAAAATAACTTGCAAAATAAATATATTCTAATGGTAAAGAAAAAACTGATCTTACCATTCTGTTCCTGTTTATCCATGAATGAGAAAAGATGGGCATATTCCAGTAGATTTCATCAAAAGTGAAAGAAATAGAGCCACTTAAAAAAATCTTTAGAATAATAACTGATCTCTGGAATATCAAGTCTAAAGAAACTAAGCAAAATCACTTTAAAACAAGCCCAAGTTTTGCTACTTTTTGCTCTCAGTGTTTTCTATTTACCTCCTTTTATTGTCCTTGACTCACCAGTCAGAAGTTCTTGATGCTGTATATCATTATTTATAGTACTTTTCAAACTTTTTTTTACTAAAGTACCTTTAGAAAGAGTAATAACCCTTTAGACATTTCTTTGAAGACTCATATTTTATCATAAAAATTCAGTAAATTTCTTTGAAGACTTATGTGTGTTGTTTTATTCAAGTGAATTTTGCTTTAGATTCTATATTTAGTGAAAAATAATGTAAATTCATATTCCAGTATGATGTGCCATGTTTATCTTGTCTGCTATGGTTGTATCTGCCCTCCTGTGTCTTGGGCATACCACTTCAGACCACCTGTTATATGAGTACCTGAATTTGAAAAGCTCCCATTATGATTTATGTTCAACAACACTCCTGCCACAGATCCTTTATCATTAGACTTCTGAATCTTTAAACTCAGTGTTGTCATGGAGACTCTGAAGGGGTTTTAGGGATCCTGGCAAATCTAATACCTCCTGCCCTCTCTTTCCTGGGTGCTAAGAAGACCTTAAATGCATTTAAGAGTGGTAGAGTATAAAACTCTCCCTCACTAAAATTTGGGAAATGATCTTACAAGGTTTTCCTCTGTATAGATTTGGTCTATTCAGTATGTATATATAAAAATGTGATTTTTATAGTAAAATCAAAGCAGCTACAAAGAGTTGGATGGATTTTAAACTTGAGGTGACAAATTCTAATTAATAATTCACTTTGTAGGTCTTTGGTTCTTACACTCTTTTGTTAGCAAATACCTCTGGCTGATTTACAGTAGAACCCCCAGAGATGACTTAATGACATTTTGGCCTCCAATATAACTGGTTTGTGAGGGCTGAACATCAGTGGTGGTTTTGTAATAGTAATTTATCACTCTGTTTTAAAGACAGCTTTCAAAGATAACTGAATTCATACAAAAATTAGAAAATGTATAACCTAAACAGCATAAATTATATAGGTCATTAACTTCTTAAGTCTTGTTACTCCCATGTATTTTGTTATCAAAGTTATAAACAAGAAGACCTTTAAGAAATAAATATGAAGTGGATCAGAGCACTTAAAGAATGAGCCGAGATAGCACCATCGTACTCCAGCCTGGGCAACAAGAGCGAAACTCCGTCTCAAAAAAAAAAAAATGATATATATATATATAATATATATATAATATTTAGTACCTATCTCTGTAATTCTCAGAAATTTGATTTATGTTTCTCTATCTGCCTTGAGTTATTTGGTCTTTTCCAGAGCTGAATGATAATGATGTACAGTGGTCTTCCCATAGTCTTGGGGGAGATGTTCCAAGACCCACATACCTGAAACTGTGGATAGTCCCAAACTCCATATGTACTAAGTTTTCTCCTATACATACATACCTATGATAAAGTTTAATTTGTAAATTAGACACAATAAGAGATTAACAACAGTAATAATAAAATAGAACAATTATAACAACATATTTTCTTAGTCTGTTTGAGTTGCTATAAAGGAATATCTGAGGCGGAGTAATTTATAAAGAAGAGAGGTTTATTTTCAGACCATGGTTGACAGCTGATAAACTGTGGGAAGCTAAAACATGGATAAGGTGGGGGACCTACTATATTTTCCTCATTGGTGCTGTTTTATACAGGCGGTCAAATGATAACTCCTATTTCACAAGAAAGTAAGACAGCAAAAACGAACTGCCTGAACCTTCCATTTTTCCATGTTACTCTTCACTATCTCTACAGGTTCCTTCTTCCTTTATTCTGGCCTCACTGGAAGAGATTTTCTTCTTTTATTTAAAGGGTAATTCCTCTACCTTTGTTCAGAATTTCTTACTGTTTTTAAAAAACTTTTCATCTAATTTTAGACTTGCGGAAGAGCTGCAAAAATAGTAGAGTTCCCTTACATTCCTCACCCCATTTCCCCTAATGCTAACATCTTACATAACCATAATATAATTATTACAAGTAGGAAATGAACATTGATATAATATTATTGATTAAACTATAGCTCTTATTAGAATGAAACCAAATTTTCAACTACTGTCTGTTTTCAGTCCCAGGGTCCTATATAGGAACTCACATTGAATTTAGCAATTTCTCCGTAGTCTCTTTTAAAGTTTCTAACATTTTGCTTGTCTTTTATGACTATGACACTTTTGAAGAATACTAATCAGTTATTTTTAGAATATCTCGCAGTTTAGGTTTGTCTGATGTTTTCTCATGATTGGACTGAGCCTATGCATTTTTGGCAAGAATACCACAAAAATGATGTTGTGTCTTTCTTAGTGCATTGTATTGAGGGGTTTATGATATATGTCTTACTACTTATGATTACTTGATCACTTGGTTGAGTGTGTTGTTTTTACACTGTGAAGTTACTATCTTTCCCTTTTTAGTTGGTAAGTATCTTGTTGGAGCTACGTGGAGACTGTGTAAATCCTGTTTCTCCTCAAACTATTGCTCTCTAATTTTAGCATCTCTCAAGTGGATCTTGTCTGCAGTATTTGTGATATTTGCCTGATGTTGATTGTTTCCCACTTTGCTTCCTATGTTAATTTACTTATCGTCTATTGTGAAGAAGAGTTGTCGCTTTTCCTCCATTTACTTATCAGATTGTTTATATCAATATGGACTCATTAATATTTTACTCCTTGTTTTTGATCTAGTACTATCATTTATTTTGTTGCTGTATTCGTTCCAGCATTGGCTGTTATGGGCTCCTTCAGGTTGGCTCCTGTGTTCTTTCAACAAACCCCCATCTGTTTTTGAAGTTTTCTTTATTTTCTGACACCATGTCAGCATGTGGAAATTACTATGGTTCTGAGAGTCAGAATTATTACAAAATATATCGTGTATCCAGAGAAGTGTCACTCCATCCTTAGCCTTGCTACTCTGTTCCCAAGCCCTTTCACTCTTCTTTCCACCCCTTTCTCACCTGCCCAGGGTAGGTAACCTATCTCTTTAGTTTCTGGTTTATCCTTCCGGTGTTTTTGTTTGTTTGTTTGTTTGTTTGTTTGTTTTTGCTTTTTCAGTAGAAATGTGTATTTTCTTATATCCCCCTTCATTCTTACATGAACATAACATACCATAGGGATTTTTTTGCTTTTTTCAGACTTTGCTTTTTTCAGTTAACACTGTGTCCTGGAAATCACTTCATATTATAGAGATTTTCCTCATTCTTTATTTCCCCCCACAGTTGCATAACTTGGATGTACCATAGTTTATTCAGTCACTTTCCTATGTGCCATATTCCTACCATAGAAAGGTAATTGAATATGGCACATCCAAGTTTCCAATATTTTACAATTACAAAGAATGCTAGAGTGTGTATTTGTCTTTGTATATTTGGAGGTATATTCCCAGGGTGGATTCCTTGAAGTGGAATTGCTGGGGCCAAAGTTAAGTGTATATGTCATTTTGTTACACATTACCAACACTCTCTCTAGAATGGTTGTACCAATTTGTATTCCCATCAGCAATGCATGTAAGTGCCTGTTTCCCTTACATCCTCACTAATGGAATGTTTTGTCATATTTTAAAATTTTTGCGAGTCTAATAGATGAGAAATGGTATTTCAGTGTTGTTTTAATTGGCATTTCTCTAATTTTGAGTGAATTTGAGCGATTGTTACTTGAGGGCCCTTGTAATTTTTTTTTTTTTTTTTTTTTTTTTTTTTTTTGGTGAATTGACTGTCTTTTTTCCTGTATCTGATTTTTGGTCCTTTTTCCCTTTGTTTTGTTTTTTTCCGCCCCATTTTAATGTTTACAAGTTAATAATCTCTTGATGATTGCAGACAGGTATAGCTGTTTGGTAGTACTCAGAAACATTACAGTAATGGTAGTTTTTTCAGTTGGTGTGTAGTGCTCAATAATTATATATAAAATTGCTGTCAAACCAGTAAGACTGCATTTATGCATCCATCATTTTCAGGATTGTTGATAACCTGGGCATATTTCCCCAAATAACTTTGCCTCCCTGTGTCACAAGGCCCACTTCACTCACATTTACCTCAGTGACAGTCTTTAGTAATAACACCCAAAGTTGTATACAGCGGGAATGACGGATTCTTCTTTACACCAAGTATTGGTAGGCAAAAGGTGGCTTTCAGTTCAGGTTGTGTTACATGGACTTTCTTGAAATGCAAGCCCATTGGCCTGATGAATCTTTCATATTTAGGTGGTTTTCTTGTAAAGACATCTCTAGCAAAGCAGACTTCAGTAACCATCCTCTTCCATGCCTTCTTCTTTCTCTTTCCTGTTTGAATAACTTAATGCTTCTGTTTCTCCCTGGGCACATACTTTAGGCAGAGGGACTTCCCATTTTCCCTCATTCTCTTTTCGTTTCTGTTTAATCATATTGGAAAGTACTTTAGCTCGAGATTGTCTCTCTGTCCTGCTGATAGGCAGGTACTGCTCCCTGTGGAATCTTTTCATCATTCTTTTGTTTGGTGTTTCTCTTTTCATGCATCTTGATGGTCTTTTTTATTTGTATTTTCTCAGCATGGCGCTGTTTATGATTAAGCTTAGCCTTCAGACCAATCATTTTCTTTGCCTTCTTTGAACATTCTTGAGCTTCTCGACTTTCCTTCTTTCTCTTTCTCTCATGGTAATCCAAATGGTATAGCATTTATGGTGTAATTCAATATATTCATTCTGTGGCACAGTGACGGCTGCAGAGCACCCAGAAGCAGCCCTTGGGGTGCAAAAATGCTCTCCTTTACCTTTGTTTTTAAGAATTCTTTATATATTAGCCTTTTATGGTGTATGTTGCGAATATTTCATCTTAGTTTGCTTTGCATGTACTATGTGTGTTGTCCAATTAAAAAATTTTATGTAGTCAATATTTTCTTTTATTGTTTCTGGATTCTCCTTTCCCTATACCAACTTTGAGCAGAATTCATCCATTTTTTTCTAGTACTTTCTCTGGTTTCATATTTTATATCTAGATTCCTAATCCATTTGGAGTTTATTCTGGAATATGATGTGAGATAGAGATCGAATTTTATATTTTCCAGATGGATACCTAGTTTTCCTGGCACCATTTATTGAAAAGTCCATCTGTACTTTAGTGATTTGAGATGCCACCTTTGTTATTTACTAAATTTCTGGGTATATTTGGGTCTAATTCTAGACTTTTTAAATTCCACTGGCCTATTTATGTGCTAGTCCCACACTGCTTTAATTATAGATGTTTTTTGGTGTTGTAGTGTTTGATAGAGGTGGTCTCCTTGTGGTTTTCCTTTTTCAATGATTTCCTACCTATTCTTGCGTGTTTGATTTTCCACACAACTTGAATATCAACTTGCCAAACTTTACAAAATAGCTTGTTAGTATTTTCATTGTATTGTATCGAATTTATAAAGTAAGGGAGAAATGACATCTTTATAATGTTGTCATCCTGTCTTAGAATGGGGATATCTTTCTCTTTGCTCAAGTGTTCTTCAGTGTCTTTCAGTGGTGCTGAAATTTTCCTTGTGTAGTTTTTACACATTGTTTAGTTTATTCCTAACTATTTAGTCTTTTTATTGCTATTATAAATGGGATTTTCTCTGCCATTATTTTCCCTGATTATTGTTTTTGTATAGGAGAACATTTTTGTATGTTAATTATCTTGCTACTTCATTGAATTTTATTTTTGAGTTAATTTTATTATTGATTCTTCAAGGGTTTTTAGGCTACCATTATATCATCTGCAAATAGAGATAGTTTTACTTTCTCCTTACCTATTATTCCTCTGATTGATTTTTCTTAACTAGTTGATTTGGCTAATACCGCTGGTATGATGTTGAATAATAGTAGAAATGGCCGGGCGCGGTGGCTCATGCCTGTAATCCTAGCACTTTGGGAGGCTGAGGCGGGTGGATCACCTGAAGTCAGGAGTTCAAGACCAGCCTGGCCAACATGGCGAAACTCTGTCTCTACAAAAAATTAGCTGGGCATTGTGGCAGGCACCTGTAATTCCAGCTACTCTGGGTGGTTGGGGCAGGTGCTGAGGCAGGAGAATCGCTTGAACCCGGGAGGCGGAGGTTACAGTGAGCCAAGATCGCGCCACTGCACTCCAGCCTGGGCGACAGAGCGAGACACCGTCTCAAAAAACAAGAATAGTGGTAGAAATGGTGGGCATCTTTGCCTTTTTCCTGATCTTAGTGGAAATGCCTCTGTTATTTCTTTATTAAATAATTTAATGGTTGTAGGACTAAAATGTATATATTTTATCATGTTGAGAAATTACGTCCTAATTCTTGTTTCTTTGAGTGTTGGGTTTCGAATGGGTGTTGAATTTTGTCACATACACTCCATCTTAGTGGTATGGAGAAAATTGTATGTTTCCTACCTGCCTTAGATTTATGAATACGGTATGTACTAATAGATTTCCTAATTGAACCAATCCTTTACCTCTAGGATAAATGCCATTTGGCCATGTTGTATTATTTTCTTAATGTATTACATTCTGTTAGCAAACAGTAAAATCATTCCCTCCAGTGTATTTCTAGAGTAAAAATTTGTTTCTTTGCATTATTGTAGCTAAAATGGTGTCTGGTACTTATTTGTGTGTATATTTATCTCTGTGATTAGATTCAGAGTGCTTTTAGAGCTGGAACTAGAGTTTACTTTTTATTACCCTTAGTGCCTAGCAGAATTCTTCATATGTAGTTGGTAACATCTAAATTTTACTGAACAAAAATAGAAACAGAAATAGCACATTAAACTTTTCTTGAATGAAATTTGAGTATAATGTTTCACTTAGCAAACAGTCACATCAGTCCTAAAGAGCACTAACCACCACATGAAGGTCAGGGAGATCTGAGTTCTGGTCTGGAACTTTGTTTTACATAGGTCACAAAAACTAACATTTTGGCATCAGACATCACAGTTTTTTCATTTGTCAAATCAGTTGACGCTCTGATCTTTTAAAATCTGTTTCATATCTAAATGATCTTATGAAATTAATTTTTACTTATTGCAGTGTGCATTTTTACATTTTGCCAAATAATTTTTCTGAATTTTTATTTGTCTTTAGAATGGTTTGCCTGTTGTAATGAATAGATATACATATGATTATGGATAATTTTGAAAAGCAAATTCTGAATACAAATAAATTAGTTATTATTTTCCCCATTTTTTAGTTGAACAAATTTAACCTTCAGAGAAATGGCGACTGATTTAGAGGAATTGGTAAGGCTGGAGCACAATATGGGGTTTTCTGTCTCCAGTTACAGTGTTTCTGTGCCAATCTGCCATCTGTTTATGTGACACAGTACTAGGCACAGTGTTTCTTCAACTAAGCCAAGCTACTGTGATTCAGTGTGATAAGTTTTAATGTAGGATTTAGAGCTGGATTATTTATGTTTAGTCCAAAAATCAAAGACAAATTCTTTGCACAATATGTATTCCTTGCGGGGGATTCAGGGTTCCTTGTGATTTAAAATAGCTTGAGTGTTTCACATTTGGCAAAGCAGTGTTGTAGTTACAGGTAATCCTGAGAAGCTAGAGAATTATGTATACGGTACGTATCTTAGTTCATGGATTTGATTTTTTAAGATCAGATCTCTGAATCTATCCTGTTGAGAGATGATCAGAGGAAGATTGTGCATGTGTGTTCTAGGAAAGATTGACAGCCTAGCCAATGATGGGATTCATAAAAATAAATGAAAGTATTCTGTTTGTGGTTTACTGTTGTGAGTTTTGTCTTTGTAATTGTCACTCTGATAGATGCTAAACTAGAAATTTCCTGCTCAATAGGGAGTTAAGTCTGGATGACGGTGATCTGAAGGAAACTACTGCCAAGCAATTGATTGTTCATACTTGTCTGGAAATTAACATTGAAATCCATGTTATGCATTCCTTGTGTTTTTAGCTATACCCAAATATGCAGCATTCATGGGGAACATTCTTATTAAATTTAAAAAAAGAACAGGTACGTGAGTATAAGCTGAATTTATCCTCCAATTTAAAAGCATTATATGAGTTTACAGTTAACAAAAGTACAGTTTAGGAATATTTTATGACTTTAAAATTCCCTACTCATTAGTATTCTACTAATTTAAACCTGCATGTTTAAAACTTATGGGTCAGATTTGTTACCAGAAGAACAGTAGCCTAATAGGCAACATTCATTGAGGGCCTATTAAGTGTCAGGCGTTGTATTAGGTTTTACATATATCATCTCGTTTAATGCTACAATAACCCTGTTGATGTTTTTCTCCCATTTTATAGATTAGGCAACTAAAACTTGGAAAGGTCAACATAGCTTTTAAGGAGCAGAGCTATGATTTGAGCCTCAATGAAAGAAAAGATGAGTAAATTTAGGAAACTGTATAGAAAAAAACTATTTAAAAGTAGAAGCAAGAAATTGGGGAAACAAGCAAATTAGGTATATTTTTATAACAGTGACAACAAAAAAAGCAAAGAAATTGCATTAGATATTTATTAGTTTATCCTGAGATTGTAGTCTTAATTCTTCTGTCTGTCCTTCAATATAGTAACACTAGAACATATACCTATTTCTAATATTTAAGGAAAATATACAGATATTTGCACTCTTCTTTTGTGTAACTCAGACATCTAAAAAGTGAAACGAGTACAGATCCTGCATCCAAGGTCGTATTGTTTAATAGAGGAAATTTAAATGAAATAAAATGCAGAATAATAATTCCTTTAGCGTGGTACAAGTCAAGCATTGTGGCAGTTCAGAGGAGTAGCAGCCAGGAATATCAGTGAAGGTGCCATTTATTCTGAAGTCTTATAGCGTGGGTACAATTTGAACTACTTGAACAAAAGCACAGATAAAGAACATTGAGAAATACGTATGGAGAAGAGTAAGTTTGATTTCATAGGGTATCTGAAGAAACATGATTGGTAGAAAGAAAACAGGTCAGACCATAGGAAGGATTTTGAGTGTCAAGCTGAGGAGTCGGCTTTTACATTGTAGACACATCGGGGAGGGAGACAGACCATGTTAAAGATATACGTAAGTTATTTTATAATGTAATGTAAACTAGTGTTTACTGCTGTAAAGCATAAGGGGCTAGAGTGATCAAGAGTGCTAATTGACATAGATTGGTCAATGGTAGCCCTTCTGAGGAGTTGATGTTTGAGCAGAAACCTAAATGAGGTGAGGAAGAGAATCGTGAAAATCCAGGAGTAAGAATTTTCCAGACAGAGCAAAGAGCAAGAGCAAAAATATTAGTAAGATTGGTGTGTTTGAGAAACAGTGGAGAGGGCTCTGTGGGTAGAACTGCCTGTCAGGAAAGATGGAAAGGAATGTGGTTCAAGATGTAGCTAGCAGCTAGGATGGCTTTCCCTAGAGTAAATGAATTTCTGTATCATCTGTGTTCAGTAATTATCCGGATTTCACCATATTTGCCTTATTCATTCATTTATAATAATAGGTTTGAGAATTACCTTCCTACTGAGGCCATGAAATTGCCAAGATAGATAGAAGAAAGAAAGAAACACAAGGCTGCAGACAGTAACGTTTATAATCATATTTCAAATCTGTCTTGATTGTGGTCTGTTTTAGAAAAGTACATTTAGGGTACCCATAGTGACAAAGTTACAAAGAGTAGCTGTGCTGGTAAATACTAGTATTATTGGAACTACTTCAACATTTGTTCTGTTAGTCTTGAGCTGAAATCAGTGTGCTATAATTTTACATTTGATTTTCACAACAGCTGTGTTATATATAGGTGAGGTTAAAAATCTCATTTTATAAATGAGGAAACAAAGTTATACAAGTAAAGTGAGATGCAAAGGATAAAAAGAGACAGAGCTGGACCTTAAGTCCATGTCTCTTAATATGTTGGTTAGTTCTGCAATTTCATTAAGTAGGCTTATTCACCTAATAGTTTTGAACCATGTTGAATTACCACATTGTAATAAATACATTAACCACTTTTCAAAGGCCATATTTTTACTAATACAGAAGGAAATTCCAAAAACTATTTGAATTATGAATTTAATAGAATTACTTTCTTTTTTCGTAGGCAAAAATCTGAATAATTTCATCTGACACAGAAGGCATTTGTGTTTTTTGGTATTGGAACAAAATATGATCTCTCTTGAGATGCATAATTAGTCCACTAAGCACTGCAGCCTTCATTGTCTGAAGCCATAACTAAAACAGTTAGGATTGAATTAGCTTTGTGTCTTTCTTTTCTTCTTTCACTTTCTTTACTTTCTTCATTGCTTTGCCTGGAATTGACTGAACTTAAGAATTTGATCCTTTAAATAGGAAGAAAATATAACTACTTGATAACAGAACAAAATAGCTACTTGACATATGTAGTTAATAACCTGAACATTGGAAATATTTCACAGTACTTTTTATTGCATTTTCAAATAACTTTAAAAAAATAGTAGATTTAAGAAACAGCTAGAAATACTTTATTATACCACTTTGTTTTTGTTTGCTCAGTGGTAAACTGGATTAAAGAGCAATGTAAATGTGTTTTAGAAAATATAATGTCTTACGCAGTTCCACAAATCTAACCAAGGCTAAGGCAAGTTCTTTTAGATCCTTTCTAGAAAGTTTCTACATTGTTTCTAAGCATTTTAGAAATTACGTTTTACTATGAATAATGTAATGAATAGCAGGAAACTTATTTCTGGTGTGCCTTTCTTTTGCATTATTAAGATAGTGTTTTAGTCTTTGGATGACTCTTATTTTCCATATGGTATTAGCCTATAAATGCTAAATTGTCAAATGTAAAGCTATTTATGTTAGTGTCAAAGTGTATTTTCAGGATTTGAAAAATGTAAGTAGCATGAGAAAAAAAGTACATTGACTTTTAAATTTTAGCCCTGCCTTGGGCAGCTACAGAAAAGGCTATACAGTAGGGGTTGAATTGTCAGGGAGGAGAATTACTGTGTATCCTCAGGGTAAAGATGAAGTTAGTGGAGATTTGTCCACTGTCCAAATTGGCCAGTATGAAGAAAGGAGGGGGAGACTATGGTATGAGAAGCAGCTAGAGAAGTAGGTAGAGGTCAGACTGTAAGCAGTTTTATGAGCCACGTTATCACGATTGTAGTACTGAGAAAGTTTGCTGGAGTGCTGTTTGGTCCACCAAAGGACAGGAGGGAAGCTGTTCTCCCCCAGTGCAGTTGAAATGGGTTACATTTATGACATTGAGTGAAAAGACCCATAGGGCCTGCCAATCTAAGAGGCAATTTATAGCATCAGGCAATTTACAGAATTTCTCACCCTTGACACTATTGACATATTTGGGTAATTTTTTATTTTGGGGAATTGTCTTAAACAGCATTGTACAATGTTTTCCAGCATCTCTGGCCTCTGCCTTCAAAATGCCAGGAGGACACCATTCCCAGCTATAACAACCAGACATTGCTAAATGGTGGGTGGTGGGGAGGTGGTGTCAAAATCCACCCCCAACATCCCCAGTTTGAAAACCACTGAGCTGTCATGATCAATGATAACATGTGCATATTTTTGGGCGGTTGATGCCATTTTCAACAACAGGCTTGTTATCCTGGCACTCCTAATTTCCAGGTGTCCTAGTTTAATTCTGCAACTGCCAACTGCTAGGAGTAGGAGGTTCCTGGATGCAGCTGTCTCTAAGGCTCTGGGATTAGCAGAAGACAGCCCTAATGATATAAATGGAGGTTAATGCATCAGTCTGCAGTTGTTGGAAGTGAAGGGTCAGAGTAAATTAAGAGGGGTGCTGCTCTTAACTGCTCATGATAATATGGAGATAAAAGAAACAACAGTACAAGTTGTCAACATCAAGAAAGCAGTGTGTTTGATTCATATAAATGTCTGAATGTGTATATATATAACATGTATTATATATATTTTATATATATAATATAACATGTAATATATATATTATATATAATATAACGTAATATATATATTATATATAATATAACATGTAATATATATTATATATAATATAACGTAATATATATTATATATAATATAACATGTATTATATATTATATATAATATAACATGTATTATATATTATATATAATATAACATGTATTATATATTATATATAATATAACATGTATTATATATTATATATAATATAACATGTATTATATATAATATATAATATAACATGTATTATATATTATATATATAACATAACATGTATTATATATATTATATATATATAACATAACATGTATTATATATATTTTATATATATAATATAACATGTATTATATATTATATATAATATAACATGTATTATATATTATATATAATATAACATGTATTATATATTATATATAATATAACATGTATTATATATATTATATATAATATATAATATATATAATATATATTATTTATATATATATAATATATATATATATATAGTTGGGAGGGCCTGTTCATGTATTTCAGTCACTCTAGGAGAGGCAGTGTAATATAAAGATTAAAAACTTAAACCAGGTTGCCAGGTTTGAATCCCCACGTCATCACTTGCTAGCTGTGTATCATTAAGCAAATTTCCTAATCTTTCTGTTTTCTTATGTGTGAAGAGTATTGGTGTGAAATAGGAATAATAATGGTACCTAGGTCAGAGATTTGTTGTGAGGTTAAATGAGATAATGCACATAAAGTGAGTAGAATTAAATCAGTTAATATGTAAAATTAATGTGAAAAACATAGACTAGTTCCTGATATATGGTGAGTACTCATTAAATGCTAGCTCTTATTGTTGTAGAGCTTCATTTGCAAGTGGATACATTATTTAAATTAGTTAATTTCCTTAACCTTTTTAGGCTGCAGTCTCCTCATCTGTAAGATTGGGAAAATCATATTTACTTCACCAGGGTAGTTGTGAAGGCTGAATGAAATGATTTATGTAATGTGCTTAGCACAGTGGCTGGCATGTAGTAAACTCTCAATAAAGGCCAGATTTTTAGTGATGAGTGTTAGGATTAGAGTAGGGAACTATGAAGGTATCAAACAAATTTTATAGCATTCTGACATTCTAAAAACTTGCTAGACCATTTCAGAGTTATCACCTGATACTCAAAAGCATTCATAAAGATATTGGAAGACCATATTCCATTTATCTACTTCCTGATTGTAAATCTGATGTCAAGGTCTTATGTTGTAAGCAAATGAAACCAGTTCCAGCTCATTTACTTAGAAAAGGGATTTACCAAGAGGCTATGAGGTAGTGTATAGAATTGCCTGGAGCATTGGAAAACCAGAATCCAGGCCCACATATCTAGGAATATTGATCCAAATCATGGTTGAGCAGTGGTCCAATGACGGCATCATTGCTTAACACTGGATTTGGCAGTTTGCACTGCCAATACCTGTAGCTCTGGTGACTGGATGCTGCCACTATGGTCACTTCTGACCTGGAAATTTGATCTTGCTGATTATTTTTGCCCCCTAGTGAGTTCTTTGATATCTTTCTTCGTAACCCTAGTTTCTGATTCTAAGTCTGGGGCAAGTGGGCTTTGATTTGGCAGAGCCTAGATCATGATGGCAGTGCCCTAGAGCTTGGGAAAGAATAGTATTAATGTAACTGAATATAGCACTCATATGTCAAGCGCTCTTCTAAATACTTTATGTTTTTATTTTGTGCCACAACAATGCTATGAGGTAGGTACCATTATCATCTTACAGATGAAGGAAGAGAGCTTTAGGAATTTGCCTAAGGTTCACAGCTAGTGGAGGAGCCATGAATTGAACACAAACAATCTGGCTTCAGATATTTGCTTGAATGTCTGGTATTTTGAGCTTTTATGTAATACAAGGCGGGCTCTGCCCTTTCCCAAGCCTCACAATGTGGAGGCTTTCCCCAACTTTGGTTGGGGCCTGGGGCTGGGCAGCCAAAAATAAGGAAATATACATCATACTTGGCTAAAGTCTTACTTGGCAAACCAGTTATGCCTGTATTGCTATTTTAAAAGATCTAAAATGAGGAACAGAAGAATTTTTTTTCTTCGTGATTGCATTTTATGTTCTGCCACTCTTCAGATATTTGCCTTTCTTTAGATATTCTCTTTGAGGCAGTACTTCTAATTTTCAGACTCTGGATCAAACACAGGGAAAATAGGTTTGTAAATGACACTTAGAACTATGCAGTCATTTTTCTAGTGAGAGAGTATTAGTGTAATTTATTTTTTGTGGGCAGGACACATTTTGGAAAATGACAAACTTCTTTTGCTGCTGGGTTGTGGAGCTGATATAGTTCCTCTTTGTAGGTGGGCACTGTGATCAGGGTCACACACACCTCCCGCCACCAGACTGGTATGGTATGGTTGCTCTCTGGGTGGATTGGGGGCCTGCAGGAAAAATAGGTCCTCTGCCATTAGAGATGATAAAATGTAATTTTTACCTTTTTTTCAAAATCAACAGTTTATTGAGGTAAAATTTACATATAAGTGTACTCATTTAAAATGTGCAGTCTAATGAGTTTTGACACATATATAAACTTGGAAAACCACAGTCATAATCAAGATACAGAATGTTTCCATCACCATACAGTTAGTTTCTTGTGTCCCTTTGCAATCAGTTCTTCCCTACATTACTTGTCTCCCAGGCAACCACTGATCTGTCATAACAAATTAGTTTTGTATGTTCTAGAATTCTGTACAACTGGAATCATAATAGTATGTATTCTTTTTGTGCCTGACTTTTTTTTTTTTAGCTCAACGTAAGTTTTTTTTTCTTTTTCTTTCTTTTTTTTTTTAGAGACAGGTCTCACTCTGACACCCATGCTGGAATGCAGTGGCAGAATCATAGCTCACTGTAACCTTGAACTCTCAGGCTCAAGTAGTCCTCCCACCTCAACCTGCTGAGTAGCTAGGACTAACAGGCATGTACCACCACAGCAGGCTAATAAAAAAAATTATTTTTAGAGAGCATCTCGCTATGTTGCCCAGTTTGGTGTTAAACCCATGTTTCGAAATTAATCAAGAGTTGTTGCATGCATCAGTAGTTCATTCCTTTTGTATTGCTGAGGAATATTTCATTGTATGGATATACCACAATTTGTTTATTCATTAACCTAGTGATGGACTTTTTTTTTTTTTCTAGTTTTGGGTTCTTATAAGGAAAGCTGCTAGGAGTACATGTCTACAAGTAAGGACGTTTATTTTAATTTCTTTTTGGTGAATGTTTTTGTATAGAATGGCTAAGTCATATAGTCAAGTATATATTTACCTTTACAAGAAATTGCTAAACAGTTGTCCAAAGTGAAGTACTTTTTGCATTTCCTACATTCATGTATGCAAGTTCCAGTTGCCCTTCACTCACATTTGGTATTATAGTCATCTTTACTTGAGCCGTTATAGTGGTTATGTAGTGGCATCTTATTGTGGTTTTAATTTGCATTTCCTTGATGACTAATGATGTTGAGCATCTTTTAATGTACTTACTCGCCATTCCTGTACTTTCATTTGTGAAGTGTTCTGTTACGTTTTGGCCATTTTTCATTTGTGTTTTCTTGCTATTGAATTGCAAGAGTTATTTATATGTCTTTGCTGTCAGTCATTTGTCACATATAGATATTGTAACTGATTTTCTCCTAGTCTGTGGTTCACCTTTTTGTTTTTTTTTTGATGGTGTCTTTTGAAAAGAGGTTTTTAATTTTAATGAGGTCCAGATTATCAGTATTTTTCTTTTCTTGTTTTTGCTTTTTGTGTCTAAGAAATTTTGCTTACCCACGGTCATGACTCCGTACTATTCCACCCCAAGATAACCACTGTTCTGCCTATATCATCAACACTTACTGGTTTTCTTTTTGAATTGGATCATGTAATATGTACTCTTTGGTTCTGGTCTCATTTGCTGAACATTATGTCTGTGAAGTTTTTTCCATTTTTTTTTTTAAGACAGAGTTTCGCTGTTGTTGCCCAGGCCGGAGTGCAGTGGCACGATCTTGGCTCACTGCAGCCTCCGCCTCCCAGGTTCAAGTGATTCTCCTGCCTCAGCCTCCCAAGTAAATGGGATTACAGGCATGCGCCACCACGCCTGGCTATTTTTGTATTTTTAGTGGAGACGGAGTTTCTCCATGTTGGTCAGGCTGGTCTTGAACTCCCGACCTCAGGTGATCTTCCCACCTTGGCCTCCCAAAGTGCTGGGATTACAGGTGTGAGCCACCACGCCTGGCCTCCATTTTTTTTTTTTTTTTTTTTTTTTTTTTTTTTTTGTAGCAGTAGTTTGTTGTGTTCTATTGCTGTGTGGTAGTTCATTGTATGACTCCACCACAGTTTATTTGATAGACATTTGGATTGTTTCCAGGTTTTGGCCATTATAGGTAAAGCTGCTATGAATATTCTTGTACTTGCCTTTTAATGGACATGTGTATTTATATTTCTTGGGTATATTTCCTAGGAGTGGAATTGCTGGGTTATAGGATAGTCGTATGTTTAACTCAAATAGTACTGCCAAATAGTTTTCCAAAGTGATTTTTACCAACTTTTACTTGTACCAGCAATGTATAAGAGTCTAGTTGCTCTACATACTGGCTACTACTTGGTTTTGTCAGTCTTTCTAGTTTCCGCCTTCTAATGGGTGTATAATGGTATCTGGTGGTTTTAATCTGCATGACAAGTTGAGCTGAATGACTTTGTAGCTCCTTCCCAATGCTAAGGTTTTCTGTGTGTTTTACAAAGTGGAGCCGGGCGTGGTGGCTTTTGCCTGTAATCCCAGCACTTTGGGAGGCCGAGGCATGCAGATCATCTGAGGATGGGAGTTCAAGACCAACTTGACCAATATGGTGAAACCCCGTGGTGTTTCACCACATGGTGGCATGTGCCTGTAATCCCAGCTCCTCAGGAGGCTGAGGCAGGAGAATGGCTTGAACCTGGGAGGCGGAGATTTTAGTGAGCAAAGATTGCACCACTGCATTCCAGCCTGGGCGACAGAGGAAGACCCGTCTCAAAAAAAAAATAAGTGGCAAGTGTTGTAGCATGTAAACACAGGTCCTTAAATAACAGTAGGTGTTCTTGGGTTTTTGTGTAAATACAAAAGATATTTGTATAGCTAATTTTGCTGTATTAACCTTCCTCTCTTATATAGGGCATGCTTATAGCACTGGTTCTACTTGGCTGCACATTAGAATCACCTGGTGAGCTTTTAAAACTACTTTAAATGCATAGTGGCCATTCATATGGGTCCTGACTTGTAGATGTGTATTCATAGCAGCTTTACTTACGAGAGCCCAAAACTAAAAAAAGTCCATCATTAGGTTAATGACTAAAGAAATTGATATATACATACAATGAAATATTCCTCAGCAATACAAAAGGAATGAACTACTGATGCATGCAACAACTCTTGATTAATTTCAAAAGATTAAAATTATGATCTCCGTGGAGAGGCAGAAAGCTCCCCTAGTAGTTCTGAGATGCAGAGGGTTGATAATCGTTGGCATGTACAAATGGAATATTCCATTGCTTCTCAAGGGGGCTTGCTGTACCCTTTAGGAATGAAGCACCAACTATAAAATCTTTATTAGATATGTGTCATGTTAATTTATCCCCAACTTTGACCCATTGACAGGATTCAAGAAGCTAGTTCCCAGCCTTCACTTTTTTGGTTGTACAATATACTAGCTCTCTAGGTAAGTTCTATGCTCATATTTTTAATTTTGCATTACTCTTCATGTTACAATGCTAATTCTGCTTTTAAAGTACATTCTACATACAACTCAAGAAAATCACCTATTACAAATGCACTCTTTCTGTTAGCACTGGAGCAGTAGTCATGGTCATGTAAGAGTATTTGCTCAGCTTTGATCTTCTCCTTTAACATGATTGTGGATTTAGAATGTACTTGAACTTAACAAGGAACAACACTAAAAAAGGCACATGATTTGATTGTTGCTTTGTAAAATAAAAAAATGAATAAAATGTTCAGTTTTTTGTTTATGAATATAATAGTGAATCTCACCTTCTGTTGGTATGCAGGTTTGGTACATGACGATGCCTTTAGATCATCTCCAAAAAAGTAACATCATAATTGGAATGTGACATCCATATATATTGGATTTTTAAAGATTGTTTCCAAAGATTCAGCTGTACAGAGTGTGTGCCTAATACTTTTCTAACTTGGAAATAATTCAGTGGTGGCTAAAGCTGGCTTGTACTGCCTGCAAAAGCTGATTGGTAAATTTTCAAGAATTTGTAAGCCAACTGTTAAACACAGCCATTATTTTAAAAATTATGTAAAGTTATTATTAAATACATATATTAAAAATAAAAGTAATACCTCCTCAAACTTAGTAGTTCCTAAATATGTTACTGTCTTTTACTGTTATCTGTGCTCTTAAAGTTGTGTCTGTGGTGTTTCCGTGGTAGAAATACAATATGATGTTGTGCTGGTGTATATCTCTTTCTACTATACGATGGTGTGCTGGCCAGGCATGGTGGCTCACGCCTGTAATGGCAGTATTTCGGGAGGCTGAGGCGGGTGGATCATGAGGTCAGGAGATCGAGACCATCCTGGCTAACATGGTGAAACCCCATCTCTACTAAAAATACAAAAAAAAAAAATATTAGCTGGGCGTGGTGGCGGGTGCCTGTAGTCCCAGCTACTTGGGAGGCTGAGGCAGGAGAATGGCATGAACCTGGGAGGCGGAGCTTGCAGTGAGCCAACATCACGCCACCGCACTCCAGCCTGGGCTACAGAGCGAGACTCTGTCTAAAAAAAAAGATGGTGTGCTATTCCACATCTCTTCCTACTATATGATAGTGTGCTGCTGCGTATCTCTTTCTACTGTATGATAGTGTGCTGTGCTTATCTCTACTATATGATGTTGTGCTGCAGCGTATCTCTTTCTACTGTATGATGGTGTGCTATTGCATGTCTCTTTTTCCTGCCTCTGGATTCAGTGAGGTCACGTTCGAAGCTTGAAATTGGCCACTGTAGAAGTATTGGCAACATGGAAATCGACAACAGCCACATGCTAAGGTTAAGCCTTTTTTTTTTTTTTTTTTTTTTCAGTTTGGAAAACTGGTTGTTAAACATTTACTAGCACACCCACTCTGGAGACATTGTTCTTTATTCAATGAATGCCTTCTGTGTGCCGGCTACCCTTCATAAGTGCTTTGAATAAATCTTTACTTAATTTCCTCAAGTATTATCCGATATGTTTCTTAATATTATAGATGAGAAAAACAAGATTAAGTAATGAAGATCAGAAAGCAGCTGTTATATTGTACAGCTGGGATTTTAACCCAAGTCCAAAGCCCTTAGTCTTCTCATTATAGTGTGTGGTATCTCTGAGGCTTTGGAATAAGTTTTATAGAAGAGAGATCATTTGAGCTGAGCCTTAAGTTATGGGCAGGATCTTACTAGATATTGAAGTTGGAAGAATATTTCGAGCATTGTGAACAATTTCAGCAAATGTTCATAGATATCAAAGTACATTTCATGTTCCAGAAATGGTAAGTAGTAGATTCAGTAATAGAGGATATCTAGAAGAGTAAAGTTAAAAGAAGTGAAGCCCGAAAAGTTGATTGGAACCTATTGTGAAGGACCTTAAATAGCCTCAACCTTAGAACAAAAGAGATTGTTTTTATTCCTAAAGGACATAATTATGTCCCAAAGCATTTTGTATAATTATTTTGGTTGTCTAATTTGAATTTAAATTCAATTTCAATTTAAAGCATGAGTGAGGTATCATGTATATTTTTTGTCCAGGGAGATAACATGGAGCTTTTGGTTTGGGGCCTTATTCTGCCGATTTGTATGTTGGCTGTTAATTTTCAGTACTATAATTAATGGTTAGTAAATGATGTTCCCCCAAAATGGGTCATTCTTTGTAGGGAAGAAAATGAATAGATAATAGTTGCAATGTTTGCATATCTTTTGGCAAATGAGTATTCTTGTTACCTACTTTACGGCATAAAGTAGTATTGGTTTATCATTGTCTTTCTGATTTTCAGAACATCGGTTTTTTATTTAAAGTCACAAACCCGGAACAATACATAGTTCCATTGCTGTAATTTTCTCTGCTGTATCTGCATCATGAACCATTTACTCCCCTTACCCCCAGAATCTTTTTTGCAGTATCTTCTGCCTTTTGTTGTTGTTGTTTTGAGATGAGTTCTTGCTGCGTCAGCCAGGCGGGAGTGCAGTGGCACGATCATGGCTCACGGCAACTGTGACCTCCCTGGGTTAAGCAATCCTTCCACCTCAGCCTCCTGAGTAGGTAGGACCACAGGCACATGCCACCAAGCCAGGCTAATTAAAAATAAAAGTACAGACAGGGTCTCCCTATGTTGCCCAGGCTGGTCTCAAACTCCTGGGCTCAGGCCATTCTCCCTCCTGGCCTCCCAAAGTGCTGGGATTGTAGGTGTGAGCCGCCCCGTCTGGCCTTCTCTTCCTTTTAATGTTCCACACGATTCTTCTCTTGAGTTCTTTTGTCATTCTTAACAGTTAATGCCATCCACATCCCTAAAGTGATGATTTCCAGGTTTATGTTTTCAGCCTGGAGCTCTAGACTTGCATTTTGAAATTCCAAATGAACTGGTGGACTTGGATACCCCACAAACATTCTCAAATTCAGAATGTCTACACTAGACTCAATCTCTGGCCTTTCCAAGCCAAATAAACCTCTTGCTTTCCTTATTTTGGTGAGTGACATGTTTATCTTTCTAGTTGCCCAAGCCATAAATTGGAGGACAGTGAGAAGAGGTAGGTCATTCTAGATTCCTCCTTCTTTTTCATTTCCACAATCCAGTTACTCTGTAAGTCTCTTATTTCTGCTTCCTTAATATCTGTTGAATCCACCTTTTTTCATTCCCACAACTTTGATTCCAGTTGTTATGATTTATTGACTATATTGTAAAATAGTCTTTCAAATAGCTTTTCTGTCTTCAGTCTGTGATGCTTTCCTTCAGTCTAGCCTCCCACCAGGCTGTTTAAAATACTGTCAGCCCTCCCTGTCCATGAGTTCTAATCCATGGATTCAGCCAACCTTGGATTGAAAATATTTGAGGGGGAAAAACAATAAAAAATAATACAGTGTAACAGTTACTTATATAGCATTTGCATTGAATTAGGTATTACAGATAATCTAGTGATGATTTAAAGTGTACAGGAGGATATGCATAGGTTATATCCAAATATTACATCATTTTATATAAGGGCCCTGAGCATCGGTAGAATTTTGTATCCATGGGATGGGGAGTGTGGGCTGGGGGGTCCTGGAACCAGTCCCCCACAGATACCAAGGGATGACTGTAAATTGATCAGACTCCTCTTGCTTTCTTATTCCTTTCAGTTTTTTGTTTGTTTTTATGCTTCTCTACTCTGCGTTTTTCCTCTCCTCCTCTTTTCCTGCCTTTTCATTTATTATTTGATAATCTGAATATTTTTAATGTTGATTATTGGAATATTTTTATTTGAATTCCATTTTTATTTTTCTGATTACTTTTTAGCTGTACTTCTTTGCATTATACTTTTAGTGGTTGCCATAGGAGTACAGTATATATCCTGAAATTTTGTAGTCCACTTACAAGTAATAATGCACTGCTTCACTTGAAATACAGAAATCTTACAACCTTTTAGGTCCATATTTTCCTTACCTTTCCCCTGTTTTTTGATAATAATTGTTATTATAGATATTATATCTTGATACATATTAAGCCCCAGAAGATAATCTTATAACATTTTCTTCAAGCAATTATGTGGATTATAAATAAATTAAGAGGAAAAGGCAAAAGGGAAAAAATAGGGTTATTTTTTGTATTTACCAAGTTATTTACCGTTTCACTTCCTCCTCCTTCTTTTCTGAAAATCCACCTTTCTCTCTGATTTCATTTCCCTTCAGCCTGAAGAACTTCCTTTAATATTTCTTGTAATGCAAGTCAAGTCTTTTGGTTTTGTCCAAAAATATCTATTTCTCCTTTATTCGATATAGAATTCTAGGTGGACAGTTTTTCTTTTGTTCTTCTTCTTCTGTCTTCTTTCTTCTTCTTCTTTTTTTTTTTTTTTTTTGTTTCACTCTGTCACCCAGGCTGGAGTGCAGGGACATGATCATAGCTCACTGCAGCCTCGACCTCCCTGGGCTCAGGTGATCTTCCCACCTTAGCATCCCAAATAGCTGAGACCACAGGTGCGCACCACCATGCCTAGCTAATGTTTTTTGTATTTTTTGTAGAGACGGGGTTTTGTCGTATTGCCCAGGCTGGACTTGAACTCCTGGGCTCAAGCCATCCACCCATCTCAGCCTACCAAAGTGCTGGGATTATAGATATGAGCCACCACTCCTAGCCAGTTTCTGTCTTTCATCACTTTAAAAATGTTTCAGCTCAGGTGCATTGGTTCATGCCTGTAATCTCAGCACTTTGGAAGGCTGAGGTGGGAGGATCATTTGAATCTAGGAGTTTGAGACCAGCCTGGGCAACATAATAACACCCTGGTCTCTACAAAAAATTAAAAAACAAAAAATTAGCCAGGCATGGTGGCACACTGAGGTGGAGGATTGCCTGAGCTTGAACAGTCAAGGCTGCAGTGATTCATGATCACCCTATTGCACTGCTAGCCAAGGGCAACAGACTGGGACCCTGTCTCAAAAAATAAATAAGGTAAGATAAGGTAAGGTAAAGGTAAAAGAATAAGCAAAAGTAAGACTACAACTTTCCCCCTGGGTACCCTGGCCACTGCTGGATGCACAGCATGGATAGCACTTAGCTCAAAGCTAAAAGCCTAGGAGACGGAAAGTTACTTGCATAGATCCCTGTTTCCATTCTGCAAGTGAGCACGACCTCCCCACCAGAGTTTCTGTTTACTTTCTGATACTTTCAGGGGATTTCTTTTTAAATTGTGTTCAGTTTTGTAGTTGCATTCTTGCAGGTGTGGGGAGGTTCAGTAGGGTCTTTGTCATCAGTCTCAGAAGCAGGAACCTGTGTTCTTTTTACCTGTCCTCAGAAGCCCCCTGTTATGTTTCTCCTTCTACCTTACATGCCATTCTTTATGAGTTTTTTCTGCTAGTGCCTCTTCATTTCCCTGTATCTCAGATTTTGGGATATCCCAGAGTGTAGTTTTTAGATTCTTCTGCTTCTTTTTTTTTAATCTCTACAGACTTTCTAGGGCAGGAGTCAGGCCAAATCCATGCTCATTCATTTGCATACTGTCAGTGGCTGCTTTGGGATTGCAACAGCAAAATTGAGTAGTTGCAACAGAGACCTTATGGCCCACAGAGCTTTAGATATTTACTGTATGACCCTTCATAGAAAAAAGTTGTTGACTCCTGTTCTAGGTGATCTCATCCAGTCAGAGATTTAAGTGCATTTACACACTGATGTCTTCTAAATTTCTTATTCCCAGCTTCAAGCTTTTGTCTGGACCTCAGGCTCATAAATCCAGTAACCTACTTACCTTCTTTGCTTGCATATAATAGGCTTGTAAACTTTGATATGTCCTAAACTAAATTCTTGATATTTCCCTTACATTGTGCTCTTCCCCCAATCTTGTCCAATGGCAATTCCATCTTTCCAGCTATTCAGCCAAAACTCTTGAGAGTTATCCCTGACTTCTCATTTTTCCTTATCTCACATCTGTCTGTAAGGAATTCGTGTTGTCTTTACCTTCAGAATATACCTGTAATCTGACCACTTCTTTTTTTTTTTTTTTTTTTTTTTTGAGACGGAGTCTCGCTCTGTCGCCCAGGCTGGAGTGCAGTGGAGGGATCTCGGCTCACTGCAAGCTCCGCCTCCCGGGTTCACGCCATTCTCCTGCCTCAGCCTCCCAAGTAGCTGGGACTACAGGCGCCCGCCACTACGCCCGGCTAATTTTTTGTATTTTTAGTAGAGACGGGGTTTCACCGTTTTAGCCGGGATGGTCTCGATCTCCTGACCTCGTGTTCCGCCCGCCTCAGCCTCCCAAAGTGCTGGGATTACAGGCGTGAGCCACCGCGCCCGGCCATCTGACCACTTCTTTACATCCTCAGCTACTGTTCCCCTACTCCAAGCTACTATCATCTCTTGCCTAGACTATTCCAGTAGGCTCCTAATTGTTCTCCTTCTGCCTGTGCATGATTATTGTTTAATTCCAACACAGTAGCAAAACAACAGTACTTTAAAAACCTGAGTCAGATTGTTTTACCCCACTGTTCAAAACTCTCAGCTAGATTTTCATCTTACTCAGAATAAAATCCAGAGTTCTCGTGATAATTTTTGAAGTCACACACGTTCTTGCCACTGGCCATCTCTCTGCCATTTCCTCCTTTTCTCCCCCTTGCTGTCTTCCCTCAAACCACCTGGCCTTCTTGCCATTCCTTGAAAAGCTGAGCATGATACCACCTCCTGATACTTGTACTTACTGTTCTCTCTGCCTGCAGTGTTGTAGCTGTCTTTATGACTTACTCCCTCACTTTATTCAGGTCTCACAAAAATATACCTTTTCTGAGGTTTTCCCTGACCACCATATCTAAAACAGCACAAGTGTGAACACATATACACATACATGACCATGAACATTTATGACTATATGACATGTATATTTGTTTGTTTTTCCCAACTAGAATGTAAGCTCTATGAGAGCAGGGGGCTTTGTCCGTTTTGTTCTTCACAAAACATCACAAAATATACTGTATGTCTGAAATTGTACCTAGCACATTATAGAGTTTGATAAATTAGTTGGACTGATGAATGTGTGAGTGAGCAATCACCATTCTAGCCAAGTTGCTTTACTTGCAGTTTCTAGAATATATGACTCTTTTTCCACTCTCCTTCTTATTCCTCCTATTGAGGATCTTTCCTTTACTATATTCGTAATCTGTTATCGTACAAGATTTAGCTTAAATGTTACCTCTGTTAAGTTTTTCATCTTATTGCTCACAACATTGTTTCCCTCTTCATGCTCACAACACTGATTATAATTTTTTATCTGCCAAAAACACTTTAAGTTTCTAGAAGGCTGAAAACTGATTTATATTTCTGTTTTATCTCATGCACATTGCCCACAATAGTAGGTATATAGTAAATACCTGTTGAATCACCAGCTGTTTTTAGGAGGAATGAAGTAGAACATAATAGCGTAATTTGAAAAGGTAGTGATTATTTAGAGAGCTGGATCTTAGTCTTCCTAATTAGAGTCCAAATACTAGTGTGTGTATATCTCTTATTTGCAAGGAACAGAAACTTAACTCCAGTAGCCACAAATAATCTAGATGTAGTGTGAGAATGCAGTGACAGGAAGGAAAATAGGTATTTCAAAAATGCCAAGACCATTAAATGGAGACAGGATAGTCTCTTTAACAAATCATGCTGGAAAAACTGGATATCCACATGCAAAAGAATGATGTTGGACTCTTACCTCACACCATATACAAAAATTAACTCAGAATGAATCAAAGACCTAAATGTAGACCTAAGACTATAAAAGTCTTAGGAGAAAACAGGAAATGTTTTCTGACATCTGATTTGGCAAGGATTTCCTGGTTATGAAACCAAAGCACAAGCAACAAAAGTAAAAATAGACAAATTGGACTAGAAAATGAAAAACTTCTGTGCATCAAAGGACACAACAGAGTGAAAAGGCAACCTATAGAATGGGAGAAAATATTTGCAAGTTATGCATTTGATAAGAAGTAAATATCCAGAATATATAAAGGACTTGTATAACTCAACAACAACAAAAACCCCCTAACAACCCAATTTTAAAATGGGCAAAGGACTTGAATAGATATTTCTACAAAGATGATATACATGTAGCCAACAAGCATATGAAAAGATACTCAATATCATTAACCATTAGGGTAATGCAAATCAAAACTACAATGAGATATCACTGTACACTTATTAGGATGGCAGCTATTAGAAAAAAACAGTAAATAACAAGTGTTGGTAAGATGCAGAGATTGGAATCCTTGTGCACTGATGGTGGAAATGTAAAATGATGCAGCTGCTATGGAAAACAGTATGGTGGTTTCCCAAAAAATTAAAAATAGTTCTTTTTTCCCCAAGATGGCAGACTGGAGACATTGTTAGCATGCCTGTCCCACTTGGAAAAACAAAATAGTGTGTAGAAATTCACACTGTGAACATTTTTCCAAGAAGCAACATAGGAACTTAACAGAAAAACGGAAACTACAGACCCTCTGAAAGAAGCAGCAGGCAGTAGCCTACACCATGAACCCGACAGAAAATGGTGTCTCCAGAGCTTGGGAAGGGGAGAGACAGCTGCCGTGACACACACTCCCACTGGGGAACCCAGTAATCCAGGCCATGAGGGGAAGGCTTTAACCCTGTCCAGCACTGGAGCTGATTTAGTGAGCAGTGGGGAATATATGGGAAGGAGCCCCATCAGGATGGGCTTTGCATGCACGCCCAGACTCCAGCAGGGACGGAGGGAAGCCATTCCCTATCACAGGGGACCTCATGTCAGCTAACTCAGGCTGAGGTCACAGGTTGAGAGAAGCTCCCAACTGAGATTTGTGCTATAAACTTGAGTGAGGATGAACACCTTTGGCCAGAATTAAGGGAGGAACAGTAAGTGTGCTGTAGCCACAGGCACAGAAACTGGGCACTCCTGCTTCCACAGACTGGGAATGGTGTTTCTCGGAAACTGTGATTTCTGTGTCTCTGAATAGGTTGGTGGCCTGGGGGCAGTTTTGCCTTCCAAATGTAGGCTGCCTAGGACCTAGGTGGCTGCTGCTAGCAGAACACTATGGGTTGTGAGACCTGCCTTGCCAAGTGCATAGGAGCTGAGTGGGACTTAGTGCTGCCTGCAACCCCTCCTTCCCACGCAGATTCTTTTGTACAACAAAAGCATGTGCGCTTCTCCCTGGAACATTACCCCAGCAGCCAGGAAACTACCTTCTGAACACAAGGTGCTGCTGCTTGTGCTCGTACCTGGGGAGCCAGAGAAAGGACTTGCCTGACCCAGCCCCCACCCAGCTTTGCTCCTTCACTTGCCCTGGTCGTGTAACACAATGGGCAGGGGCCTTTGGGAACCCCATGGCCCTGCCCATTACCTGAGGCAGCAGAGTACCTCCCCTGGGTAACATAAGGCAAACACAAATTCCACCACTACCACTGTAGCTGGTGCAGTTGCAAGTGCTACCTCCTGGCTGATGGACAGCTGGCACAGCCCCGTTACAGCATCTGCAGGCACAATAACACAGCACTCAGGAAAGAGAAAACTGTGGCATGACCTCAACTATTGCCATCGCCTGCATCACCCTGGCTAACTAGAAGGCCTTCAGTCTGTTCATGTACCCAGTACATTACTGCTATGCTGGCATTTCAGAAAGGCAACACACTAAGGCTCTTTACAAGGAAATCTCCATCTACGTCACTTCCCTCCCACCCCCATCGGAGCTGCTGCTGGTACCTGCTGCTGGGAGACTAGAGGACAGGTTACGTCACTGAATCTACTGCAGACATTCCCCAGCACCAGCCTGGAGTATGGCAGCTTCACTGGGCAGCTACACCCAGAGGAGCAGCAGGATTCACAGTATGGGCCCTCAGCGACTGCTACTCCTAGGGGAAGGGAGTGAGTGAGTGAGCCACATTAAGGGAGTACCCCGTGGGACAAAGGAAACTAGACTGCAGGCCTTGAATCCATGAATTTTCTACTTGGGGGAAGTTTCTTTCAGCAGAGGCACAAGTGCAGTTCTGGGCTTGGTAGACAAAGTGCAGCTCTACCTCAACAGTCAGGCAGCCCTGGTGCTCCTGAAGGGTCTTGGAGAAGGAGATTACTTCTCCCTCTTGCCCACCACTGCAAACATAGCTACAGCTTCTCCTAGGGAGCTCATTGCGGGTGCCTCTTTAGACAGCATTTCTGGAACATTTCAGGGTGACTACATCCACATAGGAGGAGTGCCTTCCAGATTCAGGTTTGCATGAGAGGTGGAGTCACAACTCTTCTGTATGTGTAACATCAGCATTCCTGCAGATGAAAAGAGGTGCCTGTCTGTGATCTGAATAGCTGGAACACTGGGTCAAGAGTGTGATTGGGAGGTAGACTGCTTTCCTGCTGGCTTGGAAGAAGAGCTGTGGTGGCCCCCCCACCCCCAAAGAAGACCTCAGTGCATTTCACCGAGAGCTTCCACAGCCACTTCTGTCAAGGCTGGGACCTCTGCCCACCATTGCAGTATTGCATTTACCCACCTGTCTTTGCTGCGGCCAGTTTTTACCCATGGGCACCTCCTACTGGCATAAACCCTGAACTGTTCAACCTGGTGAATAAAATACTGGGGAAAAAAATTTAGAAAGTGCACACTACTGGGGAACAATAAGCTTCATGAGACCTCTGCCATTCCAGCCCCATAGGAGACAGTGAACCTTCTCACACACTGTATTAGTTTGTTCTTACATTGCTAAAAAAACTATCTGAGACTGGGTAATTTATGAAGAAAAGAGGCTTAATTGGCTCATGGTTCCACAGCCTGTTCAGGAAGCATGGCTTGGGAGGCCTGAGGAAACTTACAGTCGTAGTGGAAGGTGAAGGGGAAGCAGGCACATCCTATATGGCTGGAGCAGGAGGAAGAGAATGAAGGGGGAAGTGCTACACACTTTGAAACAACCAGTTTTCATGAGAACTCACTATCGCAAGAACAGCAAGGGGGAAATCTGCCCCCATGATCCAATCACCTCCCACCAGGCTCCTCTTCCAACATTGGGAATTACAGTTCAACATGAGATTTGGGCAGGGACACAAATCCAAACCATATCACACACCCAGCACATTTCTCCTGCGACTGGCATCTGGCAAAGCCATCACACAAAGACTCTACATAACCAAGGAACTCATACAGAGTCTTCACCACTGAAAGCACCCGGAGCTGAAGCTAAGTGACAATAAACTACAAACATTTAAGTCACATGCTCAAGGGGGAGAAAAGGAAATTTTTAAAAGAACCCAGTACAATAAAAAATAAATTCAAAAAATAGTTAGAAGAAATAGTCTGCTCACATGAGAAGGAACCAGAAAACTAATTCTGGCAATATGAAAAAACAGAGGGAGAGTCACCCCCAAGAGATCACACCACTTCTCCAGCAGTGGATCCAAATTAAGATGAGATCTTTGAAATACCAGATAAAGAACTCAAAAGGTTGATTATTAAGTCACTGAAGGAGATACAAAAGAACAGAAAGGCTAAAACCAACATAAATTTAAAAAACAATTCAGGATATGAATGAAAATTTTCTAAATTGATATTTTAAAGAAAAACCAACCAGAACTTCTGGAAGCGAAAGACATATTTAGGGAACTACAACATGCAGTGGCAAGCTTTAACAATAGACTAGACCAAGTAGGAAAAAGAATTTCAGAACTCAAAGACAAGACTTTTGAATCAGCCCAGTCAGACAAAAATTATGACAGAAGAATTAAAAGAAATGAACAAAGTCATCCGGAAATAGGGAATTATACAAAATGGCCAAACTTAACAATTATAGGTGTTCCTAAGAGAAGAAAAAGAAAAAAAAATTGGAAAACTTATTTAAGGGAATAATTGAGGAAAACTCCCTGGCCTTGTTGGAGATTTAGACATCCAAATAAAAGAAGCTTAAAGAACTCCTGGGAAACTCATTGCAAAAAGGACATCACCAGGGCATATAGTCATCAGGCTATCTAAAGTCTGCATGAAGGAAAGAATTCCTAGAGCAGTTAGACAAAAGCATCAGGTAACCTATAAAGAAAAACAGACTAACAGCAGACTTCTCAGCAGAAACCTTATAAGCCAGAAGGGATTGGGGTCCTATCTTTAGTCTCATTAAACAGAATAACATCCAGCAAAACTAAGTTGTATAAATGAAGGAGAAATAAAGTCTCAAGACAAGCAAATGCCAAGGGAATTTGTCAATACTAGACTAGCCCTACAAGAAATGTTAAAAGGAGTTCTAAATCTTGAAACAAAAGGTTGATACATATCAGAATAGAAATTTCTGAAGGCATAAAATTCACAAGGATTTCATAAAACAATAATACAGTGAAGAAAACAGTCACTAGGTAACAACATGATGATCTATTTAAAAGATACAGATTGGCAGAATGGATAAAAAAATTGCAAACCAAGTATCTGCTGACTTTAGAAGACACAGATAACACATAAGGATTCTTACAGACTCAAGGTAGAGGGATGGAAAAAGATTTCGCACAAGTTGAAATCAAAAGCAAGCAAGAGTAGCCATTATATCAGATCAAACAGACTATAAAAGCAACAGCAGTAAAAAAAAAAAAAAAAAAAAAAAGACAAGGTCATTATATAATAGTAAAAAGTTCAACAAGAAAATGTTACAGTCCTAAGCATATATGCACCTAACTTTGGAGCTTCCATGTTTGTAAAGCAATTACTGCTAGACCTAAGAAAAGACACAGACAGCAACACAAAAATAGTTTGGGACTTCAGTACTCCACTGGTGACAGTAGACAAATCATTGAGGCAGAAAGTCAACAAAGAAACACTGGAGTCAAGCTACACTGTAGAACAAATAGATCTAACATATTTATAGAACATTCCACCCAGGAACCGCAGAATAAACATGATTCTCATCAGCACACACAACATTCTCCAAGGTATATCACATGATAGGCCACAAAACAAGTCTCAATAATTTTTTAAAAATCAGAATTATATCAGGTATCTTCTCAGATCACAGCAGAATAAAACTGGAACTCAATTCTAAAAAGAACCCAAAACCATACATAGACATGGAAATGAACAATCTGCTCTTGAATGTTGTCTGGGTTAACAGTGAAATGAAGATGGAAATTTAAAAAATTTTTGCAGTGAATGATAACAGTGAAACAAGTTTTCAGAACTTCTGGGATACAGCAAAAGCAGTGCTAACAAATGTGCTAAACACCTACATAAAAAAATATGAAATATTATAAATTGGCAACCTAACATCACACCTCAAGGAACTAGAGAAACAAGAACAAATCAAACCCAAAGCTAGCAGAAGAAAAATAACAAAGATCAGAGCATAATTAAATGAAATTGAAACAAAAAAATACAAAATATCAGTGAAAAAAAAGCTGGTTCTTTGAAAAGATAAGCAAAACTGATAAACTACTCGCTAGATGAACCAAGAAAAGAACACAGAAGATTCAAATAATCTCAATTGGAAATGAAAATGGAGACATTACAACTGCTACCACACAAATACAAAACATCATTCGAGACTACTGTGGACACCTGTTATGCATACAAACTAGAAAATCTAGAGGGAATAGATACATTCCTGGAATCATACAACCCCTCAAGCTTGAATCAAGAAGAAATAGAAATCCTGAACACATCAATAGCAAGCAGTGAGATTGATTCAGTAATTTAAAAAAAATAAATAAAACTGCCAATTTTAAGAAGCCCACAGCCAGATGGAGACAGCTGAATTCTACCAGATATTCAAAGAAATGATACCAGTTCTGGCTGGGCACAGTGGTTTATGCCTGTAATCCCAGCCCTTTGGGAGGCCAAGGCAGAGATCACTTGAGGTCAGGAGTTCGAGACCAGCCCAGCCAACATGGTGAAACCCCGTCTCTACTAAAAATACAAAAATTAGCTGGGCTGTGGCATGTGCCTGTAGTCCCAGCTACTTGGGAGGCTGAGGCAGGAGAATCACTTGAACCCAGGAGGCGGAGGCTCCAGTGAGCCGAGATCACACCACTACACTCCAGCCTGGGCAACACAGCAAGTCTCCATCTCAAAAAAAAAAAAAAAAAAAAAAAAAAAAGAATTGGTACCAATTTTACTGAAATTTTTCCAAAAACTCGAGAAGGAGGGATTGCTCCCTAACTCATCTTATGGGGCCAGTATCACCCTGATGCCAAAACCAGGGAAGGACATAACAAAAAAGAAAACTACAGACCAATATACCTGATGAACATAGATGTGAAAATTCTTAACAAAATATTAGCAAACTGAATCCAATAGCACATCAAAAAAATAATTCCCCATGAGGCCAGGTGCAGTGTCTCCCGCCTGTAATCCTAGCACTTTGGGAGGCCAAGGCGGGTGGATCACTTGAGGCCAGGAGTTCCAGACCAGCCTGGCCAACATGGTGAAACCCCCTCTCTACTAAAAATACAAAAATTAGCTGGAAGTGTTGGTGCAGGCCTGTAATCCCAGCTACTCGGGAGGCTGAGGCAGGAGAATCACTTGAACCCAGGAGGCAGAGGTTGCAGGGAGCCTTGATCATGCCACTGCACTCCAGCCTGGGCGACAGAGCAAGACTCTTATCAAAAAAAAAAAAAAGTAAAAAGGTAATTCTCCATGATCGAGTGAATTTCTTTCCAGGGATTCAGAGATGGTTCAGCATATGCAAGTCAATAAATGTGATTCATCATATGAACAGAATTAAAAACAAAAATGGTATGATCATCTCAATAAATGCAGAAAAAGCATTTGATAAAATTCAGCATCCCTTTATGATAAAAACCCTCAACAAACTAGGCATAGAAGGAACATACCTCAAAATAAAGCCATATGTGACACACTCAACAGCCAGCATCATGCTGAACAAGGAGAAGCTGAAAGTATTCCCCCTAAGGACTGGAACAAGGGAAGCATGCCCGCTTTCACTGCTTCTATTCAACATATTATAGTACTAGAAGTCCTAACCAGAGGAATCAGGCAAAAGAAAGAAACAAAGGGCATCCAAATTGGAAAAGAGGAAGTCCGGTGATCTCTGTTTGCCAATGATTGGATACCTAGAAAACCCTAAGGACTCCTCCAGAAGACTCCTCAATCAGATAAATGAATTGAATAAAGTCTCAGTATACAAAATCAGTGTACACAAAATAGTAGCACTGCTATACACCAACAACAGCCAAGCAGAGAATCAACTCAGTAACTCAATTCCTTTTACAATTGATATATATATACACACACGCACACCACACATACATACACACACACACACATACATATACACACACACACTTAACCAAGGAGGCAAAAAATCTTCACAAGGAGAACTACAAAACACTGCTGAAAGAAATAATAGATGACACAAACGAATGAAAATACATTCCATAAGAATCTGTATTCTGAAAACGACCATACTGCCCAAAGAATCAGTGAAATTCCTATCAAAATATCAGCATAATTTTTCACAGAATTAGAAAAAAAAATCCTAAAATTCATATGGAACCAAAAAAGAGCCCAAATAGCCAAAATCCTAAGCAAAAGGAATAAATCTAGAGGCATCACATTACCCCACTTCAAACTATACTATAAGGCTATAGTAAACCAAAACAGTGTGGTACTGGCATAAAAGTAGGTACTTAGAATAATAGAACAGAATAGGGAACCCAGAAATAAAGCCAAATACAACCAACTGATCTTTGACAATGCATACAAAAGCAGAGTGGGGAAAGGACACACTATTCAATAAATGGTGCTGAGGAAATTGGATAACCATGTAGAAGAATGAAACTGGACCCTTGCCTGTCACCACATACAAAAATTAACTCAAGATGGATTAAAGACTTAAGATCTGAAACCATAAACATTCTGGAAGAAAACCTAGCAAAAACTCTTCTGGACATTGGCCTAGGCAAAGAATTTATGACTAAGACCCCAAAAGCAAATGCAAGAAAAACAAAGATAAATAAATGCAACTTAACTAAACAAAGCTTCTGCACAGCAAAAGAAATAATCATCAGAATAAACAGACAACCTACAGAATGGGAGAAAATATTTGCAAATTATGCATCTGACAGCCAATATCCAGAATCTTCAAGGAACAAGTAATTCCATTAAAAAGTGGGCAAATGACATGACCAGACATTTCTCAAAAGAAATACACAAATGGCCAACAAACATGAAAAAATGTTCAACATCACTAATCTTCAGGGAACTGCAAATTAAAACCACCGTGAGATACCACCTTACCCCACCCAGAATGGCCATGATTAAAAAGTCAAAAAGTAGATGTTGGCATGAATGTGGTGAAAAAGGAATGCTTATACGTTGCTGGTGATAAAACAGTATGTAGAGATCTCAAAGAAGTAAAAGTAGATCTACCATTTAACCCAGCATTCCCACTACTGGGTATCTACCCAAAGGAAAAAAAGTCACTATATCAAAACTGCACATAGGTGTATTGCAGCACAGTTCACAGTTGCAAAGATATGGAATCAACCTCAGTGCCCAACAACCAATGAGTAGATAAAGAAAATGGGGTTTATATATACCATGGAATACTACTTAACAAAAAAGAATGAAATAATATCTTGCAGTGACTTGGATAGAACCAATAATGGTAGGCCATTATTCTAAGTGAAACAACTCAGGAATCAAAAAACCAGATACCACATGTTCTCACTTATAAGTGGGGACTTAGCTGTGGGTACACGAAGCCACACAGAGTGGCATAATGGACATTGGAGACTCAGAAGAGGGGAGGGTGCTGGGGAGTGAGGGATAAAAAACTACCTATAGGGTACAATGTACACTACCGGGGTGACGGGTGAACTAAAACCTTAGACTTCCCTACTACGTACTTCATCCATGTAATCAAAAACCACTTGTACCCCTAAAGCTATTGAAATAAAAAATTTTATTTAAAAAATAGAATTACAGTATGATCTAGTAATACTACTTCTGGGTGTATATCCAAAAGAATTGAAAGCAGGATCTTGCAGGATCTTGCACACCCATGTTTGTAGCAGCACTGTTCACAATAGCTAAACGTTTGAAGCAACCCAAGTATCCATCACGGGATGAATGGATACATATATGTGGTATATACATACAAGAAAATATTACCCAGCCTTAAAATGGAAGAAAATTTTGACACATGCTACCACATGGATAAACCTTGAAGACATTATGTTAAGTGAAATAGCCAATCACGAAAAGATAAATACTGTACAATTCCACTTACCTAGAGTAGTCAAATTCATAGCAACAAGTAGGGTAGTGGTTGCCAGATTCTGTGGGGAGGTGGAAAATGGAGAGCAACTTAATGGGTTATACTGTTTCAATTTTATAAGATGAAAAAGTTTTGGAGATTGATTGCATAACAATGTGAATATACTTAACAGTACTGAACTATACACATAGGTTAAGATGGTAATTTTTATGTTACGTGTTTTTTACAATAATTTTTAAAAATAATCTAGGAACAATTCTTTCATAAGGTCATAATTTAGAAGCAGTGGCAGATTTAGACAGCATTATTACTATTTTTAATTATTTTCAAGAGCAGTTTTCACAGCAAAATTGAGAAGAAAGCACAGAGAGTTCCCCTGTACTGCCTGTTCCCATACATGCACAACTGTTGACATCCCTCGCTAGAGTGGTACATTCGTTAAAATTGATGACCCTACATTGACACATCATCACCCCAAGTTCGTACTTTACCTTAGGGTTCATTCTTGGTGTTGTACATTCTGTGGATTTTGACAAATGTATAATGACATGTATCCGCCACTGTAGTATACAGAAAAGTTTCTCTGCCTTAAAAACCCTCTGTGTTCAGCCTGTTCTTCCTTCCTCACTAACTTCTAGCACCCTCTTGTCTTTTTACTGCCTCTATAGTTTTACCCTTTCCAGAACATCATATAGTTGGAATCATACAGTATGTAGCCTTTTCAAATTGGGTTTTTTGTTTGTTTGAGACAGCATCTTGCTCTGTTGCCCAGGCTGGAGTACAGTGTTGTGATGTTGGCTCACAGCAGCCTCTACCTCCTGGGCTCAAATGATCCTCCCACCCCAGCCTCCCAAGTAGTTGGGACTACAGGAATGCACCAGCACACCCAGCTAATTTTTGTATTGTTTGTAGAGACGGGTTTCGCTATGTTCCCCAGGCTAGTCTCAAACTCCTGGGCTGAAGCAATCCACTGCCTCAGCCTCCCAAAATGTTGGGATTACAGACATGAACCACTGCACTTGGCCTAGGTTCTTTCATTTAGTAATTTGCATAAATTTCCTCCATGTCTTTTTGTGACTTAATAGCTTATTTACGTTTAGTGCTAAATAATCTTCCATTTATGTATGTACCACATTTTATCTGTTCACTGAAGGGTCTCTTGATTGCTTCCAAGTTTTGGCAATTATAAATTGTTATAAATAAATAAGGCTGCTGTAAACATCTGTGTGTAAATTTTTCTGTGGGTAAGTAAGTTTTCAGTTCATTTGGGCAAATACCAAAGAACACAATTGCTGAATCATATGTAAGAGTATGTTTAATTTTGCGAGAAACTACCAAACTCTGTTTCATAGTGGCTGTACCAGTTTGCATTCCTTCTAGCAGTGAGTGAGAGTTCCTGTTGCTTCACATCCTTGTCAGCATTTGGTGTTGTCAGTGTTACAGGATTTGGCCATTCTAATAATTTTGTTATAGTATCTCATTATTGTTTTAATTTGCAATTCCCTTATGACATATGATGTTGAACATCTTTTCATATGCTTACTAGCCACTTTACATTGTCTTTGATGAAACATCTGTTTTGATAAAACATCTGTTCTGATCTTTTGCCCATTTTTAGTTGGGTTGTTTTCTTAATGTTGAGTATTAAGAATTCTTTGTATATTTTAGATAACAGTCCTTTATCAGATGTGTTCTTTGCAAATACATTCTCCCAGTCCGTGGCTTGTCTTCTCAGTCCTTCATATGTTTTCTGTGGAGCAGAAATCTTAAATTTTAATGAAGTACAGCCTATCAGTTTTTTCTTTCATGGATTATGGCATTGGTGTCGTATCTAAGAAGTCATCACCATACCCACGGTCATCTAGGTTTTCTCCTATGCTCTCTTTATGAGCTTTATGGTTTGCATTTTGCACTTAGGTCTGTGATCCATTTTGAGTTAATTTTTATGAACAGTGTAAGATCTTTATGTGGATTCATTTTTTGCATGTGGATGTCCAGCACCATTATTCCAGCACCATTGTGGAAAATACAGTCTTTTCACCTTTGCATTGCCTTTCCACTTTGTCAGAGATCAGTTGACTACATTAATGTGGGTCTGTTTCTGGGCTCCCTGTTCCACTGACCTATTTGTCTGTTCTTTCACCAATACCACATTGTCTTGATTATTGTAGCTTTCCAGCTAGTCTTGAAGTCTGGTGATAGACACGGAATTATTTTGATAACACTTGTCAACTAAAGTTTGTGGATTTTTAAGCTAGTGATCTGTTACCAACCTAATTCTACTCTGCCCTGTGCTCTCATTTGTCTTCGCAGTACTCCAGTTGGAAAAATGGAGCTGCTGTAGTTGAATTAACAACCAAGCTTGGCTTTCTGTAATTTTTTTTTTCCAATTGTAAGTGGTGTTCTATCATAACACTATTTAAGAGGCAAGGATAGTGCCTCTGGTACCTACAACAAATATGTAACTCATTTTTAATTAAGAAGTTTAGGTTAAGTGAAGTTAAAGCAGCCAGATGGAATTTTAAAATTATATATGTATTCTGTTTATTATACAAGTATTTGGTAGGTTGCAATGATAAAAAATATTAAAACGGTGGCTTGTAAGTACTATAAACATGAATATAGTCTTTATGATTTGGTATTAGTTACGGCGCTTTTTTTCTTCTTTTGTTTTAGGAGTCTACCATGGCTCAAGAATCTCCCAAAAATTCAGCAGCAGAAATTCCAGTGACTAGTAATGGAGAAGTTGATGACTCTCGTGAACATAGCTTTAATAGGGTAAGAACACTTTTCTTTCTCTTAATGCAAAGAATCATGGTAAGTCTTTAAATGTTGAGATGAAAGTAATAGACAAAATTTAATATAGGATTGTTTTCTTAGATTGGCTTCAGTCAGGAATCTAATGTTATTATATAGGGATGACAAGGAAGGCCATTTTAGTAGTTTGTCAAGATTAAGCTCCAGGCCAGTAAACTATTAGGCTTTGGTTTATTTTCAGTAATTGATCAGCACAAAAGTATGTCTGATGATTTTGGTATCTAACTTTATAAGACTATTAATTCTGTTTGTAATAAAAAGATTATCCTTTTAAAATTGGCACTAATAACTTTTCTATATATATGTCATTTAGTACATAATTTCTAAATAGCCACTTCTGATTTTGCTGTTCATTTTCTAAAGTGCCATACTTGACTCAGTGGAAAATGATACTCGGGGTGCATTTAATTTTGATCTGTCTCTCAGTCGAAATTTAATTTTATTGCATTTTAATGGGAACACCATGGGTTTGAAGATAATCTGGGTTCAAATTTCAGCTATGCCACATTTCTAGCAGTATAACCTTGAGCCAGTTATTTATTTAATCTCTTCAGGTTTTTGTTTTCTAATCTCTACAATGAATATCTTATTTACTTTCATGAAGATATTAATATTAAATGAGATAATATGTCTAATATAGTCATAGAAATGATAGTGATGGTTATTATTTCTGGAGATACTTGCATTAAACATTCCTTTTTATGACATTTGATGCAAGTGTACAACTTTAAAAACAGAGTTTTCGTATTTTTGAAAAAGTAGTGGTTGAAATGTACTTAAATTATTATGTAGTTTAAATAGGACTCTTTACTCCATGTGTTTAAGAATAAAATCTTTTAGTTAGCAGAAGGTGATAACTTAAATCAGGATTTCTCAGTCTTAGCACTGTTGACATTTTGGGCCAAATTGTACTTTGTTGGGTGTATTGGCCTATACATTGTAGGATGGTTGGCACATTCCTGGCCTCTTCCTACTATTTAATAGATGCCAGTAGTACCCTGCAGTTATGACAAGCAGATATGTCCAGATATTGCTGAATGTCTCCAGGAGAGGGGACAAATTCCTCCTTGGTTGAGAATTACTGTTATAAATAGATCGGTTTAAATAATAGTAGAAGTGTCCACTGAATTTCATTTATTTTTGCATTAACAGTCTTTTGAAAAGAACTAGTATGTCTTCAAGCTCGAGGTTTATTTTAATGGCAAGTGCTTTAACTTGGTTTCTGAGCACTTGTGGTCCAATATAGAGTGACTCATAGAACCAAGAGACTTTTAAATTCTGAGCACACAAAAGAAATTTTCATTTCAGATTTTAGTCTTTCCAAGACACACCTGCATAATAAAGAAACTCAAGTTAGCATCATTAGACTATACCAATTACCTGATAAACTTTTACTAATTTTAATACTAATTATGCCAAGATTCAAGTTAATGATTTCTTCATCTTATTTTTGGTAACAGCTCTTTTTGCAAACTTACTATGCAAGTATTTACTGAATATCTGCTCTGTACCAGGTACTGGGGATATACAGTGAACAAAAATATCTGTCATCAGGTAGTTGATATTTTAAAAGACAATCTGATGAAAGCTGAGGACCTTTATCCAAGAGTAATGCAATACATAGAAAATGTTGCATTCATGGTTAGGGAAGTCACTTGCCATCTTAAGCCTATTTTTTTTCTTCTTCTTCTTTATTGAGGTATAGCTTCTACACAGCAGAAAGCACAAATGTTAAGTGTACCACTCAAGAGAACTACCGCTCAGATAAAGATGTAGAACATTTCCAGGACCTCAGAAGGCTTCCTTATGCCCTCTAGGCAATACAACTCATCCCATCCTGGGATAACCACATTAACCTAACTCTATAATCATAAATTGCTTTTGGCTGTTTCTGAAATACCTATCAGTGGAATCATACAGTGTGTACTCTTTTTCAACTGGCTTTCACTCAACATTATGTCTGTGAGATTCAGTCATATTGTTGCTTATAGCAGTTTTTCTATCTTTTTTTTTAAATTTTAAGTTCTGGGATACATATGCAGAACGTGCAGGTTTGTTACATAGGTATACATGTGCCATGGTGGTTCGCTGCACCTGTCAACCCATCATCTAGGTTTTAAGCCCTGCATGCATTAGGTATTTGTCCTAATGCTCTCCCTCCCTTTGCCCCCCACCCCCCGAGTATTTCAGTGTTTAAAATTGTAGTATAGTTTTCCAGTGTGTTAATATACCACAGTTTGTATATCCATTCTTCAGCTGATTGTTATCTAGGTTGTTTCCAGTTTATGATTATTATGAATAAAGCTGCTGTGACCATTCTTGTGCAGATTTTTTGGTGTACTTGATTATTTGTTTTTATTGAGTACATACCCAAGAGTGAAATTGCCAGGTCACGAGTATATGAATGTTTGGCAAATGGTTGGACCAGCTGGCAACACCAGCAATGAATGAGAGTTCTAGTTGTTCCACATCCTTACTAGCTCTTCATATTGTCATACATTTCAATTTTAGCCATTCTTTTAATGGTATCCCATTGTGGTTATAAAATGCTGTTCCCTGATGACTATGATGTTGAGCACATTTTCATATTCTTATTGACCATTGGAGATTGTCTTTTATAAAGTACTTTTCCAAGCCTTTTGCCCGTTTTTCTACTGGGTGTGTGTCTTTTTTTCTAATCTATTTGTAGGAGTTCTTTATATATTCTGGGTATATGCCATTTGTTTGGATGTATATATGCAAATATCTTCTTCCAGTCTATGTCTTGTTTTTGTACTCTATTAATGGCATCTTTTGATGAACAGAAGTTGTTAATTTTAATGAAGTCCAATTTCTCAGTGTTTCCTTCTGTAGTAATTTTTATGTCGCATTTAAGAAATCTTTGCCTACTTCAGTATCTTGAAGACACTTTGTTTCTTCTAAAAGTTGTGTTGTTTTGTTTTTCACACTATGGTCTGTGATTCATCTTGAATTAGTTTTTGTGTATGATGTGAAGTAGGGACCAAGATTTTTCTTCCTCTCATGTAAATATTCAATTGATCAGCACTGTTTTTTGAAAAGACTCTTCTTTCTATACATATGCAAAAAAATTAAATTGGATCTTTATCTTACACCATACACAAAACTAACTCAAAATAAATTAAAAGCCTAACTGTAAGACCTGAAATTATAAAACTTCTAGAAGAAAACATAGGGGAGAAGCTCCATGACATTGGTCTTGGCAATAATTTTTTGATATGATGTCAAAAGCACAGGCAACAAAAAAATAAACAAGTGGGACTACGTCAAACTAAAAACTTTCTGCACAGCAAAGGAAACAATCAACAAAATGAAAAGGCATCCTATGGAATGGGAGAAAATATTTGTAAACCATATATCTGATAAAGTGTTAATATCCAAAATATGTAAAGAACTCATACAAGTCAATAGCAGAAAAACAGCTCAATTTAAAACTGGGGATTTGAGTAGACATTTTTCAAAAAAAAAAAAAAAGTACAAATGGCCAACAGGTATGTGAAAAGGTGCTCAACATCACTAATCATCAGAGAAATGCTAATCAAAACCTCAGTGAGATATCAGTTCATACCTATTAGGATGACTATTATCAAAAAGTCCAAAGGTAAGTGTTGACCCTTATATACTGTTAGTGGAAATGTCAGTTGGTACATCTGTTGTGGAAAACAGTATGGCAATTTCTTAAAAAATTAAAGTAGAACGACCATAAGATCTAGCAGTTCCATTTCTGGGTATATATTCAAAGGAAATTAAATCACTGTCTTGAATAGTTATCTGTACTCCCATGTTCTTTGCAGCATTATAAACAATAGCCAAAATATGGAAATAACCTAAGTGTCTGTTAATGGATGAATGGATAAAGAAAATATATACATACACATACACCCACAGACAATGCGATATCATTCAAGCTCTATTAAAAAGGAAGAAATCCTACCATTTGTAACAGCATAGGTGAACCTGGAAGATATTAGGCTAAGTACAATAAGCCAGACACAGGAAGACAAATACGGCATGATTCTGTACTTACATGTGGAATCTTAAAGTTGAATTCATAGAAACAGATAGTAGATAGGTGATTATAGGGAGTATGTTAGTCTGTTTTTGAGTTGCTATAAAGAAATACCTGAGGCTAGGTAATTTATAAAGAAGAATTTTGTTTTGGCTCACAGTTCTGCAGGCTGTGCAGGAAGTATGATGCCAACATCTGCTCAGCTTCTGGTGGGGCCTCAGGGAGCTTTTACCCATGGTGGAAGGCAAAGCAGGCACATCACATGGTGAGAGAGGGAGCAAGAGAGAAAAGGTGGAGGTCCCAGACTCTTTTAAACAACCAGATCTTGTGTAAACTAACTGAGCAAGAACTCACCTATTACCAAGGGAGTGGTGTTAAACCATTCATGAGGAATCCGCCCCCATGATCCAGTCACTTCCCACAAGGCCCCACCTCTAACATTGGGAATCACATTTCAACATGGGATTTGGAGGGACAAACTTTGCCCCTAGCCCCCTAAATCTCTTGTTCTCACATTTCAAAATGTAGTCATGCCTTCACAGTAGTTTCCTAAAGTCTTAACTCATTCCAGTATTAACTCTCAAGTCTAAACTCTCAACTAGAGACGAATTTCTTCCACCTATGAGTGTGCGAGACCAAAAACAAGTTATTTACTCCCAAGATACAATGGTAGTACCGGTATTAGGTATACATTCCCATTCCAAAAGGGAGAATTTGGCCAAAAGAAGGGGAATAGGCCCCACACAAATCTGAAACCCAGCAGGGAAATCATTAAATCTTAAAGTTCCAAAACCATCTCCTTTACTCTGTGCTCTGCATCCTGGGCACACTGGTGCACGGGATGGGCACCTCAGGCTTTGGGCAGCTCTGCCCCAGCCTCCATGGCTGCTCTCACTGGTTGGAGTTGAGTGCCTGTGCCTTTTCCACACTGAGATTGCAAGCTGTTGGTGGTTCTACCATTCTCGGGTCTGGAGGGTGGTGGCTCCCTTCCCACAGCTCTCCTAGGCAGTGGCCCAGTAGGGACTCTGTGTGGGGGCTGCAGTTGCCAAACTTCTTTCAGTCTTGCATTCTCTGCACCTACAGGCTTAACACCACATGGAAGCTGCCAAGACATATGGCAGCTTATATTCTCCAAAGTGGCAGCTGGCACAGCTGGGATGTGGGGAGCAGTGTCCCAAGGTTGCACAGGGCAGCAGCATACTGGGTCTGGCCCACAAAACCATTCTTTTCTTCTAGGCCTCTGGTCTTGTGATAGGAGGGGCTGTCCCAAAGACTTCTGAAATGCCCTTTAAGGCCTTTTTCCCATTGTCTTGGATGTTAGCACATGGCTCCCCTTTAGTCACGCTAATCTCTCTAGCAAGTGGCTGCTCCACAGTCTGCTCGGATTCTTTCTCTACCACAGGGCCAGCCTGCAAATTTTCCAAACTTTTATGCTCTGCTTTCCTTTTAAATATAAGTTCCAACTTTAAGTCATTTATTTGCTCTCATATCCAATCTTAGGCTGTTAGAGGCAGCCAAGTCACCTCTTGAATGCTTTGCTGTTTAGAAATTTCTTCTGCCAGATAACCTAATTTGTCACTCTTAAGTTCAAACTTCCACAGATCCCTAGGACATGAATGCAGTGCAGCCAAGCTCTTTGCTAGGGTATACCATGGGTGACTTTTACTTCAGTTCCCATTCGCTTCCTCATTTCCATCTGAAACCTTGTCAGCCTGGACTTCACTGTCCATATTTCTATCAGCATTTTGGTCACAACCATTTAACCAGTCTCTAAGAGGTTCCAAATTTTCCTTCACCTTCCTGTCTTCTTCTGAGCCCTCTCAATTCTTCCAACCTCTGCTCATTACCCAGTTCCAGAGCTGCTTCCACATATTCAGGAACATTTATAGCAATACTTACTCCTCGGTATCAATTTTCTGTGTTAGTCCATACTTATGTTGCTATAAAGAAATACATGAAACTGGGTAATTTATAAAAAAAAGAGTTTTATTTGGCTCACAGTTCTGCAGGCAGTAAAGGAAGCGTGGTACCAACATCTGCTCCTGGTGAGGGCCTCAAGAAGTTTCCAATCATAAGTGGTAGGTAAAAGGGGAGCAGACACATCACATGGTGAGAGCAGGAGCAAGAGAGAAAGGGGAGGACCCAGAGTCTTTTAAACAACCAGATCTCATGTGGACTGGGTGAGAACTCATCACCAAGGGGATGGTCCTAAACCATTCATGAGGGATCTGCCCTCATGATCCAGTCACCTCCCTCCTAGCACCATCTCCAACATTGAGAATCACATTTCAGCATGAGATTTGGAGGAGACGAACATCCAAAACCATATGTTGAAGAGGTGCGGGAGGAAGATTTTGATAAAAGGATACAAACCTGCAGTTGACGGGTAAGTTCTGGAGATATAATATACAGCATGCTAACTATAGTTTATTGACTATGTGATGTTTTATATACTTGAAATGTGCTGAGAGTAGATCTTAAGTATTCTCACCCACACATACAAATAAAAATGATAACTGTGAAGTAATGGATATGCTCATCAGTTTGATTGGTAATCCTTTCATAGTATAAATGTAAATGGAAACCACGTTGTACACCTTACAATTAAATACAATTTTAATTGTCAATTATACCTCAATAAAGCTGGGAGAAAAAAAGACTATCCTTCCTCCACTGGGGGCTTTGTTTTCAGATGATTGTATATGTGTGGGTCTGTTTCTGGTATCTCTTTTCTTTCTTCTTTTTTTGGTCTGACCTTGAAGCAATAACACATTGTCTTATTTATTTACTACAGTAATTAAAACTGGAGTAAATGTCAGCTCCAATCTTGATACTGGTAGTTTATTTCTCCAGCTTTGTTCTTTGAGGTTGCCTTGCACATTAAACTCATTCATGAGTCTTAAGAACGTTTATTTGCCTTTGAGTAGCACTGAAACAAATTTTTTTCCCCTTCCTCTCAAATTTTAACTTTAGAATAAAAAGTTTTATTTTTTATTTTTATTTTTATTTTTCCGCAAGTTATTGAGGTACAGGTGGTATTTGGTTACATGAATAAGTTCTTTAGTGGTGATTTGTTAGATTTTGGTGCACCTGTCACCAAGCAGTATACACTGCACCATATTTTATCCCTTGTCCCCCTCCCACTCTTCCCCCCAAACCACTAAAGTCCATTGTATCATTCTTACGTCTTTGCATCCTCATAGCCTAGTTCCCACATAATCAGTGAGAACATACGATGTTTGGTTTCCATTCCTGAGTTACGTCATTTAGAATAGTAGTCTCCAATCTCATCCAGGTCACTCCAAATGCTGTTAATTCATTCCTCTTTATGCCTGTGTAATATTGCATCATATATATACACCACAGTTTCTTTATATACTCATTGATTGATAGGCATTTGGGTTGTTTCCATGATTTTGCTATTGTGAATTGTGCCACTATAAACATGTGTGTGCAAGTATCTTTTTTGCATGACTTCTTTTCCTCTGGCTAGATACCCAGGAGTGGGATTGCTGGATCAAATGATAGTTCTACTTTTAGTTCTTTAAGGAATCTCCACACTGTTTTCCACAGTGGCTGTACTAGTTTACATTCCCACTAGCAGTGGAGAAGTGTTTCCTGTTCACCGCATCCACACCAACATGTACTGGTTTTTGATTTTTCGATCATGGCCATTCTTGCAGGAGTGAGGTGATATTGCGTTGTGGTTTTGATTTGCATTTTCCTGATCATTTAGTGATGTTGAGCATTTTTTCATATGTTTGTTGGCCATTTGTATATCTTCTTTTGAGAATTGTCTATTCATATCTTTAACCTACTTTTTGATGGGATTATTTGGTTTTTTCTTACTAATTTGTTTGAGTTCATTGTAGACTCTGGATATTAGTCCTTTGTCAGATGTATAGATTGTGAAGATTTTGTCCCACTCTGTGGGTTGTCTGTTTACTCTGCTGACTTCCTTTTGCCATGCAAAAGCTCTTTAGTTTAATTAGGTCCCAGCTATTTATCTTTGTTTTTATTGCATTTGCTTTTGGGTTCTTGGTCATGAAATCCTTGCCTAAGCCAGTGTCCAGAAGGGTTTTTCCAATGTTATCTTCTAGAATTTTTATAGTTTCAGGTCTTAGGTTTAAGTCCTTAATCCATCTTGCGTTGATTTTTGTATAAGGTGAGAGATGAGAATCCAGTTTCATTCTCCTACAAGTGACTAGCCAATTATCCCAGCACCATTTGTTGAAAAGGGTGCCCTTTCCCCACTTTATGTTATTGTTTGCTTTGTCAAAGATCAGTTGGCTGTAAGTATTTAGGTTTATTTCTGGGTTCTCTATTCTGTTCCATTGGTCTACATGCCTATCTTTATACCAGTACCACACTGTTTTGGTGATGGCTTATAGTATAGTTTGAAATCAGGTAATGTGATGCCTCCAGATGTGTTGTTTTTGTTTAGTCTTCCTTTGGCTGTGTGGGCTCTTTTTTGGTTCCATATGAATTTTAGAATTGTTTTTTCTAATTCCGTGAAGAATGATGGTGGCATTTTGATGGTGACTGCATTGACTTTGTAGATTGCTTTTGGCAGTATGGTCATTTTCACAATATTGATTCTACCCATCCATGAGTATGGGATGTGTTTCCATTTGTTTGTATCATCTGTGATTTCTTTCAGCAGTGTTTTGCAGTTTTCTTTGTAGAGGTCTTTTGACTCCTTCATTAAGTATATTCCGAAGTATTTTTTTATTATTATTTTTTGCAGCTATTGTAAAAGGGGCTGAGTTCTTGATTTGATTCTCTTCTTGGTCACTGTTGGGCTATAGAAGAGCTACTGATTTGCCTAGATTCATCTTGTATCTGGAAACTTTGCTGAATCCTTTGATCAGTTCTAGGAGCTTTCTGGAGGAGTCCTTAGGGTTTTCGAGGTAAACAATCATATCATCAGCAAACAGTGACAGTCTGATTTCCTCTTTACCAATTTGGATGTCCTTATTTCTTTCTCTTGTCTGATTGCTCTGGCTAGGACTTCCAGTACTATGTTGAAGAGGAGTGGTGAGAGTGGGCATCCTTGTCTTGTTCCCATTCTCAGAGAGAATGCTTTCAACTTTTCCCCATTCAGTATTATGTTGGCTGTGGGGTTTCTCATAGTTGGCTTTTATTACATTAAGGTATGTCCCTTGTATGCTGATTTTGCTGAGAGTTTTAATCATAAAGTGATGCTGGATTTTGTCAAATGCTTTTTCGGCATCTATTGAGATGATTGTTTAACTTTTGTTTTTAATTCCGTTTATGTGGTTTATCACATTTATTGACTTGTATATGTTAAACCACCCCTGCATCTCTGGTATGAAACCCACTTGATCATGGTGGATTATCATTTTGATATGTTGTTGAATTTGATTAGCTAATATTTTGTTAAGGATTTTAGCATCAATGTTCATCAAGGTATCAGTCTGTAGTTTTCTTTTTTGATTATGTCCTTTCCTGGTTTTGGTATTAGGGTGATGCTGGCTTCATAAAATGAATTAGGGAGGGTTCCTTCTTTCTCTCTCTTATGGAATAGTGTCAAAAGGATTGGTACCAATTCTGTGTTGAATTTCTGGTATAATTCTGCTGTGAATCTCTCTGGTCCTGGACTTTTTTTGTTGGTAATTTTAAAATTACCATTTCAGTCTCACTGCTTGTTATTGATCTGCTCGGGGTATCAAATTCTTCCTGATTTAAGCTAGGAAGGTTGTATTTTTCCAGAAATGTATCCACCTCTTCTAGATTTTCTAGTTTATGTGTGTAAAGGTGTTCATAGTAGCCTTGAGTGACCTTTTGTTTGTCAGTGGTGTCAGTTGTAATATCCCCTGTTTCATTTCTTTGTGAGGTTATTTGAATTTTCTCTCTTCTTTTCTTGGTTAATCTTGCTAATGGTCTATCAATTTTATTTATCTTTCAAATAACCACCTTTTTGTTTCATTTATCATTTGTATTTTTTTGTTGTTGTTTGTTTCAATTTCATTTAGTTCTGCTCTGATCTTGGTAATTTCCTTTCTTCTGCTGGGTTTGGGTTTGGTTTGTTCTTGTTTCTCTAGTTCCTTGAGGTGTGACCTTAGAATGTCAGTTTGTGCTGTTTCAGTTTTTTTGATGTAGGCGTTTAGCACCTCTTTGCACTTCTTAGCACCACCTTGCTGTTTCCCAGAGGTTTTGATAGGTTAATTTCCACCTTGTTTTCATTTTTGAGCCAGTGCTCATTCAGAAGCAGGTTATTAATTTCCATGTATTTGCATGGTATCAAAGGTTCCTTTTGGAGTTGATATCCAGTTTTATTCCACTGTGGTCTGAAAGAGTGCTTGATATAATTTCAATTTCCTTAAGTTTATTGAGGTTCGTTTTGTAGCCTATCATATGGTCTATCTTAGAGAAATTTCCACGCGCTGTTGAATAGAATGTGTATTCTGTGGTGGTTGGATGAAATGTTCTATATGTATCTGTTAAGTCCATTTGTTCCAAGGTATAGTTTAAATCCATTGTTTCTTTGTTGACCTTCTATCTTGATGACCTGTCTAGTGCTGTCAGTGGAGTATTGAAATCCCCCACTATTATTGTGTTGCTGTCTATCTCATTTCTTAGGTCTATTAGTAATTGTTCTATAAATTTGGGAGCTCCAGTGTTAGGTGCATATTTGTGTAGGATTGTGATATTTTCCTGCTAGACAAGGCCTTTTACCATTATATAATGTCCCTGTTTGTCTCTTTTAATTGCTGTTGCTTTAAAATTTGTTTTGTCTGATGTAAGAATAGCTATCCCTGCTCGCTTTTTGTGTGCATTGGCATAAAATGCCTTTTACCACTCCTTTAAGTTTATCTGAGTCCTTATGTGTTAGGTGAGTCTCCTGAAGGCAGCAGATGGTTGGTTGATGAGTTCTTATCCATTCTGTGGCTCTGTATCTTTTTTTTTTTTTTTTTTTTTTGAGACAGCGTCTCGCTCTTGTTGCCCAGGGTGGAGTGCAATGGCGCAATCTCGGCTCACTGCAGCTTCCACCTCCTGGGTTCAGGTGATTCTCCTACCTCAGCCTCCGGAGTAGCTGGGATTACAAGGCACCCACCACCACGCCCAGCTATTTTTTGTATTTTTGGTAGAGACAGGGTTTCACCGTGTTGGCCAGGTTGGTCACCAACTCCTGACCTCAGGTGATCCACCCGCCTCGACCTCCGAAAGTGCTGGGATTATAGTCGTGAGCCACTGCACCCAGTCAGTTCTGTATCTTCTGTATCTTTTTTTTTTAAGATGGAGTCTCGCCTCGCTCTGTTGCCAGGCTAGAGTGCAGTGGCGTGATCTCGGCTCACTGCAACCTCCACCTCCCGGGTTCAAGTGATTCTTCTGCCTCAGCCTCCCGAGTAGCTGGGATTACAAGCACGTGCCACCATGCCCAGCTAATTTTTGTATTTTTAGTAGAGATGGAGTTTCACCATGTCGGCCAGGATGGTCTCAATCTCCTGACCTCGTGATCCGCCCCCCTCAGCCTCCCAAAATGCTGGGATTACAGGCATGAGCCACCGTGCCAGGCCAGTTCTGTATCTTTTAAGTAGAGCATTTAGACCATTTGTATTCAATGTTAGTATTGAAATGTGAGGTACGGTTGCATTCATTGTGCTCTTTGTTGCCTGTGTACTTTTGTTTTTTGTTTTTGCTTTTTAATGTGTATTTTTGTTTTATAGGACCTGTATGATTTATGCTTTAAAGAGGTTCTGTTTTGATGTGTTTCCAGTATTTGTTTGAAGATTTAGAGCCCCTTTCAGCAGTTTTTGTGGTGGTGGTTTGGTAATGGCTGATTCTCTCAGCATTTGTCAGAAAACGACTGTATCTTTCCTTCATATATGATACTTAGTTTCACTGGATACAAAATTATTGGCTGATAATTGTTTTGCTTGAGGAGGCGAAAGATAGGGCCCCAATCCATTCTAGCTTGTAGGGTTTCTGCTGAGAAATCTGCTGTTGATCTGATAGGTTTTCCTTTATAGGTAACCTTGTGCTTCTGTCTCACAACTGTTAAGATTCTTTCTACCTCTGGACCAGCCTGCTAGCCCACATGCTCCGATGTTAATGACATCGAAGGCACCCGTCTCGAGGAAATCTCAACTGCACAACCCCTACTACACCCCAATTCAGCAGGAAGCAGTTAGAGCGGTCGTCAGCCAACCTCCCCAGCAGCACTTGGGTTTTCCTGTTGAGAGCGGGGACTGAGAGACAGGACTAGCTGGATTTCCTAGGCTGACTAAGAATCCCTAAGCCTAGCTGGGAAGGTGACCGCGTCTACCTTTAAACACGGGGCTTGCAACTTAGCTCACACCCAACCAATCAGATAGTAAAGAGAGCTCACTAAAATGCTAATTAGGCAAAAACAGGAGGTAGAGAAATAGCCAATCATCTATCGCCTGAGAGCACAGCAGGAGGGACAATGATCCGGATATAAACCCAAGCATTCGAGCCAGCAATGGCTACCCTCTTTGTGTCCCCTCCCTTTGTATGGGAGCTCTATTTTCACTCTATTAAATCTTGCAACTGAAAAAAAAAAAAAAAAGATTCTTTCTTCATCTTAACTTTGGATAACCCGATGACATTGTGCCTAGGATCTTTTTGCAATGAATTTTCCAGGTGTTGCTTGTGCTTCTTGTATTTGGATGTCTAAGTCTCTAGCAAGGCAGGGGAGGTTTTCCTTGATTATTCCTCTGAATATGTTTTCCAAGCTTTTAGAATTCTCCTCTTCCTCAGGAACACTGATTATTCTTAGGTTTGGTTGTTTAACATAATCCCAGACTTCTTGGAGGCTTTGTTCATATTTTCTTATTCTTTTTTCTTTGTCTTTGTTGGATTGGGTTAATTCGAAGACCTTGCCTTCGAGCTCGGAATTTCTTTCTTCTACTTGTTCAATTCTGTTGCTGAGAATTTCCAGAGCATTTTGGATTTCTAAAAGTGTTTCCATAAAAGTTTCCTGAATTTTTTATTGTTTTTCCTTTATACTATCTATTTCCTTGAATATTTCTCCCTTCATTTCTTATGTCTTTTTTTTTGGATTTCCTTGCATTGGTCTTCGCATTTCTCTGGTCCCTCCCTGGTTAGCTTAATAACTAACCTCCTGAATTCTTTTTCAGATAAATCAGGGATTGTTGGTTTGGATCTGTTGCTGGTGAACTTGTGTGATTTTTTGGGGGGATGTTGAAGAGCCTTGTTTTGTCATATTACCAGGGTTGGTTTCCTGGTTCCTTCTCATTTGGGTAGGCTCTGTCAGAGGGAAGGTCTAGGGCTGAAGGCTGTCGTTCAGATTTTTTTTGTCCTATGGGGTGTTCGCTTGATGTAGTAGTCTCCCCATTTTCCTATGGATGTGGCTTCCTGTGAACCAAACTACAGTGATTTTTGTCTTTCTTCTGGGTCTAGCCACCCAGAGAGTGTATCTGGCTCCAGGATGGTACTGGGGGTTATCTGCACAGAGTCCTGTGATGTGAACCATCTGTGGGTCTCTCAGCCATGGATTCCAGCACCTATTCCATTGGAGGTGGCAGAGGGTGCAATGGACTCCATGAGGGTCCTTAGCTTTGGTGGTTTAATGCTCTGTTTTTGTGCTGATTGGCCTCCTGCCAGGAGATGGTGCTTTCCAGAAAGCATCAGCTGTAGTAATGTGGAGAGGGACTGGTGGTGGGCACTGCCCTAGAACTCCCAGGAGTATACGCATTTGTCTTCAGCTACCAGGGTGGGTAGGGAGGGACCATCAGGTAGGGGCAGGGCTAGTTGTGTTTGAGCTCAAACTATCCCTGGGCGAGTCTTGCTGCAGCTGCTCTGGGGGATGGGGGTGAGATTCCCAGGTCACAGGAGTTGTGTACCTAGGAGGATTATGGCTGCCTCTGCTGAGTCACACAGGTTGTCAGGGAAGTGGGGGAAAGCCGGCAGTCACAGGCCTCACGCAGCTCGCACGCAAACTGAAGGGCTGTTCTCACTTCCACTGTGCCCCCACCAACAGCCCTGAGTCTGTTTCAAGGCAGAGAGCGTGATAGGCTTGAAAACCTGACCCAGGCTACCCACCTTCCAGCTGCGAAAGAAAAGGGCTTGGTTCTTGCATGGCCTGTGGAGTCTGCACACGGGATTTGTGCCCTCCCCTGACTTGTGGCCAGGAGGCTTCTACCACCGTTCAAATTGTTACAAAGTTCAGCTGGAGATTTCCTTCTCACTGTGGAGTTTTACCCCCTGCTCCTCTGGTCACCCTCCTGATGGATCCCTGTGGTACCAGGCAGGAATGGCCTGCTAGGGGACCCAGCGAGCTCCCAGGGCCTTTCTGCTGCTTCGTGTACCACTGTATTTCTCTTGGCTCTCTAAACTTGACTCAGCTTTAGGTAAAATCAGAAACTTCTCCCACGAACAGACCTTCAGCCTCTCCAGTGGGAGTGTGTTTGGGAGAGGAGGCTCTCCCTTTCCCACTTCCGTAGTTGGGGCACTCACAGTACTTGAGGTGTCTCCTGGGTCCTCCGGGAGCAGTCCGCTTCCTTCAGAGGGTCTGTGGGTCCTCTCGGGATTGCTGATTTGTTCTTGCAGTCAATCTGGAGCTAAAATTTACAATGAAAAGTTTTATTAGAATGAAGTGAATTAAACTGCAACATATCAGTATGAGTTATTTGCTTATTCAAAGCCAATAATTTCCTCCTTTGTGAATTGATTGATTGATTTAAATTAAATTCTCTTTTTAAAGATTCCCTTGCAATTATTTTACTTCCTATTGGAAGGCAGAAAAGGAAAACATAGGTTGTCTTGGTGGTCTCTCCTTATTGAATATGAACCTTATCAGTGGGCAAGCCTCCATAGAAGCAATAACCTATTTCACCTCCTTAAAGAAATTCAACATAATACAAATTAATTATTTCTGTTTGTACCTGCTGTTATTAAAAATAAACACATCAGATGACACAAACTAATAGGAAAACCTTCCATGTTCATGGTTTGAAAGAATCAATACCATTAAAATAGCCATACTGCCTAAAGCAGTCTACAGATTCAGTGCTTTTCTATTAAACTGCCAGTATCATTTTTTCACAGAACTAGAAAAAACTATCCTAAAATTCATATAGAACCAAAAAAAGAGTCCAAATAGCCAAAGGAATCCTAAGCAAAAAGAACAAGGCTGGAGGCATCACATTTTGCAACTTCAAACTATAAGGCTATAGTAACCAAAACATCATGGTACTGGTACAAAAACAGGCACATTGACCAATGAAACAGAATAGAGAACCCAGAAATAAAGCATCACACCTGTAGCCATCTGATTATTGACAAAGTCAACAAAAATAAGCAATGAGGAAAGGACTTTCTATTCAATAAATGGTGATGGAATAAATGGATAATCATGTGCAGAAGAATGAAACTGGACTGCTATCTTTCACCGTATATAAAAAATTACTTCAGATGGATTAAAGATTTAAAGATAAGACCTCAAAGTATAAAAATCCTACAAGAAAACCTAGGAAACACCATCTGGCCATTGACCTTGGGAAATAATTTATGAATAAATCCTCAAAAGAAATGGCAACAAAAACAAAATTGACAAGTAGGACCTAATTAAAGAGTTTCTGCATAGCAAAAGAAACTACCAACACAGTAAACAGACAGCCTACAGAATGGGAGAAAATATTTGCAGACTATGCATCTGACAAAGGTATAATATCCAGAATTTATAAGGAACTTAAACAATTGAACAAGCAAAAAACAACCCCATTAAACAAATGGGCAAAAGACATGAATAGACGCTTTTCAAAAGAAGACATACAAGTAGCCAACAAACATATGAAAAAATGCTCATCACTAATCATCAGAGAAATGCAAATCAAAACCACAATGAGATGCCATCTCACACCAGTCAGAATGGCTTTTATTAAAAAGACAAAAAATAACATACTGGCAAGGCTGCAGAGAAAAAGGGAACACTTATACACTGTTGATGGGAATGTAAATTAGTTCAACCACTGTGGAAAGCAGTTTGGAGATTTCCCAAGGAACTTAAAACTACCATCAGACCCAGCAATCCCATGACTGGGTATATATCCAAGAGAAAATAAATCATTCTACCAAAAAGACACATGCACTTGTATGTTCATCAGAGTGCTATTGACAGTCACAGAGTCATACAATCAATCTAGGTACCCATCAATGGTGGATTGGGTAAAGAAAATGTGGTAGATATACATCATTAAATACTGTGCAGCCATAAAAAAGAACAACATTATGTCTTTTGCAGGAACATGGATGCAACTGGAGGCCATCCACCTGTTTTTGTTGCTGCTGAATTAACACAGGAACAGAAAACCAAATACCATATATTCTCACTTATAAGTGCTAGCTAAACACTGGATACTCATGGACATAAAGATGGCAAGAATAGAAACTGGGAACGACTAGAGTAGGGAGGGAGAGAAGGGGGCAAAGGGTGAAAAACTATTGAATACTATGCTCAGTACCTGGGTGACAGTATCAATGGTACCCCAAACCTCAGCATAATGCAATGTATCTGAGTAACAAACCTGCACATGTAACCCCTGAATCTGAAATAAAAGTTGAAATTAAACGCACACACACGCACACACACACACAAAGAGCATATGAGTCATTTACATATTTAATAGTTTTGAATTAAAATAAAACTCAGCCATGTGCTCTCTTAACCCGTGAGTGAAAACAGTATTTCAGAAGCATCATTTGACTATTTTGAATAAATTCCCTCAAGATCTTTTAAGCATCTGTTTACCTCAATTTTGGCTTACTTTTCCCCATTTATTTTTCTGAGGAATAAATAGGAAAATTGCATTTAACTCCAAATTCATTTTTCTATTTTAATAGAGATAAAATTTTATAGAGAAAATAAGTATATTAATATATTTTATAGACTAGTGAAGAGATCTCATATGTAAAACTGAATCATAACCAAAGTTTTCTGAGGTACTTTACTTATATACATGTTTCTTTTATACTTGTTTAAAATCTTATAATGGCTTTTGTTGAATGCATAATGCACTTTTAAAAGTTTAGTCTGTTACATAAAATAAAAGTGGTAGGTTATTACGTTGTCGTAACCTGGCTGGCCAGCTGGTGTCACTGTGGCACAGGCAATGAAATTACAATTTTTTTTTTTTGTTCTTGTTTGTGTTTCTCATTGCAGATATTTGATTTTTCATTTTACTTCCTTTCTTAGTCTGTCCTAAGAGAGGCCCTGGTTAGCTTTACACTCAATATTCACATCTATGTAGAGATGATTTTGTCCTAGCAATCCCTTTGCCAGCAGTTTAGTCATTGCCTCGTATGTTAATGTTTTTAGGTTTGTTCTTTTTTTTTTTTTTTTTTTTTTTTGAGACAGAGTCTCACTCTGTCGCCCCCAGGCCGGAGTGCAATGGTGTGATCTCGGCTCACTGCAACCTCCGCCTCCCAGGTTCAAGCTGTTCTCCTGCCTCAGCCTCCCAAGTAGCTGGGACCACAGTCATGTGCCACCACGCCCGGCTAATTTTTGTATTTTCAGTGGTGACAGGGTTTCGCCATGTTGGCCAGGCTGGTCTTGAACTCTTGACCTCAGGTGATCCTCCTGCCCTGGTCCCCCAAAGTGCTGGGATTACAGGCATGAGCCACTGCACCCGGTGTCTTCTTTTTATTAAGATGGGGCAGCAACAGCCAGATGTGGAGAGGATAATCATCTTAGTATTATCTCAGTTTTTTACAGCAAAAATATTTCTGCTTCTAAATAAATGCATTTTATTTAGAAAATAAAAATAAAATTATTATTTTAAGAATTATTCTTTAAAATTATTCTTTTAAAAATTATTCTTTTAAAAAAGAGTATTACAATTTAATCTAAATAATTCAAATTACTCTGATTTGTAAACTGTGTGTAGTATTTGTAATGGATGCTGTTATAGTGCTGGTCAAAATTAATTAGAAATTTGCAACTCATACCATGAGTTTAAGAGCAGAAGCAAATCATACTAACTCCACATGGTTGAAACTTCTTGTGAATTAATTTATAGTTGGTAGATTTAAAGACATTGCCTCCTTAGACCTAGCTAAAATGGAATTTTTCCCGTGGAAGGCCCAAAACAAAAATCCACTAATGTAGGGTGTTTTTACCTATGAACACTTTCTCTAGCAAAATGTCCATACACAAACCTACCAAATTTTGCATTCAGATTTAGTGAGCTTAGGACCCCCTGAACCCTGCATAAGGGTTCTCAGGTTCCCTGAGTCTTAAGAACCCCCCACCTGTAAGTTTTAAGTGATATCACAGAGTATTCGTTCAGTAGAACTACCTTAGAGATCTCGGAGTCTCACTATGTTATTTTATAGTGGAGAAAAAAGGCCCTTGAAGTTGTTATGGAATTACCCAGTATTAATTAAATAGCTGTACCAAAAGCTTATGTGATTTGACTATAACTGCAGTGAGTGCAAGAGCGCTCTCTTTCATTACCTTATTTCCAGGGTTTGGTAACAGTTTTTGGCACTTACTACCAAAGAGGGCCTTTCAATAAATGGTGAATAAATGAATGTTTATTCACGTAAGAACGAGGACGAGGACTAGAAACCAGATTTTTAGACTTCTCTGAAAAACCAGGGAAGAGATATTGTAATCTTATATTTGATACATCTTGTGTCCTTAATTTCCCTGCATGTGGTATTTGGGTTTGTGAGTGTGAGTCTTTGTTGTTATAGTTTTATTTTTAATGATTTTGTTGAGCTAAGTCGTTTCTTCATTCCCTTGTACTTAGCAGTCTGCAATATCATACACTACGATCTGCAGAAGATTTGGGAAAGAAATACAAGAAATTGTTGGAACACTGTTCCTCCAACTCCTACCCCCACCAGTCACATGTTGTAACTTATTTATCTCCTTTTCCCAAGAGATTGGAATCACTGTTAGGTCAGAGATAGTGTGTATACACAGCACAAGTTTTGGTTCATAGTAGTTGCTCAATAAAAGAATGAATTCTAGTAAATAGACTTAAAAGTTGACATCTTTTCTCCTTCAGCCATCCTACCCTAGGGTTTTCATAGCATGTGATTACAGTTTGTCTCCATTCTATATAGGAATGCAATATAATGTTTCCACGTTACTCACACATAAAAAATGTAGTAGCTCGGTCAATGGCAATAATGATTTGATGGGGGCTTTTTCAGAGAGCCAGTTTTGACCAAATATGTATGTTGATCCCTTTTAGAGGTATGGCAAATGGTTTTCAAGGATTGTTTAACCCATACAAATCTAGATTCATTTTAATACTGTTTGCTTTTCAGCTATAGGCTATACTTTTAATACTATTACTACAAATTAAAATTTTAAGTATATTTTTAATATACACATACATTAAATTAATTCTGGATTGAGAGTCCTGTTGAAAATACAATTCATAATGAAAGGTTGAAGGCTTATCTGTCTTAATTATAATCTGAGAGTGTGCCCTTATTTATAAACAAAAGCTATTAGTAATATGTTTTTTTTTATTTCTTGGAGGAATTTTGTTGAAAATACAATTCATAATGAAAGGTTGAAGGCTTATCTGTCTTAAATTATAATCTGAGAGTGTGTCGTTATTTATAAACAAAAGCTATTAGGAATATGTCGTTTTTAAATTTTTTGAAGGAATTATTTTGAATGTAGATACATATAAATATTTCCACAGTGATAGTATGTGAATGAATTCAGTATTTCTTTGATGCAAGTTGGTACATGATTCAAGCTTTTGAACTACTTAGAATCTAGACTAAGTGGGTGAGGCCAAGAGGGTAGGCAGTGAACCACCAAAAGGTACTTGTAAGTTCTTGTTAAATATTGTTGAATGAATGGGAGAGAGGGAGAAAAGAAGATTGAAATTGTGTGTCTGTGGCAGGCAGGTGTGTGTGTGTATGGTGGTAAATGGAAAAAAATCAATAAAAATGTTAGATTTACTCTCTTGATTAGATGGAATAAGATACAGGAGGATATTGTGATCATAAAGTGAGTTATTAAACTTATTTAAAGTGAGAATCTAGAAGTGTTGCTTCCGAAGTGATGACAAGGTCTAAGAGTGGCAATTTGAGTTTAGGTTGCCTGAGTGGAATATGGGGTATGAAAGATGAAAGGCATTAGAAATGAAGATGTTAATGAAATCTGAGACTAAGGTGTAGATTGGGTTATACTAAGTCTAAAATGTCTTTTATCTGCCCTGACACTTTTTTGGCATGTTGTCCAACTACAGATTCCCAAACCTGATCCAGATTACCAATTTTACGCATTTCTGCAAGTATACGGAGGGAAAATAAAATCACATACCTTTACATATCATTATTACTATCCCCTGTCATTCTGCATCAGCATAGGTAGGCAGGCTCATGGAACAGATTTTAAGTGTTTTACAATTTATATTTTAAAATATAGCAACTTACTACCTACCATAACATTAGTGGACTGTATTTTTAATGATCGGTGAAAACTTTCAGCCTAGACAGCGAATATATCAGCTTGGAAGGAATTGCTAACTGAACATCTATAATCATTTCCTGAAAATGTGCCCACCAACATGCAAAAGGTTAGAAACACCCAGTTTAATGGTGAGAGTTAGGGATAAAGCAGAAGCCCTAGATGTGCCAAAGTCTTCAATAAATATTTGAAATTGACTGGAAAGAAGGTAGATGACAATGTTGAGGTGGGGACGAGGGCAGTGAGGAAGGTGACACACAGGAAACGGGGGGGTTGGGTAGGGGCAGAGTTGCACAAGAATGGAAAGCAGTTCTCTACAACAGTTCCTCAAAATAGACTAAGGATCGCCTGCATCAGAATCACCTGATTTCCTTGTTTTGAAATTCGGATTTCTGGGCTTCACATTCCAACTCAGTGAGAATCACCACACAGCTAAGAGCAATCTGCATTTTTAACAGGATCCTCAGGTGATTCCTACTGAAATTAAGGTTTGAGAACTGGTTGTTTAGAAGTACCAATAGAGAGTTTAGAAAATGCTGACCCTGCCTTCTAACAATAGAATATTGATAAGTAGAATGTTGGAAGATAATCAGTTTTATAAAACTCAAGATAATTGTGGAGAAGCAGAGAGGCCACTTAAGGGGGGTTAATAGTGTTACAGAACTGGGGATGTGGAGGCTGTTGTAATAATAGCTTTGCTTCTGGCAGATACTTTTTATAGACAGCTAACTGTTAAACTAACAAAGGAGATTTTAAATTAACAGAATTCATCAAACATTTAACATAAGTGTTTTAGTTTGTTTCTTTAAAAAATTTATTATGTAGATGCTTTGGAAGGTTTTGTCCCTTTTGAAGCATGAGATGTTACTGAGAAAATTTCTTGCCAAATGAAGTAATAGACACTCTGCTAGATGTCAAGAATACAAGTGGTGAACAAGATAGATAAGCTTCCTGATCTTAGCATATGGTCTTCGGAATGGGAAGAGAGGATATAGACAAATTAATTTTAATACCATGTGAAAAATGTTGTGCTAGGCCAAGTATAGCATGGTCTGAGTACTGGTGGGAGCATGGAAAGATTACCTGAGTGATTACTATATAAGCTGAGGTCTGAAGGATGACCTAGCCAGATAAAGGGTGAAAAATATTCTCATCAGAAGCAACTGTAACAACCCGAAGGAAGTGTGAGACCATAGAACTGGAAATTCATGTTGTTGGAATGGAGAATGTGAGGGCAGGTGTGTGAGAAATGAGGCTAGAGAGATAAGTAGATAGTAGATCCTGCAAAACCTTGAAAACCATATTGAAGAGTTTAGTCTTTACCTAAAAGGCAATGGAGAGCCACTAAATGCTATAAAAATGGGAGTGTCTCAGTTGGGTTCACATTTTAGAAAACTGTCTCTGTCTAGTTTGAAGAATTGATTGCGGGACTGACAGTACTAGAGACATGGGAAACAAGTTCAGTCATCAAGGGCAAAAGAGGAGTGAGACTTAGGACATTCTCAAGGATATATATTTTAAAACAAATTTACTGAACATTTTGTGTTCTTCATGTGTTGGTTTTACACTACAGTTCAAAAGTATTACCATGCTAAATTTTAAGTTCTAAACTTATGTTTTTAATGTCATAATTATAGTAACCTCTATTAAAATATGCAAAATGGAGACGTTATTTTTCACAGCTTTATGAAAGCTATTACTACAAATATTACTTTGTATTCTTTTAAAAGTACCTAAAATGTACAAAAATGTATTTGGAGCTTTTGCCAAAAGCATATTTTGTTTTAGCTTAATTGTTTGAAAAATATTTTTAAAAACTATTAAATACTCAAGCATTATGCTAAAAGCTTGAATAAAAGGTTAACTCAGGTTTATCCCATTTTATTATACACTTGTTAAGCTTGGCCTTGCAAAGTGTTAAACTTTGAATTGAATGTCAGCAACATAAAAATGCAAATTAGGAATTTTATGTTGTTAATTATAAATGGGTCCATTGTCTCTGAAATATAGTCTGGAAAATATAGGAGTAAATTCAGTAGCAGATACTTTATAAGTTGCTAAGCTAGGCACAGACTTATATAACTGATACACTTAAAAAATTTAAGGGTTGGCCAGGCGCGGTGGCTCATGCCCGTAATCCTAGCACTTTGGGAGGCTGAGGCGGGCGGATTGTCAGAGCTCAGGAGTTCGAGACCAGCCTGGGCAACACGGTGAAACCCTGTCTCTACTAAAATACAAAAGAAATTAGCCAGGTGTGGCAGCGTGTGCCTATATTCCCAGCTACTCAGGAGGCTGAGGCAGGAGAATTGCTTGAACCTGGGAGGCGGAGGTTGCAGTGAGCCAAGATCACGCCATTGCACTACAGCCAGGTGACAGAGCGAGACTCCGTCTCAAAAAAAAAAAAAAATTTCGGGTTATGTAAAGAAAGCACATTTAAAATTTTGGTGAACTGTGAGGCTATATAATATTACTTAGAGAATGAGTATTTTATTGAAAACAACAAACTCATAAAATCCCTAGTATTATCTCACAAGTCATAAATTCGTCTCACATAGCCCCTATTATTTTGTGTTTCATTTAGCTGCCAAACCACATCAGAATGATAGTTCTCTTCAGAATTGGAATTCAACCTATTTGTATCATTTTTGGTTAGGCTCCTTCTGTTAGTAGCAGCTTAGGCATAGGAAGGCCTTAGTGATTTTCAGATTTTACACCTGTTTTACCTATAGGACAGTAGAGTTTTCTTCTGGAAGAACTTTTGTTTGTTTAGTAAAGAACCCCAGCAGACAGTAGGGAGGGATTTGAGTGACTGTAATGTCCTCAGCTACAGTTGTCTCCATTTGCATTTAAGATTTTTATTGATATGTTTTGTTGTTCTCATATTGTTAATTGGTTTTTGGTTATTTTGTATAATCTTTGTTCCTTTCTTTTTGCCTGATTGTTTCTCATTATGGTTTGGTGGTTTTCTGTATTGGTGCCGTTTGAGTCTTTTCTCTTTGTCATTTATGTGTTTGCTTTACCTGTGAGTTTTGTATGTTCATGTGTTTTGATGATGGTAAATGTTGCCCTTTTGCTTCCAGGTTTAGCGCTCCGTTGAGCATTTATTGTAGTGCCTGTCTACTGGTGATGAATTACCTCAGCTTTTGCTTATCTGGGAAAGACTTTATTTCTCCTTCTGGTAATTTTGTTGGATATAGTATCCTTGGCTGGACAGTTTTTTTCTTTCTATACTTCAAATATGTCATACCATTTTCTCCTGGCTTCTGTCTCCTGAGAAATCCACTGATAGTCTTATGGGGGTTCCTTTATAGGTGATTAGACACTTTTCTTGCTGTTTTTAGAATTCTCTATTGTTGACTTTAGACTTTTTGACTATAATGTGCCATAGAGAAGATCTTTTTGTATTGTATCAGTTTGGTGATCTGAGAGCCTCCTGTATCTGGATGCCTAAATCTCTTGCTAGACTTGGACAGTTTTCATTTATTGTTATATTAAATAGGTTTTCTAACACTTTCATTCTCTCTTCACCCTCTGGGACCCCGATAATATGAATATTTGGTCACTTTATGTTGTCTCATGTCATGAATACTTTCCTCATTCTTTTTTATTCTTTATTTTTTTCTGATTGGGTTCTTTCAAAAGACCTGTCTTCAAGTTCTGAGATTCTTTTTTTTTTTTTTTTTTTTTTTGAGACTGAGTCTCACTCTATCACCCAGGCTGGAGTGCAGTGGGGCACGATCTTGGCTCACTGAAACCTCCACCTCCCGAGTTCAAGCAATTCTCCTGCCTCAACCTCCTGTGCAGCTGGGATTACAGGCACGTGCCACCACACCCAGCTAATTTTTGTATTTTTAGTAGAGGCGGGGTTTCACCATGTTGGCCAGGCTCGTCTCAAACTCCTGACCTCAGGTGATCCACCTGCCTCAGCCTCTCAAAGTGCTGGCATTACAGGCATAAGCCACCGCACTCAGCCAAGTTCTGAGATTCTTTCTTCTGCATGAGCTAGTCTATTATTGAAGTTTTTGAATGTATTTTGTATTTCAAGCAATGAATTCTTCAATTCCAGAATTTCCGTTTGGTTCTTTTTTTATGATCTTTATCTCTTTGGTAAATTTCTCATTCATATCCTGAATTGTTTTTCTGATTTCTCTCTATTGTTTTTCAGAATTCTCTTGTATCTTCATCTTGAGAATCAGTAGTTTGAATTCTTTTTCCAAGGTTTCCTGAATTTCTTTTTGGTTGGGATCTGTTGCTGGAGAATCATTGTGATCCTTTGGAGGTATTATATTTCCTTGCTTGTTCATGTTTTTTGTGTCTTTACATTGATATCTGGTGTAATCGTTTCTCCATTAGTTTGAATTTGCTATTGTAGGGGAGGACTTTTTCCTGAAGTTGTATCTATGCTATTGGGTGAGTAGGCTACTTTGACTTTGATTCTTGTGCAAGCAGTAGTGTACTCTCTGTATAATTTCTTTGGCTGTATACAGCATTAGTGGTATCTGTGATTTTCCTCAGTGGATTAAGTGTACAGTTATTAGTGGAAGCTGTGGTGAAGTTTTGCTTTAGATGTCAGATAGGTCACTCTTTGGGCCCCAGTTGTAGCAGTGGTGGGCTGAGCATGCCTGTCCTTTGGCCCCAGGGTGGTATATGCCGGCACCAGTGTTAATGGGTCCAGGCGAGTGGATTTTTGGGCCTCCAGATGGCTTACTTGGATGCCAGTAGTGGCGGCAGTGGGCCAGGCAGGTGGGCAGGTTCTTGGACCTCTAGGCAGCTAGCATAGCATGGGCAATGGCAGTGGCAGTAGCAGACGACCCTTTGGGTCCTGAGTAGTGTGCATGGGTATTGGCAGTGGCTGTGATGGGCTGGGCGGACCAGTCTCCAGGTCCTCAGGGAGTGCATGCAACTAGGTGCCAGCTGAGGTGGTAGCAGCTGAGTGGGTAGTCCAACCTCAGGTCCTCTGGAAGAGTGTTCAGGTGCCAGTGGTAGTGGACTGGGCTGGGCAATGCTGTGGCCCCCAGACTATGTGTTCTGGCACAGCTGCGGGGGGTGGGGAAGCCAGGTTGGGTAGGCATGTCCTCAGGCCCCCCATGGTGTGTACAGGTGTGCTAGCTGTGGTGGGGAGGGGTGGGGTGCAGAATGCGTGAGTAGGAGGTGGCAACAGCTGTGCTTCTGCACTTCCACTGGAGAGGGTGGTGCTGCCTTTAGTGACTGGCGGCAGCCTAGGCTGGTGGATAGAGAACATCTATGCCCCTTAGATCTCGGCCCCTGCAGTGCTTGTGCCTCAGCCCTGGATACAGTAGTCTGCTATCACTTGCACCTAAGTCCTAGGGCCTGCAGCCCATGCTTCTCTTGTTTTTCAGGACAGTGTGAGATCTGTTGGGAGCAGAGCTCTGAAATGGCACCTTGCCGTATCTGCTTAGATCTCAGGGAGCATGTGGGACCCAGAGTGAGCTTCCTTTCTGGGGCAGTGCCATCACACAATCTCCTGGCAGCTCCCTGCATTTGTTTCAGGGCCCATGAGGGTCCAGGGGCTCTCCTGTAGCTAGGATTGCAAGAGTCCACAGTGGGAATGTAGACTTCTTAGGGTCTGTCATTTACCTCTTTCCCATATTGGGAAGTCTCCCTTTGCCTCCCAGCTGATCCTGGCAGAGCAGGTTGCCTTGCTTCCTTCTCCTTCCTTGCTTTAGATATTTCCTGTCACTTTTCTGTTGGATTCCAGTGGTCTCTCTTGGATGATGTATTCGAGGTGTGATATCTACTCTTTTGGTTCTTCTTAATGGAGGAAGGGAGTGCGAAATGCCTCTAATCAGCCATCTTGAAGCCCCTCTCTTAAGTTTTCTTTTCTAAGAGGCCATAGGTGACAAGATGAAAGGTATCTCTATAACTGCTTGAAAAGTTAGGTAATCAGAATTATCTATCATATGTACTATTTAATAACACATTACTTAGCTCCCCTCCTCTCAGATAGTACTGCTATTATATCTCTTTTCCAGAAATTTACACAATATTCTATGACAGGAGAATGATTCAGATGAGTGTTGTTCTTTCTGATAAAGTTCCAAGGATACATCTAACATAACCATTCTGGACCTACACAGTCAGCTGTCTTTATCCCAGCTTCTGTATCCCAGGGTCCACATCCACAGATTCAACCAACTGCACTGAAAATGTTTGGGGAAAATGAAATAAAATGAAAAATAACAATACAATTAAAAATAATACAGATTTAAAAACAATATAGTATAACAACTATTTACATGACATTTACATTGTATTTGGTATTTTAAGTAATCTAGAGATTAAAGTATACGGGGAGGATGTGTATAGAGTATAGGCAAATATTAGGCATTTTATATAAGGGACTTGAGCATCCGCATGTATTTTGGTATCCAAGGGATCCTGGAACCAAACTTCCAAAGGACAATCCTGTGCCATTTGTATGTTGTTTGTGTTCAGATGTTAGGGTTTTCTTACATTTTTTGTATTTTGAGGGGTGTTTTGGTACTTTTTTCCTTAAGGAAAGCTGTTATACTCACTAAAACATAAGCCACTGAAAAGCTGTCAAGACTTAAGCAAGGCAACATTCAAGGAAGCCATTCCAAAAATAGTTGACCTAATGACCAAACTTGCAAAGTTTACAAATTATTTCAGTGATTTGACAGCATTTTATTTTGTCTTTCAGAGAGGGAAGATTCTAGTAATATAAATATGAATGAAAGGAATGCTAATATTTAAAACTGGAAACCATTGATTTTAGATATTGAAAACTAACTGGGAAAGTTAAAGGTCACTTATTCAGTGAAATGAACAGACTTGGAGACTCGGTTTAAAAATAGGAAGTAAATAAAAATTGAGTGTAAGGAATGTTTTCTTTTTGACTCTCTAAGTGTTCTTTAAAACAATATGTAGTTGAAGGGCGTTGTCCTGTGACAAGAGGTTTTAAGTGATATTAGGAAATGAGTGAATGGGATAAAGGCAGTTCATCTGTTTTGTACCAGTAGGAAATTACAGTTTGAGAACATATTTCTATTAGTGCGCTTAAACCGAAGCAGGTTCTGAAATAATGTTTTTTTAAAGCTATTTATTTAAATAAATCTTTTAGAAAACATACTAACTAAAATAAATTCTAAGTCTCCAATAAATTGCCTATGGCTGCTTACATTTATCATACATTACAGTTAATATCGTTTCTGGAGGCTTAGTCCTAACCATATTGCTAGTTAATATCAAAATGACACACTTCTGTGTCCCAGTTTTCTCATCTGTAAAATGGGAGTGAAAGCACTTCAAGTGTTTGTCAAGATTAAATGAGGTAATATATACACAGTTCTTGCTTTGTATAGTTCCAATATACATTAATTTCAGTTAGCACAGTTTAGTTAAATAACACCAGTCCCTCAGCAACCCAGCTTATTACTCTCTCACTTTGTTCAGGACTCTGTTCACAATTTATCTCATCAGAGAGACCTTCCCCAAATACTGCATCTGAAGTGGCAACCTTTATCTGTCACTCTCTATCCCTCTTATCCTGCCTTTAAAAACAAAAACTTATTTACTTGTTTATTACTTAATTACAGGACTTGTTACCACCTATGTTTGTTTACTATCAATCTCCTCCCTTCCTATGTCCCCACCCCCCAGAACATCAGTCTATGTGGGCAGGGACTTTATCTGTTTTTCTTTCACTGCCGTGTCAGTAGTGACTAGAGCAGTGGCTGTCATGAAGTTGGTGGTCATTAGATGTTGATTCAATACATAAGTAAATAAATAAGCCACCCCTGTTGGGTCACACCTGCAATTCCGCCACTTTGGGAGGCTGAGACGGGCGAATCACTTGAGTTCATGAGTTTGAGACCAGCTGGGGCAACATGGCGAAACTCCATCTCTACTAAAAATACAAAAATTAGCTGGGCGTGGTGGTGCATGTCTGTAATCCCAGCTACTCGGGAGGCTGAGGTGGGTGGATGGCTCGAGCCCAGGGGGTGGAGGTTACAGTGGGCCCAGATCACACCACTGCACTCCAGCCTGGGTGATAGAGCCAGACCTTATCTCAAAAAAGTAAAATAAAATAAGTAAATAAATAATTTATGTTCCATAGCTCAGGCAGTACTTCCTTCCTTCCTATTTTGTTTTTTATGGACTTAGTCTATTCTGAATTCTTCTGATACTTAGTGTTTTTACTTTGGCACCATGTTCAATTTTTATGTTAATGTCTATCTTGTCTCCAATGAGATGGCAAGGAGTGTACCTTATCTCTTTCTCTGACCAAAAAGTCTAATGTAAGAATAAGCAAATATACATTAAATTATATTTCAAAATAAACCCGTTATTATTGCAGCTTCTTAATCTACATGGCATTGAATCATAAATCCTTTAGTTCATTCAACAAATTCATTATTTATCTATTCAAATATTTATTTGATCCCCCTATATCTCAGGTACTATTTCAGGTGCTGGGTATATAGCAGTAAACAAAATAGGCAACAACCCTGCTGTCATGATGTATAGTATAGTGAGGGGACACAAAAATAAACAAATATACACATAATATATCACTTAGTGGTCATTGCTATGAGAAAAATAGAACAAGGTAAGGGGAATAGGGATTTCTTTTGTGGGGGTTGGAGGGGATTGCTATGTTGTATGTTATCTTTAAAGGAGCAAGCGCTGTAAATCTCTGATCCAAACCTCATATCCAAACCAGATGGTAAAAAGACTTTTAGTAGGAAATCTAACGTTTTGAGAGACCCATTTGAGACCCAAGACCAATATTTTTCTTTTCCTTTATAAGAGACATACTAGTTTATCTCTCTTTTTTGTTTTTTGTTTTTGTTTTTGTTTGAGGCAGGATCTGGCTCTGCTGCCCAGTCTACAGGGCAGTCGCACCAATTGGCTCACTGCAGCCTCCGTCGCCTGGGCTCAAGCCATCCTTCCACCTCACCCTTCCAAGTAGCTAGGACTATAGGCTCATGCCACCATGCCCAGCTGAATTTTTGTATTTTTTTAGAGTTGGGGTTTTGCCATGTTGCCTAGGCTAGTCTCAAATTCCCGAGCTCAAGCGATCCTCTTGTCTCAACCTCCCAAAGTGCTGGGATTACAGGTGTGAGCCATCACATCATGCCTGACCAGTTTATCTCTTTGAAAGAAAGAGTTTGATTTGGATTTTATGTACAGTAGGTAACCAATCATGTCTTGAGGTCTAGAATTCCTCAGATGCCTCATTTATTGAATATAGAGTGATGTTCTTCAGAATACCCAAGCTTGTAGTCTTTTGAGGATTTTCACAAGTGTTCCAATGACTGTTTCAAAGACCAGTTTATCTTTCAAATTCTCTTTAGCAGCCTTTCTTTGTTTATGAAAACATTCCTATCCCTACTGAAGGTACTTATTTTTAATGATCTTCCAGCTGGGCTTTTCTTGCATTTTTTGGTTTGTACTCTGTATATTCCTTACTTTTTGTATCAAACTCATCACCTTCCCTTTAAAGCATGTCTTTTTTCCCACAGTTTTTGGTCTCTTACTCAGAAACTCTATTTCTACTAAAGGTGTCGTTTTATAAATTTTAAAACAGATCTCTCCGACTTGTAAATTCTATCTAGTTGCCCTGTTTAAAGTCACTGGATATCAGAAGTTAATTATATGGTTAGTTTCCCATCTAGGCATGCTCTAATATAATTAAGATGGGGTTGTAAGTATAATAAGGGTGGAAATACTTATAATTTCATGACTTTGTCACTCAAAAAATAAAAATCACTCATCCTAAGTAATATGAAAATACATTCTTAGATATAATGGTCAGTTTTACATATAAGAAAATAATCTTTCATCATTCCAACTTCTAGTCTCCAGAAGAGTTCTATTTAAAAATTGGGATGAAGGAGAAAGACATTAATACTTGAAGTACCAGATGTTGTAGTGTACTTTTTGTATGTTGTCTATGAAGTAAGAATAATTATCCCTTAACATTATCATGTTACAGTGAAGAATCTCAGCAATTCAGACTATTTGCCTGGGGTTATGCAGCCATTAAGTGACTGAAGCCAGGATTCAAACTCAGGTATATCTGAGCTGACTTCAGAGCCCACATTGCATCCATTATATCAAACTGCCTCATCAAATGATTGCTAGGTATTATTTTTTTGAAATAATGGATGCATTTGAAATCAGAGCCAGTTCTCAGACATTTTCACTGATGTCCAAAGTGCTAAACAATTTTGTTTGCCTTCTGAAACTCCACCCTGTATCTCTCAGTCCAAAAAGCATACTAAAATGCAACAAAAGAGTCACAGAGATTACCTTGAACCTACCGTAATATAAATACTTTACACACTGAAGTTGATAAGTGTTTTGCTTTCAACTACTATTAGTAACAAATCACTTTACACACATCTCACTGCCAGTGTGATGAAATCCCAGGTTTGAGAACTACAGGATAAAGGAGCCATTCCCAGACACAATCCCCTCCGTTTAATTTATTTCCAATAATAAATTAGTCACTAACTGGACAGATATTTGTTTAGCTAGAAAAAGGAAAC